>NC_000005.10:47635210-47961236 GCF_000001405.40 Homo sapiens | reverse complement strand
TTACTGAGAATTCTTCTGTCTAGCCTTACATGAAAAAAACCCGTTTCCAACGAAGGCCTCTAAGTGGTCAAGTTATCCACGTGCAGACTTTACAAACAGAGTGTTTCCAAACTGCTGAATGAAAAGAAAATTTAAACTCTGAGAGTTGAACGCACACATCGCAGAGCAGTTTCTGAGAATGATTCTGTCTAGTTTTGAAACGAAGATATTTCCTTTCCTGCCATTGACCTTAAAGCGCTTGAAATCTCCATTTGCCAATTGCACAAAAAGAGTGTTTCAAATCTGCTCTGTCTAAGGGAACGTTCAACTGTGTGAGTTGAATGTACACAACACAAGGAAGTTACTGGGAATTCTTCTGTCTAGCCTTACATGAAAAAAACCCTTTTCCAACGAAGGCCTCTAAGTGGTCAAAATATCCACGTGCAGACTTTACAAACAGAGTGTTTCCAAACCGCTGAATGAAAAGAAAAGTTAAACTCTGAGAGTTGAACCCACACATCACGCAGCAGTTTCTGAGAATGATTCTGTCTAGTTTTTATACGAAGATATTTCCTTTTCTGCCTTTGGCCTCAATGCGCTTGAAATCTCCACTGGCAAATTCCACAAAAAGAGTGTTTCCAATCTGCTCTGTGTAAATGAAAGTTCAACTCTGTGAGTTGAACACACACAACAAAAGGAAGTTACTGGGAATTCTTCTGTCTAGCATAGTATGAAGAAATCCCGTTTCCAACGAAGGCCTCAAAGAGGTCTGTATATCCACTTGCAGACTTTACAAACAAAGTGTTTCCTAACTGCTCTATGAAAAGAAAGGTTAAACTCTGTGAGTTGAACGCACACATCACAAAGAAGTTTCTGAGAATCATTCTGTCTAGTCTTTATAAGAAGATAGTTTCCTTTTCTACCATTGACCTCAAAGCGGCTGAAATCTCCACTTGCAAATTCCACAAAAGGAGTGTTTCAAGTCTGCTCTGTGTAAAGGATTGTTCAACTCTGTGAGTTGCATACACACAACACAAGGAAGTTACTGAGAATTCTTCTGTCTAGCAGAATACGAAGAAATCCCGTTTCCAACGAAGGCCTCTAGGAGGTCTGAATATCCACTTGCAGACTTTACAAACAGAGTGTTTCCTAACTGCTCTATGAACAGAAAGGTTAAACTCTGTGAGTTGAACGAACACATCACAACGCAGTTTGTGGGAATGATTCTGTCTAGTTTTGAAACGAAGATATTTCCTTTTCTGCCGTTGACCTTAAAGCGCTTGAAATCTACACTCGCAAATTGCACAAATAGAGTGTTTCAAATCTGCTCTGTCTAAGGGAACGTTCAACTCTGTGAGTTGAATGCACACAACACAAGGAAGTTACTGGGAATTCTTCTGTCTAGCCTTACAGGAAAAAAACCCGTTTCCAACGAAGGCCTCTAAGTGGACAAAATATCCACGTGCAGACTTCACAAACAGAGTGTTTCCAAACTGCTGAATGAAAAGAAAAGTTAAACTCTGAGAGTTGAACGCACACATCGCAGAGCAGTTTCTGAGAATGATTCTGTCTAGTTTCTATAGGAAGATATTTCCTATTCTACCATTGACCTCAAAGCGGCTGAAATCTCCACTTGCAAATTCCACAAAAAGAGTGTTTCAAGTCTGCTCTGTGTAAAGGATCGTTCAACTCTGTGAGTTGAATACCCACAACACAAGGAAGTTACTGAGAATTCTTCTTTCTAGCAGAATATGAAGAAATCCCGTTTCCAACGAAAGCCTCAAGGATGTCTGAATATCTACTTGCAGACTTTACAAACAGAGTGTTTCCCAACTGCTCTATGAAAAGAAAGGTTAAACTCTGTGAGTTGAACGCACACATCACAAAGGAGTTTCTGAGAATCATTCTGTCTAGTTTCTATAGGAAGATATTTCCTATTCTACCATTGACCTCAAAGCGGCTGAAATCTCCACTTGCAAATTCCACAAAAAGAGTGTTTCAAGTCTACTCTCTGTAAAGCATCGTTCAACTCTGTGAGTTGAAAACACACAACACAAGGAAGTTTCTGAGAATTCTTCTGTCTAGCAGAATATGAAGAAATCCCGTTTCCAACCAAGGCCACAAGATGTCAGAATATCCACTTACAGAATTTACAAACAGACTGTTTCCTAACTGCTCTATGAAAAGAAAGGTTAAACTCTGTAGGTTGAACGAACACATCACAACGCAGTTTGTGGGAATGATTCTGTCTAGTTTTGAAACGAAGATATTTCCTTTTCTGCCATTGACCTTAAAGCGCTTGAAATCTCCATTTGCCAATTGCACAAAAAGAGTGTTTCAAATCTGCTCTGTCTAAGGGAACGTTCAACTCTGTGAGTTGATTGTACACAACACAAGGAAGTTACTGGGAATTCTTCTGTCTAGCCTTACAGGAAAAAAACCCGTTTCCAACGAAGGCCTCTAAGTGGTCAAGTTATCCACGTGCAGACTTTACAAACAGAGTGTTTCCAAACTGCTGAATGAAAAGAAAAGTTAAACTCTGAGAGTTGAACGCACACATCGCAGAGCAGTTTCTGAGAATGATTCTGTCTAGTTTTTATACGAAGATATTTCCTTTTCTGCCTTTGGCCTGAAAGGGCTTGAAATCTCCATTTGCAAATTCCACAAAAAGAGTGTTTCAAATCTGCTCTGTGTAAATGAAAGTTCAACTCTGTGAGTTGAATACACACAACACAAGGAAGTTACTGGGAATTCTTCTGTCTAGCCTTATATGAAAAAAACCCGTTTCCAAAGAAGGCCTCAAAGAGGCCTGAATATCCACTTGCAGTCTTTACAAACAGAGTGTTTCCTAACTGCTCTATGAAAAGAAAGGTTAAACTCTGTGAGTTGAACACACACATCACAAAGGAGTTTCTGAGAATCATTCTGTCTAGTTTTTATACGAAGATATTTCCTTTTCTACCATTGACCTCAAAGCGGCTGAAATCTCCACCCTGCCAATTCCACAAAAAGAGTGTTTCAAGTCTACTCTCTGTAAAGGATCGTTGAACTCTGTGATTTGAAAACACACAACACAACGAAGTTTCTGAGAATTCTTCTGTCTAGCATAATATGAAGAAATCCCGTTTCCAACGAAGGCCTCAAAGAGGTCTGAATATCCACTTGCAGATTTTACAAACAGAGTGTTTCCTAACTACTCTATGAAAAGAAAGCTTAAACTCTGTGAGTTCAACGCACACATCACAAAGGAGTTTCTGAGAATCATTCTGTCTAGTTTTTATACGAAGATATTTCATTTTCTACCATTGACCTCAAAGCGGCTGAAATCTCCACTTGCAAATTCCACAAAAAGAGTGTTTCAAATCTGCTCTGTGTAAAGGATCGTTCAACTCTGTGAGTTGAATACACACAACACAAGGGAAGATTCTGAGAATTCTTCTGTGTAGCCTTAAATGAAGAAATACCATTTCCAAAGAACGCCTCATGGCGGTCCAAATATCCACAGGCAGACTTTTCAAACAGAGCGTTTCCCAACTGCTCTATGAAAAGAAATGTTAAACTCTGTGAGTTAAACATACACATCACTACACAGTTTCTGGGAATGATTCTGTCTAGTTTTTATACGAAGATATTTCCTTTTCTGCCTTTGGCCCCAAAGCGCATGAAATCTCCACTTGCAAATTCCACAAAAACAGTGTTACAAATCTGCTCTCTCTAAATGAAAGTTCAAATCCGTCAGTTGAATACACACAACACAAGGAAGTTACTGAGAATTCTTCTGTCTATCATAATATGAAGAAATCCCGTTTCCAACGTAGGCCTCAAAGAGGTCTGAATATCCACTTGCAGACTTTACAAACAGAGTGTTTCCTAGCTGCTCTACGAAAAGAAAGGTTAAACTCTTTGAGTTGAACGCACACATCAGAAAGGAGTTTCTGAGAATCATTCTGTCTAGTTTCTATAGGAAGATATTTCCTATTCTACCATTGACCTCAAAGCGGCTGAAATCTCCACTTGCAAATTCCACAAGAAGAGTGTTTCAAGTATGCTCTGTGTAACGGATCGTTCAACTCTGTGAGTTGAATACACACAACACAGGGAAGTTACTGAGAATTCTTCTGTCTAGCCTTACAGGAAAAAAACCCGTTTCCAACGAAGGCCTCTAAGTGGTCAAGTTATCCACGTGCAGACTTTACAAACAGAGTGTTTCCAAACTTCTGAATGAAAAGAAAAGTTAAACTCTGAGAGTTGAACGCACACATCGCAGAGCAGTTTCTGAGAATGATTTCTGTCTAGTTTTTATACGAAGATATTTCCTTTTCTGCCTTTGGCCTCAAACCGCTTGAAATCTCCATTTGCAAATTCCACAAAAACAGTGTTTCAAATCTGCTCTGTGTAAATGACAGTTCAACTCTGTGAGTTGAACACACACAACACATGGAAGTTACTGGGAATTCTTCTGTCTAGCATAATATGAAGAAATCCCGTTTCCAACGAAGGCCTCAAAGAGGTCTGAATATCCACTTGCAGACTTTACAAACAGAGTGTTTCCTAACTGCTCTATGAAAAGAAAAGTTAAACTCTGTGAGTTGAACGCACACATCACCAAGGAGTTTCTGAGAATCATTCTGTCTAGTTTTTCTACGAAGATATTTCCTTTTCTACTATTGACCTCAAAGCGGCTGAAATCTCCACTTGCAAATTCCACAAAAAGAGTGTTTCAAGTCTGCTCTGTGTAAAGGATCGTTCAACTCTGTGAGTTGAATACACACAGCACAAGGAAGTTACTGAGAATTCTTCTGTCTAGCACAGTATGAAGAAATCCCGTTTCCAACGAAGGCCTCAAAGAGGTCTGAATATCCACTTGCAGAGTTTACAAACAGAGTGTTTCCTAACTGCTCTATGAAAAGAAAGGTTAAACTCTGTGAGTTGAACGCACACGTCACAATGAAGTTTCTGAGAATCATTCTGTCTAGTTTTTATACGAAGATATTTCCTTTTATACCATTGACCACAAAGCGGCTGAAATCACCACTTGCCAATTGCACAAAAAGAGTGTTTCAAATCTGCTCTGTCTAAGGGAACGTTCAACTCTGTGAGTTGAATGTACACAACACAAGGAAGTTACTGGGAATTCTTCTGTCTAGCCTTACAGGAAAAAAACCCGTTTCCAACGAAGGCCTTTAAGTGGTCAAAATATCCACGTGCAGACTTTACAAACAGAGTGTTTCCAAACTGCTGAATGAAAAGAAAAGTTAAACTCTGAGAGTTGAACGCACACATCGCAGAGCAGTTTCTGAGAATGATTCTGTCTAGTTTTTATACGAAGATATTTCCTTTTCTGCCTTTGGCCTCAAAGCGCTTGAAATCTCCACTTGCAAATTCCACAAAAAGAGTGTTTCAAATCTGCTCTGTGTAAATGAAAGTTCAATTCTGTGAGTTGAACACACACAACACAAGGAAGTTACTGGGAATTCTTCTGTCTAGCAGAATATGAAGAAATCCCGTTTCCAACGAAGGCCTCAAAGAGGTCTGAATATCCACTTGCAGACTTTACAACCAGAGTGTTTCCTAACTGCTCTATGAAAAGAAAGGTTTAAACTCTGTGAGTTGAACGCACACATCACAAAGGAGTTTCTGAGAATCATTCTGTCTAGTTTCTATAGGAAGATATTTCCTTTTCTACCATTGACCTCAAAGCAGCTGAAATCTCCACTTGCAAATTCCACAAAAAGAGTGTTTCAAGTCTACTCTGTGTAAAGGATCGTTCAACTCTGTGAGTTGAAAACACACAACACAAGGAAGTTTCTGAGAATTCTTCTGTCTAGCAGAATATGAAGAAATCCCGTTTCCAACGAAGGCCACAAGATGTCAGAATATCCACTTACAGACTTTACAGAGTGTTTCCTAACTGCTCTATGAACAGAAAGGTTAAACTCTGTGAGTTGAACGAACCCATCACAACGCAGTTTGTGGGAATGATTCTGTCTAGTTTTGAAACGAAGATATTTCCTTTTCTGCCATTACCTTAAAGCGCTTGAAATCTACACTTGCAAATTGCACAAATAGAGTGTTTCAAATCTGCTCTGTCTAAGGGAACGTTCAACTCTGTGAGTTGAATGCACACAACACAAGGAAGTTACTGGGAATTCTTCTGTCTAGCCTTACATGAAAAAAACCCGTTTCCAACGAAGGCCTCTAAGTGGTCAAAATATCCACGTGCAGACTTTACAAACAGAGTGTTTCCAAATTGCTGAATGAAAAGAAAAGTTAAACTCTGAGAGTTGAACGCACACATCACAGAGCAGTTTCAGAGAATGATTCTGTCTAGTTTTTATAGGAAGATATTTCCTTTTCTGCCTTTGGCCCCAAAGCGCTTGAAATCTCCACTTGCAAATTCCACAAAAACAGTGTTTCAAATCTGCTCTCTCTAAATGAAAGTTCAACTCTGTCAGTTGAATACACACAACACAAGGAAGTTACTGAGAATTCTTCTGTCTAGCAGAATATGAAGAAATCCCGTTTCCAACGAGAGTCTCAAAGATGTCTGAATATCCACTTGCAGACTTTACAAACAGAGTGTTTCTTAACTGCTCTATGAAAAGAAAGGTTAAACTCTGTGAGTTGAACGCACACATCACAAAGAAGTTTCTGAGAATCATTCTGTCTACTTTCTATAGGAAGATATTTCCTATTCTACCATTGACCTCAAAGCGGATGAAATCTCCACTTGCAAATTCCACAAAAATAGTGTTTCAAGTCTGCTCTGTGTAAAGGATCGTTCAACTCTGTGAGTTGAATACACACAACACAAGGAAGTTACTGAGAATTGTTCTGTCTAGCCTTATATTAAAAAAACCCGTTTCCAACGAAGGCCTCAAAGAGGTCTGAATATCCACTTGCAGACTTTACAAACAGAGTGTTTCCTAACTGCTCTATGAAAAGAAATGTTAAACTCTGTGAGTTGAACACACACATCACAAAGGAGTTTCTGAGAATCATTCTGTCTAGTTTCTATAGGAAGATATTTCCTATTCTACCATTGACCTCAAAGCGGCTGAAATCTCCAGTTGCAAATTCCACAAAAAGAATGTTTCAAGTCTGCTCTGTGTAAAGCATCGTTCAACTCTGTGAGTTGAATACACACAACACAAGGAAGTTACTGAGAATTATTCTGTCTAGCATAATATGAAGAAATCCCGTTTCCAACGAAGGTCTCAAAGAGGTCTGAATATCCACTTGCAGACTTTACAAACAGAGTGTTTCCTAACTGCTCTATGAAAAGAAAAGTTAAACTTTGTGAGTTGAACGCACACATCACAAAGGAGTTTATGAGAATCATTCTGTCTAGTTTTGAAACGAAGATATTTCCTTTTCTGCCACTGACCTTAAAGCGCTTGAAATCTACACTTGCAAATTGCACAAATAGAGTGTTTGAAATCTGCTCTGTCTAAGGGAACGTTCAACTCTGTGAGTTGAATGCACACAACACAAGGAAGTTACTGGGAATTCTTTTCTCTAGCCTTACATGAAAAAAACCCGTTTCCAACGAAGGCCTCTAAGTGGTCAAAATATCCACGTGCAGACTTTACAAACAGAGTGTTTCCACACCGCTGAATGAAAAGAAAAGTTAAACTCTGAGAGTTGAACGCACACATCACGCAGCAGTTTCTGAGAATGATTCTGTCTAGTTTTTATACGAAGATATTTCCTTTTCTACCATTGACCTCAAAGCGGTTGAAATCTCCACTTGCAAATTCCACAAAAAGAGTGTTTCAAGTCTACTCTGTGTAAAGGATCGTTCAACTCTGTGAGTTGAATACACACAACACAAGGAAGTTACTGAGAATTCTTCTGTCTAGCATAATATGAAGAAATCCCGTTTCCAACGAAGGCCTCAAAGAGGTCTGAATATCCACTTGCAGACTTTACAAACAGAGTGTTTCCTAACTGCTCTATGAAAAGAAAGGTTAAACTCTGTGAGTTGAATGCACACATCACAAAGGAGTTTCTGAGAATCATTCTGTCTAGTTTCTATAGGAAGATATTTCCTATTCTACCATTGACCTCAAAGCGGCTGAAATCTCCACTTGCAAATTCCACCAAAAGAGTGTTTCAAGTCTGCTCTGTGTAAAGGATCGTTCAACTCTGTGAGTTGAATACACACAACACAAGGCAGTTACTGAGAATTCTTCGGTCTAGCATAATATGAAGAAATCCCGTTTCCAACGAAGGCCTCAAAGAGGTCTGAATATCCACTTGCAGACTTTACAAACAGAGTGTTTCCTAACTGCTCTATGAAAAGAAAAGTTAAACTCTGTGAGTTGAACGCACACATCACAAAGGATTTTCTGAGAATCATTCTGTCTAGTCTTTATACGAAGATAGTTTCCTTTTCTACCATTGACCTCAAAGCTGCTGAAATCTCCTCTTGCAAATTCCACAAAAAGAGTGTTTCAAGTCTGCTCTGTGTAAAGGATCGTTCAACTCTGTGAGTTGAATACACACAACACAAGGAAGTTACTGAGAATTCTTCTGTCTATCAGAATATGAAGAAATCCCGTTTCCAAAGAAGGCCTCAAGGAGGTCTGAATATCCACTTGCAGACTTTACAAACAGAGTGTTTCCTAACTGCTCTATGAACAGAAAGGTTAAACTCTGTGAGTTGAACGCACACATCACAAAGGAGTTTATGAGAATCATTCTGTCTAGTTTTTATAGGAAGATATTTCCTTTTCTACATTTGACTTCAAAGCGGCTGAAATCTCCAATTGCAAATTCCACAAAAAGAGTGTTACAAGTCTGCTCTGTGTAAAGGATCGTTCAACTGTGTGAGTTGAATACACACAACACAAGGAAGTTACTGAGAATTCTTCTGTCTAGCCTTACGTGAAAAAAACCCGTTTCCAACGAAGGCCTCTAAGTGGTCAATTTATCCACGTGCAGACTTTACAAACAGAGTGTTTCCAAACTGCTGAATGAAAAGAAAAGTTAAACTCTGAGAGTTGAACGCACACATCGCAGAGCAGTTTCTGAGAATGATTCTGTCTAGTTTTTATACGAAGATATTTCCTTTTCTACCATTGACCTCAATGCGGCTGAAATCTCCCCTTGCAAATTCCACAAAAAGTGTGTTTCAAGTCCGCTCTGTGTAAAGGATCGTTCAACTCTGTGAGTTGAATACACACAACACAAGGAAGTTACTGAGAATTCTTCTGTCTAGCACAGTATGAAGAAATCCCGTTTCCAACGAAGGCCTCAAAGAGGTCTGAATATCCACTTGCAGACTTTACAAACAGAGTGTTTCCTAACTGCTCTATGAAAAGAAAGGTTAAACTCTGTGAGTTGAACGCACACATCACAAAGAAGTTTCTGAGAATCATTCTGTCTAGTTTCTATAGGAAGATATTTCCTATTCTACCATTGGCCTCAAAGCGGCTGAAATCTCCACTTGCAAATTCCACAAAAGGAGTGTTTCAAGTCTGCTCTGTGTAAAGGATCGTTCAACTCTGTGAGTTGAAAACACACAACACAAGGAAGTTTCTGAGAATTCTTCTGTCTAGCAGAATATGAAGAAATCCCGCTTCCAACGAAGGCCTCAAAGAAGTCTGAATATCCACTTGCAGACTTTACAAACAGAGTGTTTCCCAACTGCTCTATGAAAAGAAAGGTTGAACTCTGTGAGTAGAACGCACACATCACAAAGGAGTTTCTGAGAATCATTCTGTCTAGTTTTGAAATGAAGATATTTCCTTTTCTGCCATTGACCTTAAAGCGCTTGAAATCTACACTTGCAAATTGCACAAATAGAGTGCTTCAAATCTGCTCTGTCTAAGGGAACGTTCAACTCTGTGAGTTGAATGCACACAACACAAGGAAGTTACTGGGAATTCTTCTGTCTAGCCTTACATGCAAAAAACCCGTTTCCAACGAAGGCCTCTAAGTGGTCAAAATATCCACGTGCAGACTTTACAAACAGAGGGTTTCCAAACCGCTGAATGAAATGAAAAGTTAAACTCTGAGAGTTGAACGCACACATCACGCAGCAGTTTCTGAGAATGATTCTGTCTAGTTTTTATACGAAGATATTTCCTTTTCTGCCTTTGGCCTCAAAGCGCTTGAAATCTCCACTTGCAAATTCCACAAAAAGAGTGTTTCAAATCTGCTCTGTCTAAGGGAACGTTCAACTCTGTGAGTTGAACACACACAACACAAGGAAGTCACTGGGAATTCTTCTTTCTAGCAGAATATGAAGAAATCCCGTTTCCAACGAAAGCCTCAAGGATGTCTGAATATCCACTTGCAGACTTTACAAACAGAGTGTTTCCTAACTGCTCTATGAAAAGAAAGGGTAAACTCTGTGAGTTGAACGCACACATCACAAAGGAGTTTCTGAGAATCATTCTGTCTAGTTTCTATAGGAAGATATTTCCTATTCTACCATTGACCTCAAAGCGGCTGAAATCTCCACTTGCAAATTCCACAAAAAGAGTGTTTTAAGTCTGCTCTCTGTAAAGGATCGTTCAACTCTGTGAGTTGAATACACACAAAACAAGGAAGTTACTGAGAATTATTCTGTCTAGCATAGTATGAAGAAATCCCGTTTCCAACGAAGGCCTCAAAGAGGTCTGAATATCCACTTGCAGAGTTTACAAACAGAGTGTTTCCTAACTGCTCTATGAAAAGAAAGGTTAAACTCTGTGAGTTGAACGAACACATCACAACGCAGTTTGTGGGAATGATTCTGTCTAGTTTTGAAACCAAGATATTTCCTTTTCTGCCATTGACCTTAAAGCGCTTGAAATCTACACTTGCAAATTGCACAAATAGAGTGTTTCAAATCTGCTCTGTCTAAGGGAACGTTCAACTCTGTGAGTTGAATGCACACAACACAAGGAAGTTACTGGGAATTCTTCTGTCTAGCCTTATATGAAAAAAACCCGTTTCCAACGAAGGCCTCTAAGTGGTCAAGTTATCCACGTGCAGACTTTACAAACAGAGTGTTTCCAAACTGCTGAATGAAAAGAAAAGTTAAACTCTGAGAGTTGAACGCACACATCGCAGAGCAGTTTCTGAGAATGATTCTGTCTAGTTTTTATACGAAGATATTTCCTTTTCTGCCTTTGGCCTCAAAGCACTTGAAATCTCCACTTGGAAATTCCACAAAAAGAGTGTTTCAAATCTGCTCTGTGTAAATGAGAGTTCAACTCTGTGAGTTGAACACACACAACACAAGGAAGTTACTGGGAATTCTTCTGTCTAGCCTTATATGAAAAAAACCCGTTTCCATCGAAGGCCTCAAAGAGGTCTGAATATCCACTTGCAGACTTAACAAACAGAGTGTTTCCTAACTGCTCAATGAAAAGAAAGGTTAAACTCTGTGAGTTGAACACATACATCACAAAGGAGTTTCTGAGAATCATTCTGTCTAGTTTCTATAGGAAGATATTTCCTATTCTACCATTGACCTCAAAGCGGCTGAAATCTCCACTTGCAATTTCCACAAAAAGAGTGTTTCAAGTCTGCTCTGTGTAAAGGATCGTTCAACTCTGTGAGTTGAATACACACAACACAAGGAAGTTACTGATAATTCTTCTGTCCAGCATAATATGAAGAAATCCCGTTTCCAACGAAGGCCTCAAAGGGGTCTGAATATTCACTTGCAGACTTTATAAACAGAGTGTTTACTAACTGCTCTATGAAAGCAAAGGTTAAACTCTGTGAGTTGAACACACACATCACAAAGGAGTTTCTCAGAATCATTCTGTCTAGTTTCTATAGGAAGATATTTCCTATTCTACCATTGAACAAAAAGCGGCTGAAATCTCCACCTGCAAATTCCACAAAAAGAGTGTTTCAAGTCTGCTCTGTGTAAAGGATCGTTCAACTCTGTGAGTTGAATTCACACAACACAAGGAAGTTACTGAGAATTCTTCTGTCTAGCAGAATATGAAGAAATCCCGTTTCCAACGAAGGCCACAAGATGTCAGAATATCCACTTACAGACTTTACAACAGAGTGTTTCCTAACTGCTCTATGAACAGAAAGGTTAAACTCTGTGAGTTGAACGAACACATCACAACGCAGTTTGTGGGAATGATTCTGTCTAGTTTTGAAACGAAGATATTTCCTTTTCTGCCATTGACCTTAAAGCGCTTGAAATCTATACTTGCAAATTGCACAAATAGAGTGTTTCAAATCTGCTCTGTCTAAGGGAACGTTCAACTCTGTGAGTTGAATGCACACAACACAAGGAAGTTACTGGGAATTCTTCTGTCTAGCCTTACATGAAAAAACCCGTTTCCAACGAAGGCCTCTAAGTGGTCAAAATATCCACGTGCAGACTTTACAAACAGAGTGTTTCCAAACCGCTGAATGAAAAGAAAAGTTGAACTCTGAGAGTTGAACGCACACATCACGCAGCAGTTTCTGAGAATGATTCTGTCTAGTTTTTATACGAAGATATTTCCTTTTCTGCCTTTGGCCCCAAAGCGCTTGAAATCTCCACTTGCAAATTCCACAAAAACAGTGTTTCAAATCTGCTCTCTCTAAATGAAAGTTCAACTCTGTCAGTTGAATACACACAACACAAGGAAGTTACTGAGAATTTTTCTGTCTAGCATAATATGAAGAAATCCCGTTTCCAACGAAGGCCTCAAAGGGGTCTGAATATCCACTTGCAGACTTTACAAACAGAGTGTTTCCTAATTGCTCTATGAACAGAAAGGTTAAACTCTGTGAGTTGAACGCACACATCACTAAGGAGTTTATGAAAATCATTCTGTCTAGTTTCTATAGGAAGATATTTCCTATTCTACCATTGACCTCAAAGAGGCTGAAATCGCCACTTGCAAATTCCACAAAAAGAGTGTTTCAAGTCTGCTCTGTGTAAAGGATCGTTCAACCCTGTGAGTTGAATACACACAACACAAGGTAAGTTACTGAGAATTCTTCTGTCTAGCAGAATATGAAGAAATCCCGTTTCCAACGAAGGCCTCAAGGAGGTCTGAATATCCACTTGCAGACTTTACAAACAGAGTGTTTCCTAACTGCTCTATGAAAAGAAAGGTTAAACTCTGTGAGTTGAACGCACACATCACAAAAGATTTTCTGAGAATCATTCTGTCTAGTTTTGAAACGAAGACATTTCCTTTTCTGCCTTTGGCCTCAAAGCGCTTGAAATCTCCATTTGCAAATTCCACAAAAAGAGTGTTTCAAATCTGCTCTGTGTAAATGAAAGTTCAACTCTGTGAGTTGAACGCACACAACACAAGGAAGTTACTGGGAATTCTTCTGTCTAGCCTTACATGAAAAAAACCCGTTTCCAACGAAGGCCTCTAAGTAGTCAAATTATCCACGTGCAGACTTTACAAACAGAGTGTTTCCAAACTGCTGAATGAAAAGAAAAGTTGAACTCTGAGAGTTGAACGCACACATCGCAGAGCAGTTTCTGAGAATGATTCTGTCTAGTTTTTATACGAAGATATTTCCTTTTCTGCCTTTGGCCTCAAAGCGCTTGAAATCTCCATTTGTAAATTCCACAAAAAGAGAGTTTCAAATCTGCTCTGTGTAAATGAAAGTTCAACTCTGTGAGTTGAACACACACAACACAAGGAAGTTACTGGGAATTCTTCTGTCTAGCATAATATGAAGAAAACCCGTTTCCAACGAAGGCCTCAAGGAGGTCTGAATATCCACTTGCAGACTTTACAAACAGAGTGTTTCCTAACTGCTCTATGAAAAGAAAGGTTAAACTCTGTGAGTTGAACGCACACATCACAAAGGAGTTTCTCAGAATCATTCTGTCTAGTTTTTATAGGAAGATATTTCCTTTTCTACCATTGACCTCAAAGCGGCTGAAATCTCCACTTGCAAATTCCACAAAAAGAGTGTTTCAAGTCTGCTCTGTGTAAAGGATCGGTTCAACTCTGTGAGTTGAATACACACAACACAAGGAAGTTACTGAGAATTCTTCTGTCTAGCATAGTATGAAGAAATCCCGTTTCCAACGAAGGCCTCAAAGAGGTCTGAACATCCATTTGCAGAGTTTACAAACAGAGTGTTTCCTAACTGCTCTATGAAAAGAAAGGTTAAACTCTGTGAGTTGAACGCACACATCACAAAGAAGTTTCTGAGAATCATTCTGTCTATTTTTTATAGGAAGATATTTCCTTTTCTACCTTTGACTTCAAAGCGGCTGAAATCTCCACTTGCAAATTCCACAAAAAGAGTGTTACAAGTCTGCTCTGTGTAAAGGATCGTTCAACTCTGTGAGTTGAATACACACAACAGAAGGAAGTTACTGAGAATTCTTCTGTCTAGCCTTACATGAAAAAAACCCGTTTCCAACGAAGGCCTCTAAGTGATCAAATTATCCACGTGCAGACTTTACAAACAGAGTGTTTCCAAACTGCTGAATGAAAAGAAAAGTTAAACTCTGAGAGATGAACGCACACATCACAGAGCAGTTTCTGAGAATGATTCTGTCTAGTTTTTATACGAAGATATTTCCTTTTCTGCCTTTGGCCTCAAAGCGCTTGAAATCTCCACTTGCAAATTCCACAAAAAGAGTGTTTCATATCTGCTCTGGGTAAATGAAAGTTCAACTCTGTGAGTTGAACACACACAACACAAGGAAGTTACTGGGAATTCTTCTGTCTAGCATAATATGCAGAAATCCCGTTTCCTACGAAGGCCTCAAAGAGGTCTGAATATCCACTTGCTGACTTTACAAACAGAGTGTTTCCTAACTGCTCTATGAAAAGAAAGGTTAAACTCTGTGAGTTGAGCGCACACATCACAAAGAAGTTTCTGAGAATCATTCTGTCTAGTTTCTATAGGAAGATATTTCCTATTCTACCATTGACCTCAAAGCGTCAGAAATCTCCACTTGCAAATTCCACAAAAAGAGTGTTTCAAGACTGCTCTGTGTAAAGGATCGTTCAACTCTGTGAGTTGAATACACACAACACAAGGAAGTTACTGAGAATTCTTCTGTCTAGCAGAACATGAAGAAATCCTGCTTCCAACGAAGGCCTCAAAGAAGTCTGAATATCCACTTGCAGACTTTACAAACAGAGTGTTTCCCAACTGCTCTATGAAAAGAAAGGTTGAACTCTGTGAGTTGAACGCACACATCACAAAGGAGTTTCTGAGAATCATTCTGTCTAATTTTTATATGAAGATATTTCCTTTTCAACCATTGACCTCAAAGTGGCTGAAATCTCCATTTGCAAATTCCACAAAAAGAGTGTTTCAAGTCTGCTCTGTGTAAAGGTTCGTTCAACTCTGTGAGTTGAATACACACAACACGAGGAAGTTACTGAGAATTCTTCTGTCTAGCAGAATATGAAGAAATCCCGCTTCCAACGAAGGCCTCAAAGAAGTCTGAATATCCACTTGCAGACTTTACAAACAGAGTGTATCCCAACTGCTCTATGAAAAGAAAGGTTGAACTCTGTGAGTTGAACGCACACATCACAAAGGAGTTTCTGAGAATCATTCTGTCTAGTTTTGAAACGAAGATATTTCCTTTTCTGCCATTGACCTTAAAGCGCTTGAAATCTCCATTTGCCAATTGCAGAAAAAGAGTGTTTCAAATCTGCTCTGTCTAAGGGAACGTTCAACTCTGTGAGTTGAATGTACACAACACAAGGAAGTTACTGGGAATTCTTCTGTCTAGCCTTACATGAAAAAAACCCGTTTCCAACGAAGGCCTCTAAGTGGTCAAGTTATCCACGTGCAGACTTTACAAACAGAGTGTTTCCAAACTGCTGAATGAAAAGAAAAGTTAAACTCTGAGAGTTGAACGCACACATCGCAGAGCAGTTTCTGAGAATGATTCTGTCTAGTGTTTATACGAAGATATTTCCTTTTCTGCCTTTGGCCCCAAAGCGCTTGAAATCTCCACTTGCAAATTCCACAAAAACAGTGTTTCAAATCTGCTCTCTCCAAATGAAAGTTCAACTCTGTCAGTTGAATACACACAACACAAGGAAGTTACTGAGAATTCTTCTGTCTAGGAGAATATGAAGAAATCCCGTTTCCAACGAAGGCCTCAAAGGGGTCTGAATATCCACTTGCAGACTTTATAAACAGAGTGTTTACTAACTGCTCTATGAAAAGAAAGGTTAAACTCTGTGAGTTGAACACACACATCACAAAGGAGTTTCTGAGAATCATTCTGTCTAGTTTTTATACGAAGATATTTCCTTTTCTACCATTGACCTCAACGCGGCTGAAATCTCCACTTGCAAATTCCACAAAACGAGTGTTTCAAGTCCGCTCTGTGTAAAGGATCGTTCAACTGTGTGAGTTGAATACACACAACACAAGGAAGTTACTGAGAATTCTTCTGTCTAGCAGAATATGAAGAAATCCCGTTTCCAACGGAGGCCACAAGATGTCAGAATATCCACTTACAGAATTTACCAACAGAGTGTTTCCTAACTGCTCTATGAAAAGAAAGGTTAAACTCTGTGAGTTGAACGAACACATCACAACGCAGTTTGTGGGAATGATTCTGTCTAGTTTTGAAACGAAGATATTTCCTTTTTCTGCCGTTGACCTTAAAGCGCTTGAAATCTACACTTGCAAATTGCACAAATAGAGTGTTTCAAATCTGCTCTGTCTAAGGGAACGTTCAACTCTGTGAGTTGAATGCACACAACACAAGGAAGTTACTGGGAATTCTTCTGTCTAGCCTTACATGAAAAAAACCCGTTTCCAACGAAGGCCTCTAAGTGGTCAAATTATCCACGTGCAGACTTTACAAACAGAGTGTTTCCAAACTGCTGAATGAAAAGAAAAGTTAAACTCTGAGAGTTCAACGCACACATCGCAGAGCAGTTTCTGAGAATGATTCTGTCTAGTTTTTATACGAAGATATTTCCTTTTCTGCCTTTGGCCTCAAAGCGCTTGATATCTCCACTTGCAAATTCCACAAAAAGAGTGTTTCAAATCTGCTCTGTGTAAATGAAAGTTCAACTCTGTGAGTTGAACACACACAACACAAGGAAGTTACTGGGAATTCTTCTGTCTAGCCTTATATGAAAAAAACCCGTTTCCAACGAAGGCCTCAAAGAGGGCTAAATATCCACTTGCATACTTTAGAAGCAGAGTGTTTCCTAACTGCTCTATGAAAAGAAAGGTTAAACTCTGTGAGTTGAACGCACACATCACAAAGGAGTTTCTGAGAATCATTCTGTCTAGTTTTTATAGGAAGATATTTCCTATTCTACCATTGACCTCAAAGCGGCTGAAATCTCCACTTGCAAATTCCACAACAAGAGTGTTTCAAGTCTGCTCTGTGTAAAGGATCGTTCAACTCTGTGAGTTGAATACACACAACACAAGGAAGTTATTGAGAATTCTTCTGTCTAGCAGAATATGAAGAAATCCCGTTTCCAACGAAGGCCACAAGATGTCAGAATATCCACTTACAGACTTTAGAAACAGAGTGTTTCCTAACTGCTCTATGAACAGAAAGGTTAAACTCTGTGAGTTGAACGAACACATCACAACGCAGTTTGTGGGAATGATTCTGTCTAGTTTTGAAACGAAGATATTTCCTTTTCTGCCTTTGGCCTCAAAGCGCTTGAAATCTCCATTTGCAAATTCCACAAAAAGAGTGTTTCAAATCTGCTCTGTGTAAATGAAAGTTCAACTCTGTGAGTTGAACACACACAACACAAGGAAGTTACTGGGAATTCTTCTGTCTAGCCTTACATGAAAAAAACCCGTTTCCCAACGAAGGCCTCTAAGTGGTCAAAATATCCACGTGCAGACTTTACAAACAGAGTGTTTCCAAACCGCTGAATGAAAAGAAAAGTTAAACTCTGAGAGTTGAACGCACACATCACGCAGCAGTTTCTGAGAATGATTCTGTCTAGTTTTTATACGAAGATATTTCCTTTTCTGCTTTTGGCCTCAAAGCGCTTGAAATCTCCACTTGCAAATTCCACAAAAAGAGTGTTTCAAGTCTGCTCTGTGTAAAGGATAGTTCAACTCTGTGAGTTGAATACACACAACACAAGGAAGTTACTGAGAATTCTTCTGTCTAGCCTTATATGAAAAAACCCGTTTCCAACGAAGGCCTCAAAGAGGTCTGAATATCCACTTGCAGACTTTACAAACAGAGTGTTTCCTAACTGCTCTATGAAAAGAAAGGTTAAACTCTGTGAGTTGAACGCACACATCTCAAAGGAGTTTCTGAGAATCATTCTGTCTAGTTTTTATACGAAGATATTCCCTTTTCTACCATTGACCTCAAAGCGGCTGAAATCTCCACTTGCAAATTCCACAAAAAGAGTTTTTCTAATCTGCTCTGTGTAAAGGATCGTTCAACTCTGTGAGTTGAATACACACAACAAAAGGAAGTTTCTGAGAATTCTTCTGTCTAGCAGAATATGAAGAAATCCCGTTTCCAACGAAGGCCACAAGATGTCAGAATATCCACTTACGGAATTTACAAACAGACTGTTTCCTAACTGCTCTATGAAAAGAAAGGTTAAACTCTGTGAGATGAACGAACACATCACAACGCAGTTTGTGGGAATGATTCTGTCTAGTTTTAATACGAAGATATTTCCTTTTATACCATTGACCTCAAAGCGGCTGAAATCACCACTTGCCAATTGCACAAAAATAGTGTTTCAAATCTGCTCTGTCTAAGGGAACGTTCAACTCTGTGAGTTGAATGTACACAACACAAGGAAGTTACTAGGAATTCTTCTGTCTAGCCTTACATGAAAAAAACCCGTTTCCAACGAAGGCCTCTAAGTGGTCAAATTATCCACGTGCAGACTTTACAAACAGAGTGTTTCCAAACTGCTGAATGAAAAGAAAAGTTAAACTCTGAGAGTTGAACGCACACGTCGCAGAGCAGTTTCTGAGAATGATTCTGTCTAGTTTTTATACGAGGATATTTCCTTTTCTGCCTTTGGCCTCAAAGCGCTTGAAATCTCCATTTGCAAATTCCACAAAAAGAGTGTTTCAAATCTGCTCTGTGTAAATGAAAGTTCAACTCTGTGAGTTGAACACACACAACACAAGGAAGTTACTGGGAATTCTTTTGTCTAGCCTTATATGAAAAAAACCCGTTTCCAACGAAGGCCTCAAAGAGGTCTGAATATCCACTTGCAGACTTTACAAACAGAGTGTTTCCTAACTGCTCTATGAAAAGAAAGGTTAAACTCTGTGAGTTGAACACACACATCACAAAGGAGTTTCTGAGAATCATTCTGTCTAGTCTTTATACGATGATAGTTTCCTTTTCTACCATTGACCACAAAGCGGCTGAAATCTCCACTTGCAAATACCACAAAAAGAGTGTTTCAAGTCTGCTCTCTCTAAAGGATCGTTCAACTCTGTGAGTTGAATACACACAACACAAGGAAGTTACTGAGAATTATTCTGTCTAGCATAATATGAAGAAATCCCGTTTCCAACGAAGGCATCAAAGAGGTCTGAATATCCACTTGCAGACTTTACAAACAGAGTGTTTCCTAACTGATCTATGAAAAGAAAAGTTAAACTCTGTGAGTTGAACGCACAAATCACAAAGGAGTTTCTGAGAATCATTCTGTCTAGTTTTGAAACGAAGATATTTGCTTTTCTGCCGTTGACCTTAAAGAGCTTGAAAACTACACTTGCAAATTGCACAAATAGAGTGTTTCAAATCTGCTCTGTCTAAGGGAACGTTCAACTCTGTGAGTTGAATGCACACAACACAAGGAAGTTACTGGGAATTCTTCTGTCTAGCCTTACAGGAAAAAAACCCGTTTCCAACGAAGGCCTCTAAGTGGTCAAAATATCCACGTACAGACTTTACAAACAGAGTGTTTCCAAACTGCTGAATGAAAAGAAAAGTTAAACTCTGAGAGTTCAACGCACACATCGCAGAGCAGTTTCTGAGAATGATTCTGTCTAGTTTTTATACGAAGATATTTCCTTTTCTGCCTTTGGCCTCAAAGCGCTTGAAATCTCCACTTCCAAATTCCACAAAAAGAGTGTTTCAAATCTGCTCTGTGTAAATCAAAGTTCAACTCTGTGAGTAGAACACACACAACACAAGGAAGTTACTGGGAATTCTTCTGTCTAGCAGAATATGAAGAAATCCCGTTTCCAACGAAGGCCTCAAGGAGGTCTGAATATCCACTTGCAGACTTTACAAACAGAGTGTTTCCTAACTGCTCTATGAAAGGAAAGGTTAAACTCTGTGAGTTGAACGCACACATCACAAAGGAGTTTATGAGAATCATTCTGTCTAGTTTCTATAGGAAGATATTTCCTATTCTACCATTGACCTCAAAGCGGCTGAAATCTCCACTTGCAAATTCCACAAAAAGAGTGTTTCAAGTCTGCTCTGTGTAAAGGATCGTTGAAATCTGTGAGTTGAATACACACAACACAATGAAGTTACTGAGAATTCTTCTGTCTAGCATAATATGAAGAAATCCCGTTTCCAACGAAGGCCTCAAAGAGGACTGAATATCCACTTGCAGACTTAACAAACAGAGTGTTTCCTAACTGCTCTATGAAAAGAAAGGTTAAACTCTGTGAGTTGAACGCACACATCACAAAGGAGTTTCTGAGAATCATTCTGTCTAGTTTTTATAGGAAGATATTACCTTTTCTACCATTGACTTAAAAGCGGCTGAAAACTCCACTTGCAAATTCCACAAAAAGAGTGTTACAAGTCTGCTCTGTCTAACGGAACGTTCAACTCTGTGAGTTGAATGTACACAACACAAGGAAGTTACTGGGAATTCTTCTGTCCAGCCTTACATGAAAAAAACCCGTTTCCAACGAAGGCCTCTAAGTGGTCAAATTATCCACGTGCAGACTTTACAAACAGAGTGTTTCCAAACTGCTGAATGAAAAGCAAAGTTAAACTCTGAGAGTTGAACGCACACATCGCAGAGCAGTTTCTGAGAATGATTCTGTCTAGTTTTTATACGAAGATATTTCCTTTTCTGCCTTTGGCCCCAAAGCGCTTGAAATCTCCACTTGCAAATTCCACAAAAACAGTGTTTCAAATCTGCTCTCTCCAAATGAAAGTTCAACTCTTGTCAGTTGAATACACACAACACAAGGAAGTTACTGAGAATTCTTCTGTCTAGCAGAATATGAAGAAATCCCGTTTCCAACGAAGGCCTCAAAGAGGTCTGAATATCCACTTGCAGACTTTACAAATAGAGTGTTTCCTAACTGCTCTATGAACAGAAAGGTTAAACTCTGTGAGTTGAACGCACACATCACAAAGGAGTTTCTGAGAATCATTCTGTCTAGTTTCTATAGGAAGATATTTCCTATTCTACTATTGACCACAAAGCGGCTGAAATCTCCACTTGCAAATTCCACAAAAAGAGTGTTTCAAGTCTGCTCTGTGTATAGGATCGTTCAACTCTGTGAGTTGAATTCACAAAACACAAGGAAGTTACTGAGAATTCTTCTGTGTAGCATAATATGAAGAAATCCCGTTTCCAACGAAGGCCTCAAAGAGGTCTGAATATCCACTTGCAGACATTACAAACAGAGTGTCTCCTAACTGCTCTATGAAAAGAAAGGTTAAACTCTGTGAGTTGAACGAACACATCACAACGCAGTTTGTGGGAATGATTCTGTCTAGTTTTGAAACGAAGATATTTCCTTTTCTGCCATTGACCTTAAAGCGCTTGAAATCTCCACTTGCCAATTACACAAAAAGAGTGTTTCAAATCTGCTCTGTCTAAGGGAACGTTCAACTCTGTGAGTTGAATGTACACAACACAAGGAAGTTACTGGGAATTCTTCTGTCTATCCTTACATGAAAAAAACCCTTTTCCAACGAAGGCCTCTAAGTGGTCAAATTATCCACGTACAGACTTTACAAACAGAGTGTTTCCAAACTGCTGAATGAAAAGAAAAGTTAAACTCTTAGAGTTGAACGCACACATCGCAGAGCAGTTTCTGAGAATGATTCTGTCTAGTTTTTATACGAAGATATTTCCTTTTCTGCCTTTGGCCTCAAAGCGCTTGAAATCTCCACTTGCAAATTCCACAAAAAGAGTGTTTCAAATCTGCTCTGTGTACATGAAAGTTCAACTCTGTGAGTTGAACACACACAACACAAGGAAGTTACTGGGAATTCTTCTGTCTAGCATAATATGAAGAATTCCCGTTTCCAACGAAGGCCTCAAAGAGGTCTGAATATCCACTTGCAGACTTTACAAACAGAGTGTTTCCTAACTGCTCTATGAAAAGAAAGGTTAAACTCTGTGAGTTGAACGCACACATCACAAAGGAGTTTCTGAGAATCATTCTCTCTTGTTTCTACAGGAAGATATTTACTATTCTACCATTGACCTCAAAGCGGCTGAAATCTCCACTTGCAAATCCACAAAAAGAGTGTTTCAAGTCTGCTCTGTGTAAAGGATCGTTCAACTCTGTGAGTTGAATACACACAACACAAGGAAGTTACTGAGAATTCTTCTGTCTAGCAGAATATGAAGAAATCCCGTTTCCAACGAAGGCCACAAGATGTCAGAATATCCACTTACAGAATTGACAAACAGACTGTTTCCTAACTGCTCTATGAAAAGAAAGGTTAAACTCTGTGAGTTGAACTAACACATCACAACGCAGTTTGTGGGAATGATTCTGTCTAGTTTTGAAACGAAGATATTTCCTTTTCTGCCGTTGACCTTAAAGCGCTTGAAATCTACACTTGCAAATTGCACAAATAGAGTGTTTCAAATCTGCTCTGTCTAAGGGAACGTTGAACTCTGTGAGTTGAATGCACACAACACAAGGAAGTTACTGGGAATTCTTCTGTCTAGCCTTACATGAAAAAAACCCGTTTCCAACGAAGGCCTCTAAGTGGTCAAATTATCCACGTGCAGACTTTACAAACAGAGTGTTTCCAAACTGCTGAATGAAAAGAAAAGTTAAACTGTGAGAGTTGAACGCACACATCGCAGAGCAGTTTCTGAGAATGATTCTGTCTAGTTTTTATACGAAGATATTTCCTTTTCTGCCTTTGGCCTCAAAGCGCATGAAATCTCCACTTGCAAATTCCACAAAAAGAGTGTTTCAAATCTGCTCTGTGTAAATGAAAGTTCAACTCTGTGAGTTGAACACACACAACACAAGGAAGTTACTGGGAATTCTTCTGTCTAGCAGAATATGAAGAAATCCCGTTTCCAACGAAGGCCTCAAAGAGGTCTGAATATCCACTTGCAGACTTTACAAACAGAGTGTTTCCTAACTGCTCTATGAAAGGAAATGTTAAATTCTGTGAGTTGAACGCACACATCACAAAGGAGTTTCTGAGAATCATTCTGTCTAGTTTCTATAGGAAGATATTTCCTATTCTACCATTGACCCCATAGCGGCTGAAATCTCCACTTGCAAATTCCACAAAAAGAGTGTTTCAAGTCTGCTATGTGTAAAGGATCGTTCAACTCTGTGAGTTGAATACACACAACACAAGGAAGTTACTGAGAATTCTTCTGTCTAGCCTTATATGAAAAAAACCCGTTTCCAACGAAGGCCTCAAAGAGGGCTGAATATCCACTTGCAGACTTTACAAGCAGAGTGTTTCCTAACTGCTCTATGAAAAGAAAGGTTAAACTCTGTGAGTTGAACGCACAGATCACAAAGGAGTTTCTGAGAATCATTCTGTCTAGTTTTTCTATGAAGATATTTCCTTTTCTACTATAGACCTCAAAGCGGCTGAAATCTCCACTTGCAAATTCCACAAAAAGAGTGTTTCAAGTCTGCTCTGTGTAAAGGATCGTTCAACTCCGTGAGTTGAATACACACAACACAAGGAAGTTACTGAGAATTCTTCTGTCTAGCAGAATATGAAGAAATCCCGTTTCCAACGAAGGCCACAAGATGTCAGAATATCCACTTACAGAATTTACAAACAGACTGTTTCCTAACTGCT
The DNA here is from genome assembly GCF_000001405.40 of Homo sapiens. NCBI lineage: Eukaryota > Metazoa > Chordata > Mammalia > Primates > Hominidae > Homo > Homo sapiens. The sequence continues at coordinate 47,937,325 of NC_000005.10, read as the reverse complement.
CTATGAAAAGAAAGGTTAAACTCTGTGAGTTGAACGAACACATCACAATGCAGTTTGTGGGAATGATTCTGTCTAGTTTTGAAACGAAGATATTTCCTTTTCTGCCATTGACCTCAAAGCGCTTGAAATCTCCACTTGCCAATTGCACAAAAAGAGTGTTTCAAATCTGCTCTGTCTAAGGGAACGTTCAACTCTGTGAGTTGAATGTACACAACACAAGGAAGTTACTGGGAATTCTTCTGTCTAGCCTTACATGAAAAAAAACCCGTTTCCAACGAAGGCCTCTAAGTGGTCAAAATATCCACGTGCAGACTTTACAAACAGAGTGTTTCCAAACCGCTGAATGAAAAGAAAAGTTAAACTCTGAGAGTTGAACGCACACATCACGCAGCAGTTTCTGAGAATGATTCTGTCTAGTTTTTATACGAAGATATTTCCTTTTCTGCCCTTGGCCCCAAAGCGCTTGAAATCTCCACTTGCATATTCCACAAAAACAGTGTTTCAAATCTGCTCTCTCTAAATGAAATTTCAACTCTGTCAGTTGAATACACACAACACAAGGAAGTTACCGAGAATTCTTCTGTCTCGCACAGTATGGAGAAATCCCGTTTCCAACGAAGGCCTCAAAGAGGTCTGAATATCCACTTGCAGAGTTTACAAACAGAGTGTTTCCTAACTGCTCTATGAAAAGAAAGGTTAAACTCTGTGAGTTGAACGCACACATCACAAAGAAGTTTCTTAGAATCATTCTGCCTAGTTTTTATACGAAGATATTTCCTTTTCTACCATTGACTCTCAAAGCGGCTGAAATCTCCACTTGCAAATTACACAAAAAGAGTGTTTCAAGTCTACTCTGTGTAAAGCATCGTTCAACTCTGTGAGTTGAAAACACACAACACAAGGAAGTTTCTGAGAATTCTTCTGTCTAGCAGAACATGAAGAAATCCCGTTTCCAAAGAAGGCCTCAAAGATGTCTGAATATCCACTTGCAGACTTTACAAACAGAGTGTTTCCTAACTGCTCTATGAAAAGAAAGGTTAAACTCTGTGAGTTGAACGCACACATCACAAAGGAGTTTCTGAGAATCATTCTGTCTAGTTTTGAAACGAAGATATTTCCTTTTCTGCCATCGACCTTAAAGCCCTTGAAATCTACACTTGCAAATTGCACAAATAGAGTGTTTCAAATCTGCTCTGTCTAAGGGAACGTTCATCTCTGTGAGTTGAATGCACACAACACAAGGAAGTTACTGGGAATTCTTCTGTCTATCCTTACATGAAAAAAACCCGTTTCCAAAGAAGGCCTCTAAGTGGTCAAAATATCCACGTGCAGACTTTACAAACAGAGTGTTTCCAAACTGCTGAATGAAAAGAAAAGTTAAACTCTGAGAGTTGAACGCACACATCACAGAGCAGTTTCTGAGAGTGATTCTGTCTAGTTTTTATACGAAGATATTTCCTTTTCTGCCTCTGGCCTCAAAGCGCTTGAAATCTCCATTTGCAAATTCCACAAAAAGAGTGTTTCAAATCTGCTCTGTGTAAATGAAAGTTCAACTCTGTGAGTTGAACACACACAACACATGGAAGTTACTGGGAATTCTTCTGTCTAGCAGAATATGAAGAAATCCCGTTTCCAACGAAGGCCTCAAAGAGGTCTGAATATCCACTTGCAGACTTTACAAACAGAGTGTTTCCTAACTGCTCTATGAAAAGAAAGGTTAAACTCTGTGAGTTGAACGCACACATCCCAAAGGAGTTTATGAGAATCATTCTGTCTAGTTGTTATACGAAGATATTTCCTTTTCTACCATTGACCTCAAAGCGGCTGAAATCTCCACTTGCAAATTCCACAAAAAGAGTGTTTCAAATCTGCTCTGTGTAAACCATCGTTCAACTGTGTGAGTTGAATACACACAACACAAGGAAGATTCTGAGAATTCTTCTGTCTAGCAGAATATGAAGAAATCCCGTTTCCAACGAAGGCCTCAAGGAGGTCTGAATATCCACTGGCAGACTTTACAAACAGAGTGTTTCCTAACTGCTCTATGAACAGAAAGGTTAAACTCTGTGAGTTGAACGAACACATCACAACGCAGTTTGTGGGAATGATTCTGTCTAGTTTTTATACGAAGATATTTCCTTTTCTACCATTGACCTCAAAGCGGCTGAAATCACCACTTGCCAATTGCACAAAAAGAGTGTTTCAAATCTGCTCTGTCTAAGGGAACGTTCAACTGCTGTGAGTTGAATGTACACAACACAAGGAAGTTCCTGGGAATTGCTTCTGTCTAGCCTTACATGAAAAAAACCCGTTTCCAACGAAGGCCTCTAAGTGGTCAAAATTTCCACGTGCAGACTTTACAAACAGAGTGTTTCCAAACCGCTGAATGAAAAGAAAAGTTAAACTCTGAGAGGTGAACGCACACATCACGCAGCAGTTTCTGAGAATGATTCTGTCTAGTTTTTATACGAAGATATTTCCTTTTCTGCCTTTGGCCCCAAAGCGCTTGAAATCTCCACTTGCAAATTCCACAAAAACAGTGTTTCAAATCTGGTCTCTCTAAATGAAAGTTCAACTCTGTCAGTTGAATACACACAACACAAGAAAGTTACTGAGAATTCTTCTGTCCAGCATAATATGGAGAAATCCCGTTTCCAACGAAGGCCTCAAGGAGGTCTGAATATCCACTTGCAGACTTTACAAACAGAGTGTTTCCTAACTGCTCTATGAAAAGAAAGGTTAAACTCTGTGAGTTAAACGCAGACATCACAAAGGAGTTTCTGAGAATCACTCTGTCTAGTTTTTCTACGAAGACATTTCCTTTTCTACTATTGACCTCAAAGCGGCTGAAATCTCCACTTGCAAATTCCACAGAAAGAGTGTTTCAAGTCTGCTCTGTGTAAAGGATCGTTCAACTCTGTGAGTTGAATACACACAACACAAGGAAGTTACTGAGAATTCTTCTGTCTAGCAGAATATGAAGAAATCCCGTTTCCAACGAAGGCCACAAGATGTCAGAATATCCACTTACAGACTTTACAAACAGTGTGTTTCCTAACTGCTCTATGAACGGAAACGTTAAACTCTGTGAGTTGAACGAACACATCACAACGCAGTTTGTGGGAATGATTCTGTCTAGTTTTGAAACGAATATATTTCCTTTTCTGCCATTGACCTTAAAGCGCTTGAAATCTCCATTTGCCAATTGCACAAAAAGAGTGTTTCAAATCTGCTCTGTCTAAGGGAACGTTCAACTCTGTGAGTTGAATGTACACAACACAAGGAAGTTACTGGGAATTCTTCTGTCTAGCCTTACATGAAAAAAACCCGTTTCCAACGAAGGCCTCTAAGTGGTCAAATTATCCACGTGCAGACTTTACAAACAGAGTGTTTCCAAACTGCTGAATGAAAAGCAAAGTTAAACTCTGAGAGTTGAACGCACACATCGCAGAGCACTTTCTGAGAATGATTCTGTCTAGTTTTTATACGAAGATATTTCCTTTTCTGCCTTTGGCCCCAAAGCGCATGAAATCTCCACTTGCAAATTCCACAAAAACAGTGTTTCAAATCTGCTCTCTCTAAATGAAAGTTCAACTCTGTCAGTTGAATACACACAACACAAGGAAGTTACTGAGAATTCTTCTGTCTAGCATAATATGAGGAAATCCCGTTTCCAACGAAGGCCTCAAAGAGGTCTGAATATCCACTTGCAGACTTTACAAACAGAGTGTTTCCTAACTGCTCTATGAAAAGAAAAGTTAAACTCTGTGAGTTGAACGCACACATCACAAAGGAGTTTCTGAGAATCATTCTGTCTAGTTTCTATAGGAAAATATTTCCTATTCTACCATTGACCTCAAAGCGGCTGAAATCTCCACTTGCAAATTCCACAGAAAGAATGTTTCAAGTCTGCTCTGTGTAAAGGATCGTTCAACTCTGTGAGTTGAATACACACAACACAAGGAAGTTACTGAGAATTATTCTGTCTAGCAGAATATGAAGAAATCCCGCTTCCAACGAAGGTCTCAAAGAAGTCTGAATATCCACTTGCAGACTTTACAAACAGAGTGTTTCCCAACTGCTCTATGAAAAGAAAGGTTGAACTCTGTGAGTTGAACGCACACATCACAAAGGAGTTTCTGAGAATCATTCTGTCTAGTTTCTATAGGAAGATATTTCCTATTCTACCCTTGAACTCAAAGCGGCTGAAATCTCCAATTGCAAATTCCACAAAAAGAGTGTTTCAAGTCTGCTCTGTGTAAAGGATCGTTCAACTCTGTGAGTTGAATACACACAACACAAAGAAGTTACTGAGAATTCCTCTGTCTAGCAGAATATGAAGAAATCCCGTTTCTATCGAAGGCCTCAAAGAGGTCTGAATATCCACTTGCAGACTTTACAAACAGAGTGTTTCCTAACTGCTCTATGAAAAGAAAAGTTAAACTCTGTGAGTTGAACGCACACATCACAAAGGAGTTTCTGAGAATCATTCTGTCTAGTCTTTATACGAAGATATTTCCTTTTCTACCATTGACCTCAAAACGGCTGAAATCTCCACTTGCAAATTCCACAAAAAGAGTGTTTCAAGTCTGCCCTCTGTAAAGGATCGTTCAACTCTGTGAGTTGAATACACACAACACAAGGAAGTTACTGAGAATTCTTGTGTCTAGCAGAATATGAAGAAATCCCGTTTCCAACAAAGGCCACAAGATGTCAGAATATCCACTTACAGAATTTACAAACAGAGTGTTTCCTAACTGCTCTATGAAAAGAAAGGTTAATCTCTGTGAGTTGAACGAACACATCACAACGCAGTTTGTGGGAATGATTCTGTCTAGTTTTGAAACGAAGATATTTCCTTTTCTGCCGTTGACCTCAAAGAGCTTGAAAACTACACTTGGAAATTGCACAAATAGAGTGTTTCAAATCTGCTCTGTCTAAGGGAACGTTCAACTCTGTGAGTTGAATGCACACAACACAAGGAAGTTACTGGGAATTCTTCTGTCTAGCCTTACATGAAAAAAACCCGTTTCCAACGAAGGCCTCTAAGTGGTCAAATTATCCACGTGCAGACTTTACAAACAGAGTGTTTCCAAACTGCTGAATGAAAAGAAAAGTTAAACTCTGAGAGTTGAACGCACACATCACAGAGCAGTTTCTGAGAATGATTCTGTCTAGTTTTATACGAAGATATTTCCTTTTCTGCCTTTGGCCCCAAAGCGCTTGAAATCTCCACTTGCAAATTCCACAAAAACAGTGTTTCAAATCTGCTCTCTCTACATGAAAGTTCAACTCTGTCAGTTGAATACACACAACACAAGGAAGTTACTGAGAATTCTTCTGTCTAGCATAATATGAAGAAATCCCGTTTCCAACGAAGGCCTCAAAGGGGTCTGAATATCCACTTGCAGACTTTATAAACAGAGTGTTTCCTAACTGCTCTATGAAAAGAAAGGTTAAACTCTGTGAGTTGAACGCTCACAACACAAAGGAGTTTCTGAGAATCATTCTGTCTAGTTTCTATAGGAAGATATTTCCTATTCTATCATTGACCTCAAAGCGGCTGAAATCTCCACTTGCAAATTCCACAAAAAGAGTGTTTCAAGTCTGCTCTCTGTAAAGGATCGTTCAACTCTGTGAGTTGAATACACGCAACACAAGGAAGTTACTGAGAATTATTCTGTCTAGCAGAATATGAAGAAATCCCGTTTCCAACAAATGCCACAAGATGTCAGAATATCCACTTACAGACTTTACAAACAGAGTGTTTCCTAACTGCTCTATGAATAGAAAGGTTAAACTCTGTGAGTTGAACGAACACATCACAACGCAGTTTGTGGGAATGATTCTGTCTAGTTTTGAAACGAAGATATTTCCTTTTCTGCCATTGACCTTAAAGCGCTTGTAATCTCCACTTGCCAATTGCACAAAAAGAGTGTTTCAAATCTGCTCTGTCTAAGGGAACGTTCAACTCTGTGAGTTGAATGTACACAACACAAGGGAAGTTACTGGGAATTCTTCTGTCTAGCCTTACAGGAAAAAAACCCTTTTCCAACGAAGGCCTCTAAGTGGTCAAAATATCCACGTGCAGACTTTACAAACAGAGTGTTTCCACACTGCTGAATGAAAAGAAAAGTTAAACTCTGAGAGTTGAACGCACACATCGCAGAGCAGTTTCTGAGAATGATTCTGTCTAGTTTTTATACGAAGATATTTCCTTTTCTTCCATTGACCTCAAAGCGGCTGAAATCTCCACTTGCAAATTCCACAAAAAGAGTGTTTCAAGTCTGCTCTGTGTAAAGGATCGTTCAACTCTGTGAGTTGAATACACACAACACAAGGAAGTTACTGAGAATTCTTCTCTCCAGCATAGTATGAAGAAATCCCGTTTCCATCGAAGGCCTCAAAGAGGTCTGAATATCCACTTGCAGAGTTTACAAACAGAGTGTTGCCTAACTGCTCTATGAAAAGAAAGGTTAAACTCTGTGAGTTGAACGCACACATCACAAAGGAGTTTCTGAGAATCATTCTGTCTAGTTTTTATACGAAGATATTTCCTTTTATACCATTGACCTCAACGCGGCTGAAATCTCCACTTGCAAATTCCACAAAAAGAGTGTTTCAAGTCTGCTCTGTGTAAAGGATCGTTCAACTCTGTGAGTTGAATACACACAACACAAGGAAGTTACTGAGAATTCTTCTGTCTAGCAGAATATGAAGAAAGCCCGTTTCCAACGAAGGCCACAAGATTACAGAATATCCACTTACAGAATTTACAAACAGAATTTTTCCTAACTGCTCTATGAAAAGAAAGGTTAAACTCTGTGAGTTGAACGAACACATCACAACGCAGTTTGTGGGAATGATTCTGTCTAGTTTTGAAACGAAGATATTTCCTTTTCTGCCATTGACCTTAAAGCGCTTGAAATCTACACTTGCAAAATGCACAAATAGAGTGTTTCAAATCTGCTCTGTCTAAGGGAACGTTCAACTCTGTGAGTTGAATGCACACAACACAAGGAAGTTACTGGGAATTCTTCTGTCTCCCCTTACATGAAAGAAACCCGTTTTCAACGAAGGCCTCTAAGTGGTCAAAATATCCACGTGCAGACTTTACAAACAGATTGTTTCCAAACTGCTGAATGAAAAGAAAAGTTAAACTCTGAGAGTTGAACGCACACATCACAGAGCAGTTTCTGAGAATGATTCTGTCTAGTTTTTATACGAAGATATTTCTTTTTCTGCCTTTGGCCCCAAAGCGCTTGAAATCTCCACTTGCAAATTCCACAAAAACAGTGTTTCAAATCTGCTCTCTCTAAATGAAAGTTCAACTCTGTCAGTTGAATACACACAACACAAGGAAGTTACTGAGAATTCTTCTATCTAGCATAATATGAAGAAATCCCGTTTCCAACGAAGGCCTCAAGGAGGTCTGAATATCCACTTCCAGACTTTACAAACAGAGTGTTTCCTAACTGCTCTATGAAAAGAAAGGTTAAACTCTGTGAGTTGAACGCAGACATCACAAAGGAGTTTCTGAGAATCATTCTGTCTAGTTTCTATAGGAAGATATTTCCTATTCTACCATGGACCTCAAAGCGGCTGAAATCTCCATTTGCAAATTCCACAAGAAGAGTGTTTCAAGTATGCTCTGTGTAAAGGATCGTTCAACTCTGTGAGTTGAATACACACAACACAAGGAAGTTACTGAGAATTCTTCTGTCTAGCAGAATATGAAGAAATCCCGTTTCCAACGAAGGCCACAAGATGTCAGAATATCCACTTACAGACTTTACAAACAGAGTGTTTCCTAACTGCTCTATGAAAAGAAAGGTGAAACTCCGTGAGTTGAATGCACACATCACAAAGGAGTTTATGAGAATCATTCTGTCTAGTTTTGAAACGAAGATATTTCCTTTCCTGCCATTGACCTTAAAGCGCTTGAAATCTCCATTTGCCAATTGCACAAAAAGAGTGTTTCAAATCTGCTCTGTCTAAGGGAACGTTCAACTCTGTGAGTTGAATGTACACAACACAAGGAAGTTACTGGGAATTCTTCTGTCTAGCCTTACAGGAAAAAAACCCGTTTCCAACGAAGACCTCTGAGAGGTCAAAATATCCACGTGCAGACTTTACAAACAGAGTGTTTCCAAACTGCTGAATGAAAAGAAAAGTTAAACTCTGAGAGTTGAACGCACACATCGCAGAGCAGTTTCTGAGAGTGATTCTGTCTAGTTTTTATACGAAGAGATTTCCTTTTCTACCATTGACCTCAACGCGGCTGAAATCTCCACTTGCAAATTACACAAAAAGAGTGTTTCAATTCCGCTCTGTGTAAAGGATCGTTCAACTCTGTGAGTTGAATACACACAACACAAGGAAGTTACTGAGAATTCTTCTGTCTAGCACAGTATGAAGAAATCCCGTTTCCAACGAAGGCCTCAAAGAGGTCTGAATATCCACTTGCAGACTTTACCAACAGAGTGTTTCCTAACTGCTCTATGAAAAGAAAGGTTAAACTCTGTGAGTTGAACACACACATCACAAAGGCGTTTCTGAGAATCATTCTGTCTAGTTTCAATAGGAAGATATTTCCTATTCTACCATTGACCTCAAAGCGGCTGAAATCTCCACTTGCAAATTCCACAAAAAGAGTGTTTCAAGTCTGCTCTGTGTAAAGGATCGTTCAACTCTGTGAGTTGAATACACACAACACAAGGCAAGTTACTGAGAATTCTTGTGTCTAGCATAATATGAAGAAATCCCGTTTCCAATGAAGGCCTCAAAGAGGTCTGAATATCCACTTGCAGACATTACAAACAGAGTGTTTCCTAACTGCTCTATGAAAAGAAAGCTAAAACTCTGTGAGTTGAACGCACACATCACAAGGGAGTTTCTGAGAATCATTCTGTCTAGTTTCTATAGGAAGATATTTCCTATTCTACAATTGACCTCAAAGCGGCTGAAATCTCCACTTGCAAATTCCACAAGAAGAGTGTTTCAAGTTTGCTCTGTGTAAAGGATCGTTCAACTCTGTGAGTTGAATACACACAACACAAGGAAGTTACTGAGAATTCTTCTGTCTAGTAGAATATGAAGAAATCCCGTTTCCAACGAAGGCCTCAAAGAGGTCTGAATATCCACTTGCAGACTTTACAAACAGAGTGTTTCCTAACTGCTCTATGAAAAGAAAGGTTAAACTCTGTGAGTTGAACGCACACATCACAAAGGAGTTTCTGAGAATCATTCTGTCTAGTTTTTATACGAAGATATTCCCTTTTCTACCATTGACCCCAAAGCAGCTGAAATCACCACTTGCCAATTGCACAAAAAGAGTGTTTCAAATCTGCTCTGTCTAAGGGAACGTTCAACTCTGTGAGTTGAATGTACACAACACAAGGAAGTTACTGGGAATTCTTCTGTCTAGCCTTACAGGAAGAAAACCCGTTTCCAACGAAGGCCTCTAAGTGGTCAAAATATCCACGTGCAGACTTTACAAACAGAGTGTTTCCAAACTGCTGAATGAAAAGAAAAGTTAAACTCTGAGAGTTGAACGCACACATCGCAGAGCAGTTTCTGAGAATGATTCTGTCTAGTTTCTATAGGAAGATATTTCCTATTCTACCATTGACCTCAAAGCGGCTGAAATCTCCACTTGCAAATTCCACAAAAAGAATGTTTCAAGATTGCTCTGTGTAAAGGATCGTTCAACTCTGTGAGTTGAATACACACAACACAAGGAAGTTACTGAGAATTCTTCTGTCTAGCAGAATATGAAGAAATCCCGTTTCCAACGAAGGCCTCAAAGAGGTCTGAATATCCACTTGCAGACTTTACAAACAGAGTGTTTCCTAACTGCTCTATGAAAAGAAAAGTTAAACTCTGTGAGTTGAACGCACACATCACTAAGGAGTTTCTGAGAATCATTCTGTCTAGTTTTTCTACGAAGATATTTCCTTTTCTACTATTGACCTCAAAGCGGCTGAAATCTCCACTTGCAAATTCCACAAAAAGGGTGTTTCAAGTCTGCTCTGTGTAAAGGATCGTTCAACTCTGTGAGTTGAATACACACAACACAAGGAAGTTACTGAGAATTCTTCCGTCTAGCAGAATATGAAGAAATCCCGTTTCCAACGAAGGCCACAAGATGTCAGAATATCCACTTACAGACTTTACAAACAGAGTGTTTCCTAACTGCTCCATGAACAGAAAGGTTAAACTCTGTGAGTTGAACGAACACATCACAACGCAGTTTGTGGGAATGATTCTGTCTAGTTTTGAAACGAAGATATTTCCTTTTCTGCCATTGACCTTAAAGCGCTTGAAATCTCCACTTGCCAATTGCACAAAAAGAGTATTTCAAATCTGCTCTGTCTAAGGGAACGTTCAACTCTGTGAGTTGAATGTACACAACACAAGGAAGTTACTGGGAATTCTTCTGTATAGCCTTACATGAAAAAAACCCGTTTCCAACGAAGGCCTCTAAGTGGTCAAAATATCCACGTGCAGACTTTACAAACAGAGTGTTTCCAAACTGCTGAATGAAAAGAAAAGTTAAACTCTGAGAGTTGAACACACACATCGCAGAGCAGTTTCTGAGAATGATTCTGTCTAGTTTTTATACGAAGGTATTTCCTTTTCTGCCTTTGGCCCCAAAGCGCTTGAAATCTCCACTTGCAAATTCCACAAAAACAGTGTTTCAAATCAGCTCTCTCTAAATGAAAGTTCAACTCTGTCAGTTGAATACACACAACACAAGGAAGTTACTGAGAATTCTTCTGTCTAGCAGAATATGAAGAAATCCAGTTTCCAACGAAGGCCTCAAACGAGGTCTGAATATCCACTTGCAGACTTTACAAACAGAGTGTTTCCTAACTGCTCTATGAAAAGAAAGGTTAAACTCTGTGAGTTGAACACACACATCACAAAGGAGTTTCTGAGAATCATTCTGTCTAGTTTTTCTACGAAGATATTTCCTTTTCTACTATTGACCTCAAAGCGGCTGAAATCTCCACTTGCAAATTCCACAAAAAGAGTGTTTCAAGTCTGCTCTGTGTAAAGGATCGTTCAACTCTGTGAGTTGAATACACACAACACAAGGAAGTTAGTGAGAATTCTTCTGTCTAGCAGAATATGAAGAAATCCCGTTTCCAACGAAGGCCACAAGATGTCTGAATATCCACTTTCAGACTTTACAAACAGAGTGTTTCCTAACTGCTCTCTGAACAGAAAGGTTAAACTCTGTGAGTTGAACGAACACATCACAACGCTGTTTGTGGGAATGATTCTGTCTAGTTTTGAAACGAAGATATTTCCTTTTCTGCCATTGACCTTAAAGCGCTTGAAATCTACACTTGCAAATTGAACAAATAGAGTGTTTCAAATCTGCTCTGTCTAAGGGAACGTTCAACTCTGTGAGTTGAATGCACACAACACAAGGAAGTTACTGGGAATTCTTCTGTCTAGCCTTACAGGAAAAAAACCCGTTTCCAACGAAGGCCTCTAAGTGTTCAAAATATCCACGTGCAGACTTTACAAACAGAGTGTTTCCAAACTGCTGAATGAAAAGAAAAGTTAAACTCTGAGAGTTGAACGCACACATCGCAGAGCAGTTTCTGAGAATGATTCTGTCTAGTTTTTATACGAAGATATTTCCTTTTCTGCCTTTGGCCTCAAAGCGCTTGAAATCTCCACTTGCAAATTCCACAAAAAGAGTGTTTCAAATCTGCTCTGTGTAAATGAAAGTTCAACTCTGTGAGTTGAACACACACAACACAAAGAAGTTACTGGGAATTCTTCTGTCTAGCAGAATATGAAGAAATCCCGTTTCCAACGAAGGCCTCAAGGAGGTCTGAATATCCACTTGCAGACTTTACAAACAGAGTGTTTCCTAACTGCTCTATGAAAAGAAAGGTTAAACTCTGTGAGTTGAACGCACACGTCACAAAGGAGTTTCTGAGAATCATTCTGTCTAGTTTTTCTACGAAGATATTTCCTTTTCTACTATTGACCTCAAAGCGGCTGAAATCTCCACTTGCAAATTCCACAAAAAGAGTGTTTCAAGACTGCTCTGTGTAAAGGATCGTTCAACTCTGTGAGTAGAATACACACAACACAAGGAAGTTACTGAGAATTCTTCTGTCTAGCAGAATATGAAGAAATCCCGTTTCCAACGAAGACCTCAAAGAGTTCTGAATATCCACTTACAGACTTTACAAACAGAGTGTTTCCTAACTGCTCTATGAACAGAAAGGTTAAACTCTGTGAGTTGTACGAACACATCACAACGCAGTTTGTGGGAATCATTCTGTCTAGTTTTTATACGAAGATATTTCCTTTTCTACCATTGACCTCAAAGCGGTTGAAATCACCACTTGCCAATTGCACAAAAAGAGTGTTTCAAATCTGCTCTATCTAAGGGAACGTTCAACTCTGTGAGTTGAATGTACACAAAACAAGGAAGTTACTGGGAATTCTTCTGTCTAGCCTTACAGGAAAAACACCCGTTTCCAACGAAGGCCTCTAAGTGGTCAAAATATCCACGTGCAGACTTTACAAACAGAGTGTTTCCAAACTGCTGAATGAAAAGAAAAGTTAAACTCTGAGAGTTGAACGCACACATCGCAGAGCAGTTTCTGAGAATGATTCTGTCTAGTTTTTAAACGAAGATATTTCCTTTTCTGCCTTTGGCCTCAAAGCGCTTGAAATCTCCACTTGCAAATTCCACAAAAAGAGTGTTTCAAGTCTGCTCTGTGTAAAGGATCGTTCAACTCTGTGAGTTGAATACACACAACACAAGGAAGTTACTGAGAATTCTTCTGTCTAGCACAGTATGAAGAAATCCCGTTTCCAACGAAGGCCTCAAATAGGTCTGAATATCCACTTGCAGAGTTTAAAAACACAGTGTTTCCTAACTGCTCTATGAAAAGAAAGGTTAAACTCTGTGAGTTGAACACACACATCACAAAGAAGTTTCTGAGAATCATTCTGTCTAGTTTTTATACGAAGATATTTCCTTTTCTACCATTGACCTCAAAGCGGCTGAAATCTCCACTTGCAAATTCCACAAAAAGAGTGTTTCAAGTCTGCTCTGTGTAAAGGATCGTTGAACTCTGTGAGTTGAATACACACAACAGAAGGAAGTTACTGAGAATTCTTCTGTCTAGCAGAATATGAAGAAATCCCGTTTCCAACGAAGGCCACAAGATGTCAGAATATCCTCTTACAGACTTTACAAACAGAGTGTTTCCTAACTGCTCTATGAACGGAAAGGTTAAACTCTGTGAGTTGAACGAACACATCACAACGCAGTTTGTGGGAATGATTCTGTCTAATTTTGAAACGAAGATATTTCCTTTTCTGCCATTGACCTTAATGCGCTTGAAATCTACACTTGCAAATTGCACAAATAGAGTGTTTCAAATCTGCTCTGTCTAAGGGAACGTTCAACTCTGTGAGTTGAATGCACACAACACAAGGAAGTTACTGGGAATTCTTCTGTCTAGCCTTACATGAAAAAATCCCGTTTCCAACGAAGGCCTCTAAGTGGTCAAAATATCCACTTGCAGACTTTACAAACAGAGTGTTTCCAAACCGCTGAATGAAAAGAAAAGTTAAACTCTGAGAGTTGAACGCACACATCACGCAGCAGTTTCTGAGAATGATTCTGTCTAGTTTTTATACGAAGATATTTCCTTTTCTGCCTTTGGCCCAAAAGCGCTTGAAATCTCCACTTGCAAATTCCACAAAAACAGTGTTTCAAATCTGCTCTCTCAAAATGAAAGTTCAACTCTGTCAGTTGAATACACACAACACAAGGAAGTTACTGAGAATTCTTCTGTCTAGCATAATATGAAGAAATCCCGTTTCCAACGAAGGCTTCAAAGAGGTCTGAATATCCACTTGCAGACTTTACAAACAGAGTGTTTCCTAACTGCTCTATGAAAAGAAAAGTTAAACTCTGTGAGTTGAACGCACACATCACAAAGGAGTTTCTGAGAATCATTCTGTCTAGTCTTTATACGAAGATATTTACTTTTCTACCATTGACCTCAAAGCGGCTGAAATCTCCACTTGCAAATTCCAGAAAAAGAGAGTTTCAAGTCTGCTCTGTGTAAAGGATCATTCAACTCTGTGAGTTGAATACACACAACACAAGGAAGTTACTGAGAATTCTTCTGTCTAGCAGAATAAGAAGAAATCCCGTTTCCAACGAAGGCCTCAAAGAAGTCTGAATATCCACTTGCAGACTTTACAAACAGAGTGTTTCCGAACTGCTCTATGAAAAGAAAGGTTAAACTCTGTGTGTTGAACGCACACATCACAAAGGAGTTTCTGAGAATCATTCTGTCTAGTTTTTCTACGAAGATATTTCCTTTTCTACTATTGACCTCAAAGCGGCTGAAATCTCCACTTGCAAATTCCACAAAAAGAGCGTTTCAAGACTGCTCTATGTAAAGGATCGTTCAACTCTGTGAGTTGAATACACACAACACAAGGAAGTTACTGAGAATTCTTCTGTCTAGCAGAATATGAAGAAATCCCGTTTCCAACGAAAGCCTCAAAGATGTCTGAATATCCACTTGCAGACTTTACAAACAGAGTGTTTCCTAACTGCTCTATGAAAAGAAAGGTTAAACTCTGTGAGTTGAACGCACACAACACAAAGGAGTTTCTGAGAATCATTCTGTCTAGTCTTTATACGGAGATGTTTCCTTTTCTACCATTGACCTCAAAGCGCCTGAAATCTCCACTTGCAAATTCCACAAAAAGAGTGTTTCAAGTCTGCTCTGTGTAAAGGATTGTTCAACTCTGTGAGTTGAATACACACAACACAAGGAAGTTACTGAGAATTCTTCTGTCTAGCAGAATGTGAAGAAATCCCGTTTCCAACGAAGGCCTCAAAGAGGTCTGAATATCCACTTGCAGAGTTTACAAACAGAGTGATTCCTAACTGCTCTATGAGAAGAAAAGTTAAACTCTGTGAGTTGAACGCACACATCACAAAAGATTTTCTGAGAATCATTCTGTCTAGTTTTGAAACGAAGATTTTTCCTTTTCTGCCATTGACCTTAAAGCGCTTGAAATCTACACTTGCAAATTGCACAAATAGAATGTTTCAAATCTGCTCTGTCTAAGGGAACGTTCATCTCTGTGAGTTGAATGCACACAACACAAGGAAGTTACTGGGAATTCTTCTGTCTAGCCTTACAGGAAAAAAACCCGTTTCCAACGAAGGCCTCTAAGTGGTCAAGTTATCCACGTGCAGACTTTACAACCAGAGTGTTTCCAAACTGCTGAATGGAAAGAAAAGTTAAACTCTGAGAGTTGAACGCACACATCGCAGAGCAGTTTCTGAGAATGATTCTGTCTAGTTTTGAAACGAAGGCATTTCCTTTTCTGCCTTTGGCCTCAAAGCGCTTGAAATCTCCATTTGCAAATTCCACAAAAAGAGTGTTTCAAATCTGCTCTGTGTAAATGAAAGTTCAACTCTGTGAGTTGAACACACACAACACAAGGAAGTTACTGGGAAATCTTCTGTCTAGCATAGTATGAAGAAATCCCGTTTCCAACGAAGGCCTCAAAGAGGTCTGAATATCCACTTGCAGACTTTACAAACAGAGTGTTTCCTAACTGCTCTATGAAAAGAAAGGTAAAACTCTGTGAGTTGAACGCACACATCACAAAGAAGTTTCTGAGAATCATTCTGTCTAATTTTTATATGAAGATATTTCCTTTTCTATCATTGACATCAAAGCGGCTGAAATCTCCACTTGCAAATACCACAAAAAGAGTGTTTCAAATCTGCTCTGTGTAAATGAAAGTTCAACTCTGTCAGTTGAATACACACAACAAAAGGAAGTTACTGAGAATTCTTCTGTCTAGCAGAATATGAAGAAATCCCGTTTCCAACGAAAGCCTCAAGGAGGTCTGAATATCCACTTGCAGACTTTACAAACAGAGTGTTTCCTAACTGCTCTATGAAAAGAAAGGTTAAACTCTGTGACTTGAACGCACACATCACAAAGGAGTTTCTGAGAATCATTCTGTCTAGTTTCTATAGGAAGATATTTCCTATTCTACCATTGACCTCAAAGCGGCTGAAATCTCCACTTGCAAATTCCACAAAAAGAGTGTTTCAAGTCTGCTCTGTGTAAAGGATCGTTCAACTCTGTGAGTTGAATACAGACAACACAAGGAAGTTACTGAGAATTCTTCTGTCTAGCATAATATGAAGAAATCCCGTTTCCAACGAAGGCCTCAAAGAGGTGTGAATATCCACTTGCAGACTTTACAAACAGAGTGTTTCCTAACTGCTCTATGAAAAGAAAGGTTAAACTCTGTGAGTTGAACGCACACATCACAAAGGAGTTTCTGAGAATCATTCTGTCTAGTTTTGAAACGAAGATATTTCCTTTCCTGCCATTGACCTTAAAGCGCTTGAAATCTCCATTTGCCAATTGCACAAAAAGAGTGTTTCAAATCTGCTCTGTCTAAGGGAATGTTCAACTCTGTGAGTTGAATGTACACAACACAAGGAAGTTACTGGGAATTCTTCTGTCTAGCCTTACATGCAAAAAACCCGTTTCCAACGAAGGCCTCTAAGTGGTCAAAATATCCACGTGCAGACTTTACAAACAGACTGTTTCCAAACCGCTGAATGAAAAGAAAAGTTAAACTCTGAGAGTTGAACGCACACATCACGCAGCAGTTTCTGAGAATGATTCTGTCTAGTTTTGAAACGAAGATATTTCCTTTTCTGCCTTTGGCCTCAAAGCGCTTGAAATCTCCACTTGCAAATTCCACAAAAAGAGTGTTTCAAATCTGCTCTGTGTAAATGAAAGTTCAACTCTGTGTGTTGAACACACACAACACAAGGAAGTTACTGAGAATTCTTCTGTCTAGCATAATATGAAGAAATCCCTTTTCCAACGAAGGCCTCAAAGAGGTCTGAATATCCACTTGCAGACTTTACAAACAGAGTGTTTCCTAACTGCTCTATGAGAAGAAAAGTTAAACTCTTTGAGTTGAACGCACACATCACAAAAGATTTTCTGAGAATCATTCTGTCTAGTTTTTATAGGAAGATATTTCCTTTTCTACCTTTGACTTCAAAGCGGCTGAAATCTCCACTTGCAAATTCCACAAAAAGAGGGTTACAAGTCTGCTCTGTGTAAAGGATCGTTCAACTCTGTGAGTTGAATACACACAACACAAGGAAGTTACTGAGAATTCTTCTGTCTAGCAGAATATGAAGAAATCCCGTTTCCAACGAAGGCCACAAGATGTCAGAATATCCACTTACAGACTTTACAGAGTGTTTCCTAACTGCTCTATGAACAGAAAGGTTAAACTCTGTGAGTTGAACGAACACATCACAACGCAGTTTGTGGGAATGATTCTGTCTAGTTTTGAAACGAAGATATTTCCTTTTCTGCCATTGACCTTAAAGCGCTTGAAATCTACACTTGCAAATTGCACAAATAGAGTGTTTCAAATCTGCTCTGTCTAAGGGAACGTTGAACTCTGTGAGTTGAATGCACACAACACAAGGAAGTTACTGGGAATTCTTCTGTCTAGCATCATATGAAGAAATCCCTTTTCCAACGAAGGCCTCTAAGTGGTCAAAATATCCACGTGCAGACTTTACAAACAGAGTGTTTCCAAACTGCTGAATGAAAAGAAAAGTTAAACTCTGAGAGTTGAACGCACACATCACAGAGCAGTTTCTGAGAATGATTCTGTCTAGTTTTTATACGAAGATATTTCCTTTTCTACCATTGACCTCAAAGCGGCTGAAATCTCCACTTGCCAATTCCACAAAAAGAGTGTTTCAAGTATACTCTGTGTAATGGATCGTTGAACTCTGTGAGTTGAAAACACACAACACAAGGAAGTTTCTGAGAATTCTTCTGTATAGCAGAATATGAAGAAATCCCGTTTCCAACGAAGGCCTCAAGGAGGTCTGAATATCCACTTGCAGAATTTACAAACAGAGTGTTTCCTAACTGCTCTATGAAAAGGAAGGTTAAACTCTGTGAGTTGAACGCAGACATCACAAAGGAGTTTCTGAGAATCACTCTGTCTAGTTTCTATAGGAAGATATTTCCTATTCTACCATTGACCTCAAAGCGGCTGAAATCTCCACTTGCAAATTCCACAAAAAGATTGTTTCAAGTCTGCTCTGTGTAAAGGATCGTTCAACTCTGTGAGTTGAATACACACAATACAAGGAAGTTACTGAGAATTCTTCTGTCTAGCAGAACATGAAGAAATCCCGCTTCCAACGAAGGACTCAAAGAAGTCTGAATATCCACTTGCAGACTTTACAAACAGAGTGTTTCCTAACTGCTCTATGAAAAGAAAGGTTGAACTCTGTGAGTTGAACGCACACATCACAAAGGAGTTTCTGAGAATCATTCTGTCTAGTTTTTATACGAAGATATTTCCTTTTCTACCATTGACCTCAACGCGGCTGAAATCTCCACTTGCAAATTCCACAAAACGAGTGTTTCAAGTCCGCTCTGTGTAAAGGATCGTTCAACTCTGTGAGTTGAATACACACAACACAAGGTAGTTACTGAGAATTCTTCTGTCTAGCAGAATATGAAGAAATCTCGTTTCCAACGAAGGCCACAAGATGTCAGAATATCCACTTACAGAATTGACAAACAGACTGTTTCCTAACTGCTCTATGAAAAGAAAGGTTAAACTCTGTGTGTTGAACGAACACATCACAACGCAGTTTGTGGGAATGATTCTGTCTAGTTTTGAAACGAAGATATTTCCTTTTCTGCCATTGACCTTAAAGCGCTTGAAATCTCCACTTTCCAATTGCACAAAAAGAGTGTTTCAAATCTGCTCTGTCTAAGGGAACGTTCAACTCTGTGAGTTGAATGTACACAACACAAGGAAGTTACTGGGAATTCTTCTGTCTAGCCTTACATGAAAAAAACCCGTTTCCAACGAAGGCCTCTAAGTGGTCAAATTATCCACGTGCAGACTTTACAAACAGAGTGTTTCCAAACTGCTGAATGAAAAGCAAAGTTAAACTCTGAGAGTTGAACGCACACATCGCAGAGCACTTTCTGAGAATGATTCTGTCTAGTTTTTATACGAAGATATTTCCTTTTCTACCATTGACCTCAACGCGGCTGAAATCTCCACTTGCAAATTCCACAAAAAGAGTGTTTCAAGTCCTCTCTGTGTAAAGGATCGTTCAACTCTGTGAGTTGAATACACACAACACAAGGAAGTTACTGAGAATTCTTCTGTCTAGCACAGTATGAAGAAATCCCGTTTCCAACGAAGGCCTCAAAGAGGTGTGAATATCGACTTGCAGAGTTTACAAACAGAGTGTTTCCTAACTGCTGTATGAAAAGAAAGGTTAAACTCTGTGAGTTGAACGCACACATCACAATGAAGTTTCTGAGAATCATTCTGTCTACTTTCTATAGGAAGATATTTCCTATTCTACCATTGACCTCAAAGCGGCTGAAATCTCCACTTGCAAATTCCACAAAAGGAGTGTTTCAAGTCTGCTCTGTGTAAAGGATCGTTCAACTCTGTGAGTTGAAAACACACAACACAAGGGAAGTTTCTGAGAATTCTTCTGTCTAGCAGAATGTGAAGAAATCCCGTTTCCAACGAAGGCCACAAGATGTCAGAATATCCACTTACAGAGTTTACAAACAGAGTGTTTCCTAACTGCTCTATGAACAGAAAGGTTAAACTCTGTGAGTTGAACGAACACATCACAACGCAGTTTGTGGGAATGATTCTGTCTAGTTTTGAAACGAAAATATTTCCTTTTCTGCCATTGACCTTAAAGCGCTTGAAATCTACACTTGCAAATTGCACAAATAGAGTGTTTCAAATCTGCTCTGTCTAAGGGAACGTTCAACTGCTGTGAGTTGAATGCACACAACACAAGGAAGTTACTGGGAATTCTTCTGTCTAGCCTTACAGGAAAAAAACCCGTTTCCAACGAAGGCCTCTAAGTGGTCAAAATATCCACGTGCAGACTTTAAAAACAGAGTGTTTCCAAACTGCTGAATGAAAAGAAAAGTTAAACTCTGAGAGTTGAACGCACACATCGCAGAGCAGTTTCTGAGAATGATTCTGTCTAGTTTTTCTACGAAGATATTTCCTTTTCTACTATTGACCTCAAAGCGGCTGAAATCTCCATTTGCAAATTCCACAAAAAGAGTGATTCAAGTCTGCTCTGTGTAAAGGATCGTTCAACTCTGTGAGTTGAATACACACAACACAAGGAAGTTACTGAGAATTCTTCTGTCTAGCAGAATGTGAAGAAATCCCGTTTCCAACGAAGGCCTCAAAGAGGTCTGAATATCCACTTGCAGACTTTACAAACATAGTGTTTCCTAACTGCTCTATGAAAAGAAAAGTTAAACTCTGTGAGTTCAACGCACACATCACAAAGGAGTTTCTGAGAATCATTCTGTCTAGTTTTTCCACGAAGATATTTCCTTTTCTACTACTGACCTCAAAGCGGCTGAAATCTCCACTTGCAAATTCTACAAATAGAGTGTTTCAAGTCTGCTCTGTGTAAAGGATCGTTCAACTCTGTGAGTTGAATACACACAACACAAGGAAGTTACTGAGAATTCTTCTGTCTAGCAGAATATGAAGAAATCCCGTTTCCAACGAAGGCCACAAGATGTCAGAATATCCACTTACAGACTTTACAAACAGAGTTTTTCCTAACTGCTCTATGAACAGAAAGGTTAAACTCTGTGAGTTGAACGAACACATCACAACGCAGTTTGTGGGAATGATTCTGTCTAGTTTTGAAACGAAGATATTTCCTTTTCTGCCATTGACCTTAAAGCGCTTGAAATCTCCATTTGCCAATTGCACAAAAAGAGTGTTTCAAATCTGCTCTGTCTAAGGGAACGTTCAACTCTGTGAGTTGAATGTACACAACACCAGGAAGTTACTGGGAATTCTTCTGTCTAGCCTTACATGAAAAAAAACCGTTTCCAACGAAGGCCTCTAAGTGGTCAAATTATCCACGTGCAGACTTTACAAACAGAGTGTTTCCAAACTGCTGAATGAAAAGAAAAGTTAAACTCTGAGAGTTGAACGCACACATCACAGAGCAGTTTCTGAGAATGATTCTGTCTAGTTTTGAAACGAAGATATTTCCTTTTCTGCCTTTGGCCTCAAAGCGCTTGAAATCTCCATTTGCAAATTCCACAAAAAGAGTGTTTCAAATCTGCTCTGTTTAAATGAAAGTTCAACTCTGTGAGTTGAACACACACAACACAAGGAAGTTACTGGGAATTCTTCCGTCTAGCAGAATATGAAGAAATCCCGCTTCCAACGAAGGCCTCAAAGAAGTTTGAATATCCACTTGCAGACTTTACAAACAGAGTGTTTCCCAACTGCTCTATGAAAAGAAAGGTTGAACTCTGTGAGTTGAACGCACACATCACAAAGGAGTTTCTGAGAATCATTCTGTCTAGTTTCTATAGGAAGATATTTCCTATTCTACCATTGACCTCAAAGCGGCTGAAATCTCCAGTTGCAAATTCCACAAAAAGAGAGTTTCAAGTCTGCTCTGTGTAAATCATCGTTCAACTCTGTGAGTTGAATACACACAACACAAGGAAGTTACTGAGAATTCTTCTGTCTAGCAGAATATGAAGAAATCCCGTTTCCAACGAAGGCCACAAGGATGTCAGAATATCCACTTACAGACTTTACAAACAGAGTGTTTCCTAACTGCTCTATGAACAGAAAGGTTAAACTCTGTGAGTTGAGCGAACACATCACAACGCAGTTTGTGGGAATGATTCTGTCTAGTTTTGAAACGAAGATATTTCCTTTTCTGCCGTTGACCTTAAAGCGCTTGAAATCTACACTTGGAAATTGCACAAATAGAGTGTTTCAAATCTGCTCTGTCTAAGGGTACGTTCAACTCTGTGAGTTGAATGCACACAACACAAGGAAGTTACTGGGAATTCTTCTGTCTAGCCTTACATGAAAAAAACCCGTTTCCAACGAAGGCCTCTAAGGGGTCAAAATATCCACGTGCAGTCTTTACAAACAGAGTGTTTCCAAACCGCTGAATGAAAAGAAAAGTTAAACTCTGAGAGTTGAACGCACACATCACGCAGCAGTTTCTGAGAATGATTCTGTCTAGTTTTTATACGAAGATATTTCTTTTTCTGCCTTTGGCCCCAAAGCGCTTGAAATCTCCACTTGCAAATTCCACAAAAACAGTGTTTCAAATCTGCTGTCTCTAAATGAAAGTTCAACTCTGTCAGTTGAATACACACAACACAAGGAAGTTACTGAGAATTCTTCTGTCTAGCCTTATATGAGAAAAACCCGTTTCCAACGAAGGCCTCAAAGAGGTCTGAATATCCACTTGCAGACTTTACAAACAGAGTGTTTCCTAACTGCTCTATGAAAAGAAAGGTTAAACTCTGTGAGTTGAACGCACACATCACAAAGGAGTTTCTGAGAATCATTCTGTCTAGTTTTTATACGAAGATATTTCCTTTTCTACCAAGGACCTCAAAGCGGCTGAAATCTCCACTTGCAAATTCCACAAAAAGAGTGTTTCAAGTCTGCTCTGTGTAAAGGATCGTTCAACTCTGTGAGTTGAATACACACAACACAAGGAAGATTCTGAGAATTCTTCTGTCTAGCAGAATATGAAGAAATCCCGTTTCCAACGAAGGCCTCAAAGAGGTCTGAATATCCACTTGCAGACTTTACAAACAGAGGGTTTCCTAACTGCTCTATGAAAAGAAAGGTTAAACTCTGTGAGTTGAACGCACACATCACAAAGGAGTTTCTGAGAATCATTCTGTCTAGTTTTTATACGAAGATATTTCCTTTTCTACCATGGACTTCAAAGCGGCTGAAATCTCCACTTGCAAATTCCACAAAAAGAGTGTTTCAAGTCTGCTCTGTGTAAAGGATCGTTCAACTCTGTGAGTTGAATACACACAACACAAGGAAAGATTCTGAGAATTCTTCTGTCTAGCAGAATATGAAGAAATCCCGTTTCCAACGAAGGCCACAAGATGTCAGAATATCCACTTACAGAATTGACAAACAGACTGTTTCCTAACTGCTCTATGAAAAGAAAGGTTAAACTCTGTGAGTTGAACGAAAACATCACAACGCAGTTTGTGGGAATGATTCTGTCTAGTTTTGAAACGATGATATTTCCTTTTCTGCCGTTGACCTTAAAGAGCTTGAAAACTACACTTGCAAATTGCAGAAATAGAGTGTTTCAAATCTGCTCTGTCTAAGGGAACGTTCAACTCTGTGAGTTGAATGCACACAACACAAGGAAGTTACTGGGAATTCTTCTGTCTAGCCTTACATGAAAAAAACCCGTTTCCAACGAAGGCCTCTAAGTGGTCAAAATTTCCACGTGCAGACTTTACAAAGAGAGTGTTTCCAAACCGTTGAATGAAAAGAAAAGTTAAACTCTGAGAGTTGAACGCACACATCACGCAGCAGTTTCTGAGAATGATTCTGTCTAGTTTTTATAGGAAGATATTTCCTTTTCTGCCTTTGGCCCCAAAGCGCTTGAAATCTCCATTTGCAAATTCCACAAAAACAGTGTTTCAAATCTGCTCTCTCTAAATGAAAGTTCAACTCTGTCAGTTGAATACACACAACACAAGGAAGTTACTGAGAATTCTTCTCTCTAGCAGAATATGAAGAAATCCCGTTTCCAACGAAGGCCTCAAAGAGGTCTGAATATCCACTTGCAGACTTTACAAACAGAGTGTTTCCTAACTGCTCTATGAAAAGAAAGGTTAAACTCTGTGAGTTGAACGCACACATCACAAAGGAGTTTCTGAGAATCATTCTGTCTAGTCTTTATACGAAGATATTTCCTTTTCTACCATTGACCTCAAAGCGGCTGAAATCTCCACTTGCAAATTCCACAAAAAGAGTGTTTCAAGTCTGCTCTGCGTAAAGGATCGTTCGACTCTGTGAGTTGAATACACACAACACAAGGAAGTTACTGAGAATTCTTCTGTCTAGCATAATATGAAGAAATCCCGTTTCCAACGAAGGCCTCAAAGGGGTCTGAATATCCACTTGCAGACTTTATAAACAGAGTGTTTACTAACTGCTCTATGAAAAGAAAGGTTAAACTCTGTGAGTTGAACACACACATCACAAAGGAGTTTCTGAGAATCGTTCTGTCTAGTTTTTATACGAAGATATTTCCTTTTCTACCATTGACCTCAAAGCGGCTGAAATCTCCACTTGCAAATTCCACAAATCGAGTGTTTCAAGTCTGCTCTGTGTAAAGGATCGTTCAACTCTGTGAGTTGAATACACACAACACAAGGAAGTTACTGAGAATTCTTCTGTCTAGCAGAATATGAAGAAATCCCGTTTCCAACGAAGGCCTCAAGGAGGTCTGAATATCCACTTGCAGACTTTACAAACAGAGTGTTTCCTAACTGCTCTATGAACAGAAAGGTTAAACTATGTGAGTTGAACGAACGCATCACAACGCAGTTTGTGGGAATGATTCTGTCTAGTTTTTATAGGAAGATATTTCCTTTTCTACCTTTGACTTCAAAGCGGCTGAAGTCTCCACTTGCAAATTCCACAAAAAGAGTGTTACAAGTCTGCTCTGTGTAAAGGATCGTTCAACTCTGTGAGTTGAATACACACAACACAAGGAAGTTACTGAGAATTCTTCTGTCTACCCTTACATGAAAAAAACCCGTTTCCAACGAAGGCCTCTAAGTGGTCAAAATATCCACGTGCAGACTTTACAAACAGAGTGTTTCCAAACTGCTGAATGAAAACAAAAGTTAAACTCTGAGAGTTGAACGTACACATCACAGAGCATTTTCTGAGAATGATTCTGTCTAGTTTCGAAACGAAGATATTTCCTTTTCTGCTTTGGCCTCAAAGCGCTTGAAATCTCCACTTGCAAATTCCACAAAAAGAGTGTTTCAAATCTGCTCTGTGTAAATGAAAGTTCAACTCTGTGAGTTGAACACACACAACACAAGGAAGTTACTGGGAATTCTTCTGTCTAGCATAATATGAAGAAATCCCGTTTCCAACGAAGGCCTGAAAGGGGTCTGAATATCCACTTGCAGACTTTATAAACAGAGTGTTTACTAACTGCTCTAGGAAAAGAAAGGTTAAACTCTGTGAGTTGAACACACACATCACAAAGGAGTTTCTGAGAATCATTCTGTCTAGTCTTTATAGGAAGATATTTACTTTTCTACCATTGACCTCAAAGCGGCTGAAATCTCCACTTGCAAATTCCACAAAAAGAGTGTTTCAAGTCTGCTCTGTGTAAAGGATCATTCAACTCTGTGAGTTGAATAAACACAACACAAGGAAAGTTACTGAGAATTCTTCTGTCTAGCAGAATATGAAGAAATCCCTTTTCCAAAGAAGGCCACAAGATGTCAGAATATCTACTTACAGACTTTACAAACAGAGTTTTTCCTAACTGCTCTATGAACAGAAAGGTTAAACTCTGTGAGTTGAACGAACACATCACAACGCAGTTTGTGGGAATGATTTTGTCTAGTTTTGAAACGAAGATATTTCCTTTTCTGCCATTGACCTCAAAGCGCTTGAAATCTCCACTTGCCAATTGCACAAAAAGAGTGTTTCAAATCTGCTCTGTCTAAGGAAACGTTCAACTCTGTGAGTTGAATGTACACAACACAAGGAAGTTACTGGGAATTCTTCTGTCTAGCCTTACATGAAAAAAACCCGTTTCCAACGAAGGCCTCTAAGTGGTCAAATTATCCACGTGCAGACTTTACAAACAGAGTGTTTCCAAACTGCTGAATGAAAAGAAAAGTTAAATTCTGAGAGTTGAACGCACACATCGCAGAGCAGTTTCTGAGAATGATTCTGTCTAGTTTTTATACGAAGATATTTCCTTTTCTGCCTTTGGCCCCAAAGCGCTTGAAATCTCCACTTGCAAATTCCACAAAAACAGTGTTACAAATCTGCTCTCTCTAAATGAAAGTTCAACTCTGTCAGTTGAAAACACACAACACAATGAAGTTACTGAGAATTCTTGTGTCTAGCATAATATGAAGAAATCCCGTTTCCAACGAAGGCCTCAAGGAGGTCTGAATATCCACTTGCACACATTACAAACAGAGTGTTTCCTAACTGCTCTATGAAAAGAAAGGTTAAACTCTGTGAGTTGAACGCACACATCACAAAGGAGTTTCTCAGAATCATTCTGTCTAGTTTCTATAGGAAGATATTTCCTATTCTACCATTGACCTCAAAGCGGCTGAAATCTCCACTTGCAAATTCCACAAAAAGAGTGTTTCAAGTCTGCTCTGTGTAAAGGATCCTTCAACTCTGTGAGTTGAATACACACAACACAAGGAAGTTACTGAGAATTCTTTTGTCTAGCATAATATGAAGAAATCCCGTTTCCAACGAAGGCCTCAAAGAGGTCTGAATATCCACTTGCAGACTTTACAAACAGAGTGTTTCCTAACTGCTCTATGAACAGAAAGGTTAAACTCTGTGAGTTGAACGAATACATCACAACGCAGTTTGTGGGAATGATTCTGTCTAGTTTTGAAACGAAGATATTTCCTTTTCTGCCATTGACCTTAAATCACTTGAAATCTACACTTGCAATTTGCACAAATATAGTGTTTCAAATCTGCTCTGTCTAAGGGAACGTTCAACTCTGTGAGTTGAATGCACACTACACAAGGAAGTTACTGGGAATTCTTCTGTCTAGCCTTACATGAAAAAAACCCGTTTCCAACGAAGGCCTCTAAGCGGTCAAATTATGCACGTGCAGACTTTACAAACAGAGTGTTTCCAAACTGCTGAATGAAAAGAAAAGTTAAACTCTGAGAGTTGAACGCACACATCGCAGAGCAGTTTCTCAGCATGATTCTGTCTAGTTTTTATACGAAGATATTTCCTTTTCTGCCTTTGGCCTCAAAGCGCTTGAAATCTCCACTTGCAAATTCCACAAAAAGAGTGTTTCAAATCTGCTCTGTGTAAATGAAAGTTCAACTCTGTGAGTTGAACACACACAGCACAAGGAAGTTACTGGGAATTCTTCTGTCTAGCAGAATATGAAGAAATCCCGTTTCCAACGAAGGCCTCAAAGAGGTCTGAATATCCACTTGCAGACTTTACAAACAGAGTGTTTCCCAACTGCTCTATGAAAAGAAAGGTTAAACTCTGTGAGTTGAACGCACACATCACAAAGGAGTTTCTGAGAATCATTCTGTCTAGTTTCTATAGGAAGATATTTCCTATTCTACCATTGACCTCAAAGCGGCTGAAATCTCCACTTGCAAATTCCGCAAGAAGAGTGTTTCAAGTCTGCTCTGTGTAAAGGATCGTTCAACTCTGTGAGTTGAATACACACAACACAAGGAAATTACTGAGAATTCTTCTGTCTAGCACAGTATGAAGAAATCCCGTTTCCAACGAAGGCCTCAAAGAGGTCTGAATATCCACTTGCAGAGTTTACAAACAGTGTTTCCTAACTGCTCTATGAAAAGAAAGGTTAAACTCTGTGAGTTGAACGCACACATCACAATGAAGTTTCTGAGAATTATTCTGTCTAGTTTTTAAACGAAGATATTTCCTTTTCTACCATTGACCTCAATGCGGCTGAAATCTCCACTTGCAAATTACACAAAAAGAGTGTTTCAAGTCTACTCTGTGTAAAGCATCGTTCAACTCTGTGAGTTGAAAACACACAACACAAGGAAGTTTCTGAGAATTCTTCTTTCTAGCATAATATGAAGAAATCCCGTTTCCAACGAAGGCCACAAGATGTCAGAATATCCACTTACAGACTTTACAAACAGAGTGTTTCCTAACTGCTCTATGAACAGAAAGGTTAAACTCTGTGAGTTGAACCGAACACATCACAACGCAGTTTGTGGGAATGATTCTGTCTAGTTTTGAAACGAAGATATTTCCTTTTCTGCCATTGACCTTAAAGCGCTTGAAATCTACACTTGCAAATTGCACAAATAGAGTGTTTCAAATCTGCTCTGTCTAAGGGAACGTTCAACTCTGTGAGTGGAATGCACACAACACAAGGAAGTTACTGGGAATTCTTCTGTCTAGCCTTACATGAAAAAAACCCGTTTCCAACGAAGGCCTCTAAGTGGTCAAAATATCCACGTGCAGACTTTACAAACAGAGTGTTTCCAAACCGCTGAATGAAAAGAAAAGTTAAACTCTGAGAGTTGAACGCATACATCACGCAGCAGTTTCTGAGAATGATTCTGTGTAGTTTTCAAACGAAGATATTTCCTTTTCTGCCTTTGGCCTCAAAGCGCTTGAAATCTCCACTTGCAAATTCCACAAAAAGAGTGTTTCAAATCTGCTCTGTGTAAATGAAAGTTCAACTCTGTGAGTTGAACACACACAACACAAGGAAGTTACTGGGAATTCTTCTGTCTAGCATAATATGAAGAAATCCCGTTTCCAACGAAGGCCTCAAAGAGGTCTGAATATACACTTGCAGACTTTACAAACAGAGTGTTTCCTAACTGCTCTATGAAAAGAAAAGTTAAACTCTGTGAGGTGAACGCACACATCACAAAGGAGTTTCTGAGAATCATTCTGTCTAGTTTTTATAGGAAGTTATTTCCTTTTCTACCTTTGACTTCAAAGTGGCTGAAATCTCCACTTGCAAATTCCACAAAAAGAGTGTTACAAGTCTGTTCTGTGTAAAGGATCGTTCAACTCTGTGAGTTGAATACACACAACACAAGGAAGTTACTGAGAATTCTTCTGTCTAGCAGAATATGAAGAAATCCCGTTTCAAACGAAGGCCACAAGATGTCAGAATATCCACTTTCAGACTTTACAAACAGAGTGTTTCCTAACTGCTCTATGAACAGAAAAGTTAAACTCTGTGAGTTGAACGAACACATCACAACGCAGTTTGTGGGAATGATTCTGTCTAGTTTTGAAACGAAGATATTTCCTTTTCTGCCATTGACCTTAAAGCGCTTGAAATCTACACTTGCAAATTCACAAATAGAGTGTTTCAAATCTGCTCTGTCTAAGGGAACGTTCAACACTGTGAGTTGAATGCACACAACACAAGGAAGTTACTGGGAATTCTTCTGTCTAGCCTTACATGAAAAAAACGCGTTTCCAACGAAAGCCTCTAAGTGGTCAAAATATCCACGTGCAGACTTACAAACAGAGTGTTTCCAAACCGCTGAATGAAAAGAAAAGTTAAACTCTGAGAGTTGAACGCACACATCACGCAGCAGTTTCTGAGAATGATTCTGTCTAGTTTTTATACGAAGATATTTCCTTTTCTGCCTTTGGCCCCAAAGCGCTTGAAATCTCCACTTGCAAACTCCACAAAAACAGTGTTTCAAATCTGCTCTCTCTAAATGAAAGTTCAACTCTGTCAGTTGAATACACACAACACAAGGAAGTTACTGAGAATTCTTCTGTCTAGCAGAATATGAAGAAATCCCGTTTCCAACGAAGGCCTCAAGGAGGTCTGAATATCCACTTGCAGACTTTACAAACAGAGTGTTTCCTAACACCTCTATGAACAGAAAGGTTAAACTCTGTGAGTTGAACGCACACATCACAAAGGAGTTTCTGAGAATCATTCTGTCTAGTTTTTATACGAAGATATTTCCTTTTCTACCATGGACTTCAAAGCGGCTGAAATCTCCACTTGCAAATTCCACAAAAAGAGTGTTTCAAGTCTGCTCTGTGTAAAGGATCGTTCAACTCTGTGAGTTGAATACACACAACACAAGGAAGATTCTGAGAATTCTTCTGTCTAGCAGAATATGAAGAAATCCCGTTTCCAACGAAGGCCACAAGATGTCAGAATATCCACTTACAGAATTGACAAACAGACTGTTTCCTAACTGCTCTATGAAAAGAAAGGTTCAACTCTGTGAGTTGAACGAACACATCACAACGCAGTTTGTGGGAATGATTCTGTCTAGTTTTGAAACGAAGATATTTCCTTTTCTGCCATTGACCTTAAAGCGCTTGAAATCTCCATTAGCCAATTGCACAAAAAGAGTGTTTCAAATCTGCTCTGTCTAAGGGAACGTTCAACTCTGTGAGTTGAATGTACACAACACAAGGAAGTTACTGGGAATTCTTCTGTCTAGCCTTACAGGAAAAAAACCCGTTTCCAACGAAGGCCTCTAAGTGGTCAAAATATCCACGTGCAGACTTTACAAACAGAGTGTTTCCAAACTGCTGAATGAAAAGAAAAGTTAAACTCTGAGAGTTGAACGCACACATCGCAGAGCAGTTTTTGAGAATGATTCTGTCTAGTTTTTATACGAAGATATTTCCTTTTCTGCCTTTGGCCTCAAAGCGCTTGAAATCTCCATTTGCAAATTCCACAAAAAGAGTGTTTCAAATCTGCTCTGTGTAAACGAAAGTTCAACTGTGTGAGTTGAACACACACAACACAAGGAAGTTACTGGGAATTCTTCTGTCTAGCATAATATGAAGAAATCCCGTTTCCAACGAAGGCCTCAAAGGGGTCTGAATATCCACTTGCAGACTTTATAAACAGAGTGTTTACTAACTGCTCTATGAAAAGAAAGGTTAAACTCTGTGAGTTGAACACACACATGACAAAGGAGTTTCTGAGAATCATTCTGTCTAGTTTTTCTACGAAGTTATTTCCTTTTCTACTATTGACCTCAAAGCGGCTGAAATCTCCAGTTGCAAATTCCACAAAAAGAGTGTTTCAAGTCTGCTCTGTGTAAAGGATCGTTCATCTCTGTGAGTTGAATACACACAACACAAGGAAGTTACTGAGAATTCTTCTGTCTAGTTTTGAAACGAAGATATTTCCTTTTCTGCCGTTGACCTTAAAGCGCTTGAAATCTACACTTGCAAATTGCACAAATAGAGTGTTTCCTATCTGCTCTGCCTAAGGGAACGTTCAACTCTGTGAGTTGAATGCACACAACACAAGGAAGTTACTGGGAATTCTTCTGTCTAGCCTTACAGGAAAAAAACCCGTTTCCAACGAAGGCCTCTAAGTGGTCAAAATATCCACCTGCAGACTTTACAAAGAGAGTGTTTCCAAACTGCTGAATGAAAAGAAAAGTTAAACTCTGAGACTTGAACGCACACATCGCAGAGCAGTTTCTGAGAATGATTCTGTCTAGTTTTTATACGAAGCATATTTCCATTTCTGCCTTTGGCCTCAAAGCGCTTGAAATCTCCATTTGCAAAGTCCACAAAAAGAGTGTTTCAAATCTGCTCTGTGTAACTGAAAGTTCAACTCTGTGAGTTGAACACACACAACACAAGGAAAGTTACTGGGAATTCTTCTGTCTAGCCTTATATGAAAAAAACCCGTTTCCAACGAAGTCCTCAAAGAGGTCTGAATATCCACTTGCAGAGTTTACAAACAGAGTGTTTCCTAACTGCTCTATGAAAAGAAAGGTTAAACTCTGTGAGTTGAACACACACATCACAAAGAAGTTTCTGAGAATCATTCTGTCTAGTTTTTATAGGAAGATATTTCCTTTTCTACATTTGACTTCAAAGCGGCTGAAATCTCCACTTGCAAATTCCACAAAAAGAGTGTTACAAGTCTGCTCTGTGTAAAGGATCGTTCAACTCTGTGAGTTGAATACACACAACACAAGGAAGTTACTGAGAATTCTTCTGTCTAGGAGAATGTGAAGAAATCCCGTTTCCAACGAAGGCCACAAGATGTCAGAATATCCACTTACAGAATTGACAAACAGACTGTTTCCTAACTGCTCTATGAAAAGAAAGGTTAAACTCTGTGAGTTGAACGAACACATCACAACGCAGTTTGTGGGAATGATTCTGTCTAGTTTTGAAACGAAGATATTTCCTTTTTCTGCCGTTGACCTTAAAGCGCTTGAAATCTACACTTGCAAATTGCACAAATAGAGTGTTTCAAATCTGCTCTGTCTAAGGGAACGTTCAACTCTGTGAGTTGAATGCACACAACACAAGGAAGTTACTGGGAATTCTTCTGTCTAGCCTTACATGCAAAAAACCCGTTTCCAACGAAGGCCCCTAAGTGGTCAAAATATCCACGTGCAGACTTTACAAACAGAGTGTTTCCAAACGGCTGAATGAAAAGAAAAGTTAAACTCTGAGAGTTGAACGCACACATCACGCAGCAGTTTCTGAGAATGATTCTGTCTAGTTTTTATACGAAGATATTTCCTTTTCTGCCTTTGGCCCCAAAGCGCTTGAAATCTCCACTTGCAACTTCCACAAAAACAGTGTTTCAAATCTGCTCTCTCTAAATGAAAGTTCAACTCTTTCAGTTGAATACACACAACACAAGGAAGTTACTGAGAATTCTTCTGTCGAGCCTTATATGAAAAAAACCCGTTTCCAACGAAGGCCTCAAAGAGGTCTGAATATCCACTTGCAGACTTTACAAACAGAGTGTTTCCTAACTGCTCTATGAAAAGAAAGGTTAAACTCTGTGAGTTGAACGCACACATCACAAAGGAGTTTCTGAGAATCATTCTGTCTAGTCTTTATACGAAGATAGTTTCCTTTTCAACCATTGACCTCAAAGCGGCTGAAATCTCCACTTACAAATTCCACAAAAAGAGTGTTTCAAGTCTGCTCTCTGTAAAGGATCGTTCAACTCTGTGAGTTGAATACACACAACACAAGGAAGTTACTGAGAATTCTTCTGTCTAGCATAATATGAAGAAATCCCGTTTCCACCGAAGGAATCAAGGAGGTCTGAATATCCACTTGCAGACTTTACAAACAGAGTGTTTCCTAACTGCTCTATGAACAGAAAGGTTAAACTCTGTGAGTTGAACGCACACATCACAAAGGAGTTTCTGAGAATCATTCTGTCTAGTTTCTATAAGAAGGTATTTCCTATTCTACCATTGACCTCAAAGCGGCTGAAATCTCCACTTGCAAATTCCACAAAAAGAGTGTTTCAAGCCTGCTCTCTGTAAAGGATCCTTCAACTCTGTGAGTTGAATACACACAACACAAGGAAGTTACTGAGAATTATTCTGTCTAGCATAATATGAAGAAATCCCGTTTCCAACGAAGGCCTCAAAGAAGTCTGAATATCCACTTGCACACTTTACAAACAGAATGTTTCCTAACTGCTCTATGAGAAGAAAAGTTAAACTCTGTGAGTTGAACGCACACATCACAAAAGATTTTCTGAGAATCATTCTGTCTAGTTTTGAAACGAAGAAATTTCCTTTTCTGCCATTGACCTTAAAGCGCTTGAAATCTACACTTGCAAATTGCACAAATAGAGTGTTTCAAATCTGCTCTGTCTAAGGGAACGTTCAACTCTGTGAGTTGAATGCACACAACACAAGGAAGTTACTGGGAATTCTTCTGTCTAGCCTTACATGAAAAAAACCCGTTTCCAACAAAGGCCTCTAAGTGGTCAAAATATCCACGTGCAGACTTTACAAACAGAGTGTTTCCAAACCGCTGAATGAAAAGAAAAGTTAAACTCTGAGAGTTGAACGCACACATCACGCAGCAGTTTCTGAGAATGATTCTGTCTAGTTTTTATACGAAGATATTTCCTTTTCTGCCTTTGGCCCCAAAGCGCTTGAAATCTCCACTTGCAAATTCCACAAAAACAGTGTTTCAAATCTGCTCTCTCTAAATGAAAGTTCAACTCTGTCAGTTGAATACACACAACACAAGGAAGTTACTGAGAATTGCTCTGTCTAGCCTTATATGAAAAAAACCCGTTTCCAACGAAGAGCCTCAAAGAGGTCTGAATATCCACTTGCAGACTTTACAAACAGAGTGTTTCCTAACTGCTCTATGAAAAGAAAGGTTAAACTCTGTGAGTTGAACGCACACATCACAAAGGAGTTTCTGAGAATCATTCTGTCTAGTTTTTATACGAAGATATTTCCTTTTCTGCCATTGACCTCAAAGCGGCTGAAATCTCCACTTGCAAATTCCACAAAAAGAGTGTTTCTAATGTGCTCTGTGTAAAGGATCATTCAACTCTGTGAGTTGAATGCACACAACACAAGGAAGTTACTGAGAATTCTTCTGTCTAGCAGAATATGAAGAAATCCCGTTTCCAACGAAGGCCACAAGATGTCAGAATATCCACTTACAGACTTTACAATCAGAGTGTTTCCTAACTGCTCTATGAACAGAAAGGTTAAACTCTGTGAGTTGAACGAACACATCACAACGCAGTTTGTGGGAATGATTCTGTCTAGTTTTTATACGAAGATATTTCCTTTTCTACCATTGACCTCAAAGCGGCTGAAATCACCACTTGCCAATTGCACAAAAAGAGTGTTTCAAATCTGCTCTGTCTAAGGGAACGTTCAACTCTGTGAGTGGAATGTACACAACGCAAGGAAGTTACTGGGAATTCTTCTGTCTAGCCTTACATGAAAAAAACCCGTTTCCAACGAAGGCCTCTAAGTGGTCAAAATTTCCACGTGCAGACTTTACAAACAGAGTGTTTCCAAACCGCTGAATGTAAAGAAAAGTTAAACTCTGAGAGTTGAACGCACACATCACGCAGCAGTTTCTGAGAATGATTCTGTCTAGTTTTTATACGAAGATATTTCCTTTTCTGCCTTTGGCCTGAAAGCGCTTGAAATCTCCATTTGCAAATTCCACAAAAAGAGTGTTTCAAATCTGCTCTGTGTAAATGAAAGTTCAACTCTGTGAGTTGAACACACACAACACAAGGAAGTTACTGGGAATTCTTCTGTCTAGCATAATATGAAGAAATCCCGTTTCCAACGAAGGCCTCAAGGAGGTCTGAATATCCACTTGCACACTTTACAAACAGAGTGTTTCCTAACTGCTCTATGAAAAGAAAGGTTAAACTCTGTGAGTTGAACGCACACATCACAAAGGAGTTTCTCAGAATCATTCTGTCTAGTTTCTATAGGAAGATATTTCCTATTCTACCATTGACCTCAAAGCGGCTGAAATCTCCACTTGCAAATTCCACAAAAAGAATGTTTCAAGTCTGCTCTGTGTAAAGGATCGTTCAACTCTGGGAGTTGAATACACACAACACAAGGAAGTTACTGAGAATTATTCTGTCTAGCAGAATATGAAAAAATCCCGTTTCCACTGAAGGCCACAAGATGTCAGAATATCCACTTACAGAATTTACCAACAGAGTGTTTCCTAACTGCTCTATGAAAAGAAAGGTTAAACTCTGTGAGTTGAACGAACACATCACAACGCAGTTTGTGGGAATGATTCTGTCTAGTTTTGAAACGAAGATATTTCCTTTTCTGCCATTGACCTTAAAGCGCTTGAAATCTACACTTGCAAATTGCACAAATGGAGTGTTTCAAATCTGCTCTGTCTAAGGGAACGTTCAACTCTGTGAGTTGAATGCACACAACACAAGGAAGTTACTGGGAATTCTTCTGTCTAGCCTTACATGAAGAAAACCCGTTTCCAACGAAGGCCTCTAAGTGGTCATAATATCCACGTGCAGACTTTACAAACAGAGTGTTTCCAAACCGCTGAATGAAAAGAAAAGTTAAACTCTGAGAGTTGAACGCACACATCACGCAGCAGTTTCTGAGAATGATTCTGTCCAGTTTTTATACGAAGATATTTCCTTTTCTGCCTTTGGCCCCAAAGCGCTTGAAATCTCCACTTGCAAATTCCACAAAAACAGTGTTTCAAATCTGCTCTCTCTAAATGAAAGTTCAACTCTGTCAGTTGAATACACACAACACAAGAAAGTTACTGAGAATTCTTCTGTCTAACATAATATGAAGAAATCCCGTTTCCAACGAAGGCCTCAAAGATGTCTGAATATCCACTTGCAGACTTTACAAACAGAGTGTTTCCTAACTGCTCTATGAAAAGAAAGGTTAAACTCTGTGAGTTGAACGCACACATCACAAAGGAGTTTCTGAGAATCATTCTGTCAAATTTCTATTGGAAGATATTTCCTTTTCAACCATTGACCTCAAAGCGGCTGAAATCTCCACTTGCAAATTCCACAAAAACAGTGTTTCAAGTCTGCTCTGTGTAAAGGATCGTTCAACTCTGTGATTGGAATACACACAACACAAGGAAGTTATTGAGAATTCTTCTGTGTAGCATAATATGAAGAAATCCCGTTTCCAACGAAGGCCTCAAGGATGTCAGAATATCCACTTGCAAACTTTACAAACAGAGTGTTTCCTAACTGCTCTGTGAAAAGAAAGGTTAAACTCTGTGAGTTGAACGCACACATCACAAAGGAGTTTCTGAGAATCATTCTGTCTAGTTTCTATACGAAGATATTTCATTTTCTACCATTAACCTCAAAGAGGCTGAAATCTCCGCTTGCAAACTCCACAAAAAGAGTGTTTCAAGTCTGCCCTGTGTAAAGGATCGTTCAACTCTGTGAGTTCAATGCACACAACACAAGGAAGTTACTGAGAATTCTTCTGTCTAGCAGAATATGAAGAAATCCCGTTTCCAACGAAGGCCTCAAAGAGGTCTGAATATCCACTTGCAGACTTTACAAACAGAGTGTTTCCTAACTGCTCTATGAAAAGAAAGGATAAACTCTGTGAGTTGAACTCACACATCACAAAGGAGTTTCTGAGAATCATTCTGTCTAGTTTTGAAACGAAGATATTTCCTTTTCTGCCGTTGACCTTAAAGAGCTTGAAAACTACACTTGCAAATTGCACAAATAGAGTGTTTCAAATCTGCTCTGTCTAAGGGAACGTTCAACTCTGTGAGTTGAATGCACACAACACAAGGGAAGTTACTGGGAATTCTTCTGTCTAGCCTTACATGAAAAAAACCCGTTTCCAACGAAGGCCTCTAAGTGGTCAAATTATCCACGTGCAGACTTTACAAACAGAGTGTTTCCAAACTGCTGAATGAGAAGAAAAGTTAAACTCTGAGAGTTGAACGGCACACATCGCAGAGCAGTTTCTGAGAATGATTCTGTCTAGTTTTTATACGAAGATATTTCCTTTTCTGCCTTTGGCCCCAAAGCGCTTGAAATCTCCACTTGCAAATTCCACAAAAACAGAGTTTCAAATCTGCTCTCTCTAAATGAAAGTTCAACTATGTCAGTTGAATACACACAACACAAGGAAGTTACTGAGAATTCTTCTGTCTAGCCTTATATGAAAAAAACCCGTTTCCAACGAAGGCCTCAAAGAGGTCTGAATATCCACATGCAGACTTTACAAACAGAGTGTTTCCTAACTGCTCTATGAAAAGAAAGGTTAAACTCTGTGAGTTGAACGCACACATCACAAAGGAGTTTCTGAGAATCATTCTGTCTAGTCTTTATACGAAGATATTTCCTTTTCTACCATTGACCCCAAAGCGGCTGAAATCTCCGCTTGCAAATTCCACAAAAAGAGTGTTTCAAGTCTGCTCTGTGTAAAGGATCGTTCAATTCTGTGAGTTGAATACACACAACACAAGGAAGTTACTGAGAATTCTTCTGTCTAGCAGAATATGAAGAAATCCCGTTTCCAACGAAGGCCACAAGCATGTCAGAATATCCACTTACAGACTTTACAAACAGAGTGTTTCCTAACTGCTCTATGAACAGAAAGGTTAAACTCTGTGAGTTGAACGCACACATCACAAAGGGGTTTCTGAGAATCATTCTGTCTAGTTTTGAAACGAAGATATTTCCTTTTCTGCCATTGACATTAAAGCGCTTGAAATCTACACTTGCAAATTGCACAAATAGAGTGTTTCAAATCTGCTCTGTCTAAGGGAACGTTCAACTCTGTGAGTTGAATGCACACAACACAAGGAAGTTACTGGGAATTCTTCTGTCTAGCCTTACATGAAAAAATCCCGTTTCCAACGAAGGCCTCTAAGTGATCAAAATATCCACGTGCAGACTTTACAAACAGAGTGTTTCCAAACCGCTGAATGAAAAGAAAAGTTAAACTCTGAGAGTTGAACGCACACATCACACAGCAGTTTCTGAGAATGATTCTGTCTAGTTTTTATACGAAGATATTTCCTTTTCTGCCTTTGGCCCCAAAGCGTTTGAAATCTCCACTTGCAAATTCCACAAAAACAGTATTTCAAATCTGCTCTCTCAAAATGAAAGTTCAACTCTGTCAGTTGAATACACACAACACAAGGAAGTTACTGAGAATTCTTCTGTCTAGCATAATATGAAGAAATCCCGTTTCCAACGAAGGCCTCAAAGGGGTCTGAATATCCACTTGCAGACTTTATAAATAGAGTGTTTACTAACTGCTCTATGAAAAGAAAGGTTAAACTCTGTGAGTTGAACACACACATCACAAAGGAGTTTCTGAGAATCATTCTGTCTAGTTTTTATACGAAGATATTTCCTATTCTACCATTGACCTCAAAGCGGCTGAAATCTCCAGTTGCAAATTCCACAGGAAGAGTGTTTCAAGTATGCTCTGTGTAAAGGATCGTTCAACTCTGTGAGTTGAATACACACAGCACAAGGAAGTTACTGAGAATTCTTCTGTCTAGGAGAATATGAAGAAATCCCATTTCCAACGAAGGCCACAAAATGTCAGAATATCCACTTACAGACTTTACAAACAGAGTGTTTCCTAACTGCTCTATGAACAGAAAGGTTAAACTCTGTGAGTTGAACGAACACATCACAACGCAGTTTGTGGGAATGATTCTGTCTAGTTTTGAAACGAAGATATTTCCTTTTCTGCCATTGACCTTAAAGAGCTTGAAATCTACACTTGCAAATTGCACAAATAGAGTGTTTCAAATCTGCTCTGTCTAAGGGAACGTTCAACTCTGTGAGTGGAATGCACACAACACAAGGAAGTTACTGGGAATTCTTCTGTCTAGCCTTACATGAAAAAAACCCGTTTCCAACGAAGGCCTCTAAGTGGTCAAAATATCCACGTGCAGACTTTACAAACAGAGTGTTTCCAAACCGCTGAATGAAAAGGAAAGTTAAACTCTGAGGGTTGAACACACACATCACGCAGCAGTTTCTGAGAATGATTCTGTCTAGTTTTTATACGAAGATATTTCCTTTTCTGCCTTTGGCCTCAAAGTGCTTGAAATCTCCACATGCAAACTCCACAAAAAGAGTGTTTCAAATCTGCTCTGTGTAAATGAAAGTTCAACTCTGTGAGTTGAACACACACAACACAAGGAAGTTACTGGGAATTCTTCTGTCTAGCAGAATATGAAGAAATCCCGTTTCCAACGAAGGCCTCAAAGAGGTCTGAATATCCACTTGCAGACATTACAAACAGAGTGTTTCCTAACTGCTTTATGAAAAGAAAGGTTAAACTCTGTGAGTTGAACGCACACATTATAAAGGAGATTCTGAGAATCATTCTGTCTAGTTTTTATAAGAAGATATTTCCTTTTCTACCATTGACCTCAACGCGGCTGAAATCTCCACTTGCAAATTCCACAAAAAGAGTGTTTCAAGTCCGCTCTGTGTAAAGGATCGTTCAACTCTGTGAGTTGAATACACACAACACAAGGAAGTTACTGAGAAGTCTTCTGTCTAGCATAGTATGAAGAAATCCCGTTTCCAACGAAGGCCTCAAAGAGGTCTGAATATCCACTTGCAGAGTTTACAAACAGAGTGTTTCCTAACTGCTCCATGAAAAGAAAGGTTAAACTCTGTGAGTTGAACGCACACATCACAAAGAAGTTTCTGAGAATCATTCTGTCTAGTTTTTCTACGAAGATATTTCCTATTCTACCATTGACCCCAAAGCGGCTGAAATCTCCACTTGCAAATTCCACAAAAAGAATGTTTCAAGTCTGCTCAGTGTAAAGGATCGTTCAACTCTGTGAGTTGAATACACACAACACAAGGAAGTTACTGAGAATTCTTCTGTCTAGCAGAATATGAAGAAATCCCGTTTCCAACGAAGGCCACAAGATGTCAGAATATCCACTTACAGAATTTACAAACAGACTGTTTCCTAACTGCTCTATGAAAAGAAAGGTTAAACTCTGTGAGATGAACGAACACATCACAACGCAGTTTGTGAGAATGATTCTGTCTAGTTTTGAAACGAAGATATTTCCTTTTCTGCCGTTGACCTTAAAGAGCTTGAAAACTACACTTGCAAATTGCACAAATAGAGTGTTTCAAATCTGCTCTGTCTAAGGGAACGTTCAACTCTGTGAGTTGAATGCACACAACACAAGGGAAGTTACTGGGAATTCTTCTGTCTAGCCTTACAGGAAAAAAACCCGTTTCCAACGAAGGCCTCTAAGTGGTCAAAATATACACGTGCAGACTTTACAAACAGAGTGTTTTCAAACTGCTGAATGAAAAGAAAAGTTAAACTCTGAGAGTTGAACGCACACATCGCAGAGCAGTTTCTGAGAATGATTCTGTCTAGTTTTGAAACGAAGATATTTCCTTTTCTGCCTTTGGCCTCAAATCGCTTGAAATCTCCACTTGCAAATTCCACAAAAAGAGTGTTTCAAATCTGCTCTGTGTAAATGAAAGTTCAACTCTGTGAGTTGAACACACACAACACAAGGAAGTTACTGGGAATTCTTCTTTCTAGCAGAATATGAAGAAATCCCGTTTCCAACGAAAGCCTCAAGGAGGTCTGAATATCCACTTGCAGACTTTACAAACAGAGTGTTTCCTAACTGCTCTATGAAAAGAAAGGTTAAACTCTGTGAGTTGAACGCACACATCACAAAGGAGTTTCTGAGAATCATTCTGTCTAGTTTCTATAGGAAGATATTTCCTATTCTACCATTGACCTCAAAGCGGCTGATATCTCCATTTGCAAATTCCACAAAAAGAGTGTTTCAAGTCTGCTCTGTGTAAAGGATCGTTCAACTCTGTGAGTTGAATACACACAACACAAGGAAGTTACTGAGAATTCTTCTGTCTAGCAGAATATGAAGAAATCCCGTTTCCAACGAAGGCCACAAGATGTCAGAATATCCACTTACAGAATTTACAAACAGACTGTTTCCTAACTGCTCTATGAAAAGAAAGGTTAAACTCTGTGAGTTTACGGAACACCTCACAACGCAGTTTGTGGGAATGATTCTGTCTAGTTTTGAAACGAAGATATTTCCTTTTCTGCCATTGACCTTAAAGCGCTTGAAATCTACACTTGCAAATTGCACAAATAGAGTGTTTTAAATCTGCTCTGTCTAAGGGAACGCTCAAATCTGTGAGTTGAATGCACACAACACAAGGAAGTTACTGGGAATTCTTCTGTCTAACCTTACATGACAAAAACCCGCTTCCAACGAAGGCCTCTAAGTGGTCAAAATATCCACGTGCAGACTTTACAAACAGAGTGTTTCCAAACTGCTGAATGAAAAGAAAAGTTAAACTCTGAGCGCTGAAGGCACACATCGCAGAGCAGTTTCTGAGAATGATTCTGTCTAGTTTTTATACGAAGATATTTCCTTTTCTGCCTTCGGCCTCAAAGCGCTTGAAATCTCCACCTGCAAATTCCAGAAAAAGAGTGTTTCAAATCTGCTCTGTCTAAATGAAAGTTCAACTCTGTCAGTTGAATACACACAACAAAAGGAAGTTACTGAGAATTCTTCTCTCTAGCATAATATGAAGAAATCCCGTTTCCAACGAAGGCCTCAAAGAGGTCTGAATATCCACTTGCAGACTTTACAAACAGAGTGTTTCCTAACTGCTCTATGAAAAGAAAAGTTAAACTCTTTGAGTTGAACGCACACATCACAAAGGAGTTTCTGAGAATCATTCTGTCTAGTTTTCCTACGAAGATATTTCCTTTTCTACTATTGACCTCAAAGCGGCTGAAATCTCCACTTGCAAATTCCACAAAAAGAGTGTTTCAAGTCTGCTCTGTGTAAAGGATCGTTCAACTCTGTGAGTTGAATACACACAACACAAGGAAGTTACTGAGAATTCTTCTGTCTAGCAGAATATGAAGAAATCCCGTTTCCAACGAAGGCCACAAGATGTCAGAATATCCACTTACAGAATTTTCAAACAGACTGTTTCCTAACTGCTCTATGAAAAGAAAGGTTAAACTCTGTGAGATGAACGAACACATCACAACGCAGTTTTTGGGAATGATTCTGTCTAGTTTTGAAACGAAGATATTTCCTTTTCTGCCATTGACCTCAAAGCGCTTGAAATCTCCACTTGCCAATTGCACAAAAAGAGTGTTTCAAATCTGCTCTGTCTAAGGGAACGTTCAACTCTGTGAGTTGAATGTACACAACACAAGGAAGTTACTGGGAATTCTTCTGTCTAGCCTTACATAAAAAAACCCGTTTCCAACGAAGGCCTCTAAGTGGTCAAATTATCCACGTGCAGACTTTACAAACAGAGTGTTTCCAAAC
The DNA here is from genome assembly GCF_000001405.40 of Homo sapiens. Lineage (NCBI taxonomy): Eukaryota > Metazoa > Chordata > Mammalia > Primates > Hominidae > Homo > Homo sapiens. The sequence continues at coordinate 47,895,013 of NC_000005.10, read as the reverse complement.
TGCTGAATGAAAAGAAAAGTTAAACTCTGAGAGTTGAACGCACACATCGCAGAGCAGTTTCTGAGAATGATTCTGTCTAGTTTTGAAACGAAGATATTTCCTTTTCTGCCTTTGGCCTCAAAGCGCTTGAAATCTCCACTTGCAAATTCCACAAAAAGAGTGTTTCAAATCTGCTCTGTGTAAATGGAAGTTCAACTCTGTGAGTTGAATACACACAACACAAGGAAGTTACTGAGAATTCTTCTGTCTAGCATAATATGAAGAAATCCCGTTTCCAACGAAGGCCTCAAAGAGGTCTGAATATCCACTTGCAGACTTTACAAACAGAGTGTTTCCTAACTGCTCTATGAAAAGAAAGGTTGAACTCTGTGAGTTGAACGCACACATCACAAAGGAGTTTCTGAGAATCATTCTGTCTAGTTTCTATAGGAAGATATTTCCTATTCTACCATTGACCTCAAAGCGGCTGAAATCTCCACTTGCAAATTCCACAAAAAGAGTGTTTCATGTCTGCTCTGTGTAAAGGATCGTTCAACTCTGTGAGTTGAATACACACAACACAAGGAAGTTACTGAGAATTCTTCAGTCTAGCAGAATATGAAGAAATCCCGTTTCCAACGAAGGCCTCAAGGAGGTCTGAATATCCACTTGCAGACTTTACAAACAGAGTGTTTCCTAACTGCTCTATGAAAAGAAAGGTTAAACTCTGTGAGTTGAACGCACACATCACAAAGGAGTTTATGAGAATCACTCTGTCTAGTTTCTATAGGAAGATATTTCCTATTCTACCATTGACCTCAAAGCGGCTGAAATCTCCACTTGCAAATTCCACAAAAAGAGTGTTTCAAGTCTGCTCTGTGTAAAGGATCGTTCAACTCTGTGACTTGAATACACACAACACAAGGAAGTTACTGAGAATTCTTCTTTCAAACAGAATATGAAGAAATCCCGTTTCCAACGAAAGCCTCAAGGATGTCTGAATATCCACTTGCAGACTTTACAAACAGAGTGTTTCCTAACTGCTCTATGAAAAGAAAGGTTAAACTCTGTGAGTTGAACGCACACATCACAAAGGAGATTCTGAGAATCATTCTGTCTAGTTTTGAAACGAAGATATTTCCTTTTCTGCCATTGACCTTAAAGCGCTTGAAATCTCCACTTGCCAATTGCACAAAAAGAGTGTTTCAAATCTGCTCTGTCTAAGGGGAACGTTCAACTCTGTGAGTTGAATGTACACAACACAAGGAAGTTACTGGGAATTCTTCTGTCTAGCCTTACATGCAAAAAACCCGTTTCCAACGAAGGCCTCTAAGTGGTCAAAATATCCACGTGCAGACTTTACAAACAGTGTGTTTCCAAACCGCTGAATGAAAAGAAAAGTTAAACTCTGAGAGTTGAACACACACATCACGCAGCAGTTTCTGAGAATGATTCTGTCTAGTTTTTATCCGAAGATATTTCCTTTTCTGCCTTTGGCCCCAAAGCGCTTGAAATCTCCACTTGCAAATTCCACAAAAACAGTGTTTCAAATCTGCTCTCTCTAAATGAAAGTTCAACTCTGTCAGTTGAATACACACAACACAAGGAAGTTACTGAGAATTCTTCTGTCTAGCCTTATATGAAAAAAACCCGTTTCCAACGAAGGCCTCAAAGAGGTCTGAATATCCACTTGCAGACTTTACAAACAGAGTGTTTCCTAACTGCTCTATGAAAAGAAAGGTTAAACTCTGTGAGTTGAAAGTACACATCACAAAGGAGTTTCTGAGAATCATTCTGTCTAGTTTCTATAGGAAGATATTTCCTATTCTACCATTGACCTCAAAGCGGCTGAAATCTCCACTTACAAATTCCACAAAAAGAGTGTTTCAAGTCTGCTCTGTGTAAAGGATCGTTCAACTCTGTGAGTTGAATACACACAACACAAGGAAGTTACTGAGAATTCTTCTGTCTAGCAGAATATGAAGAAATCCCGTTCCCAACGAAGGCCACCAGATGTCAGAATATCCACTTACAGACTTTACAAACAGAGTGTTTCCTAACTGCTCTATGAACAGAAAGGTTAAACTCTGTGAGTTGAACGAACACATCACAACGCAGTTTGTGGGAATGATTCTGTCTAGTTTTGAAACCAAGATATTTCCTTTTCTGCCGTTGACCTAAAAGAGCTTGAAAACTACACTTGCAAATTGCACAAATAGAGTGTTTCAAATCTGCTCTGTCTAAGGGAACGTTCAACTCTGTGAGTTGAATGCACACAACACAAGGAAGTTACTGGGAATTCTTCTGTCTAGCCTTACATGAAAAAAACCCGTTTCCAACGAAGGCCTCTAAGTGGTCAAAATATCCACGTGCAGACTTTACAAACAGAGTGTTTCCAAACTGCTGAATGAAAAGAAAATTTAAACTCTCAGAGTTGAACGCACACATGACAGAGCAGTTTCTGAGAATGATTCTGTCTAGTTTTTATACGAAGGTATTTCCTTTTCTGCCTTTGGCCTCAAAGCGCTTGAAATCTCCACTTGCAAATTCCACAAAAAGAGTGTTTCAAATCTGCTCTGTGTAAATCAAAGTTCAACTCTGTGAGTTGAACACACACAACACAAGGAAGTTACTGGGAATTCTTCTGTCTAGCATAATATGAAGAAATCCCGTTTCCAACGAAGGCCTCAAAGGGGTCTGAAAATCCACTTGCAGACTTTATAAACAGAGTGTTTACTAACTGCTCTATGAAAAGAAAGGTTAAACTCTGTGAGTTGAACACACACATCACAAAGGAGTTTCTGAGAATCATTCTGTCTAGTTTTTCTACGAAGTTATTTCCTTTTCTACTATTGACCTCAAAGCGGCTGAAATCTCCACTTGCAAATTCCACAAAAAGAGTGTTTCAAGTCTGCTCTCTGTAAAGGATCGTTCAACTCTGTGAGTTGAATACACACAACACAAGGAAGTTACTGAGAATTCTTCTGTCTAGCAGAATATGAAGAAATCCCGTTTCCAACGAAGGCCTCAAGGAGGTCTGAATATCCACTTGCAGACTTTACAAACAGAGTGTTTCCTAACTGCTCTATGAACAGAAAGTTTAAACTCTGTGAGTTGAACGAACACATCACAACGCAGTTTGTGGGAATGATTCTGTCTAGTTTTTATAGGAAGATATTTCCTTTTCTACTTTGACTTCAAAGCGGCTGAAATCTCCACTTGCAAATTCCACAAAAAGAGTGTTACAAGTCTGCTCTGTGTAAAGGATCGTTCAACTCTGTGAGTTGAATACACACAACACAAGGAAGTTACTGAGAACTCTTCTGTCTAGCCTTACATGAAAAAAACCCGTTTCCAACGAAGGCCTCTAAGTGGTAAAATTATCCACGTGCAGACTTTACAAACAGAGTGTTTCCAAACTGCTGAATGAAAAGAAAAGTTAAACTCTGAGAGTTGAACGCACACATCACAGAGCAGTTTCTGAGAATGATTCTGTCTAGTTTTTATACGAAGATATTTCCTTTTCTGCCTTTGGCCTCAAAGCGCTTGAAATCTCCATTTGCAAATTCCACAAAAAGAGTGTTTCAAATCTGCTCTGTGTAAATGAAAGCTCAACTCTGTGAGTTGAACACACACAACACAAGGAAGTTACTGGGAATTCTTCTGTCTAGCATAATAGGAAGAAATCCCGTTTCCAACGAAGGTCTCAAGGAGGTCTGAATATCCACTTGCAGACTTTACAAACAGAGTGTTTCCTAACTGCTCTATGAAAAGAAAGGTTAAACTCTGTGAGTTGAACGCACACATCACAAAGGAGTTTCTGAGAATCAATCTGTCTAGTTTCTACAGGAAGATATTTCCTATTCTACCATTGACCTCAAAGCGGCTGAAATCTCCACTTGCAAATTCCACAAAAGGAGTGTTTCAAGTCTGCTCTGTGTAAAGGATCGTTCAACTCTGTGAGTTGAATACACACAACACAAGGCAGTTACTGAGAATTCTTCTGTCTAGCAGAATATGAAGAGATCCCGTTTCCAACGAAGGCCACAATATGTCAGAATATCCACTTACAGACTTTACAAACAGAGTGTTTCCTAACTGCTCTATGAACAGAAAGGTTAAACTCTGTGAGTTGAACGAACACATCACAACGCAGTTTGTGGGAATGATTCTGTCTAGTTTTAAAACGAAGATATTTCCTTTTCTGCCGTTGACCTTAAAGCGCTTGAAATCTACACTTGCAAATTGCACAAATAGAGTGTTTCAAATCTGCTCTGTCTAAGGGAACGTTCAACTCTGTGAGTTGAATGCACACAACACAAGGAAGTTACTGGGAATTCTTCTGTCTAGCCTTACAAGAATAAAACCCGTTTCGAACGAAGGCCTCTAAGTGGTCAAAATATCCACGTGCAGACTTTACAAAGAGAGTGTTTCCAAACTGCTGAATGAAAAGAAAAATTAAACTCTGAGAGTTGAATGTACACATCGCAGAGCAGTTTCTGAGAATGATTCTGTCTAGTTTTGAAACGAAGATATTTTCCTTTTCTGCCTTTGGCCTCAAAGCGCTTGAAATCTCCACTTGCAAATTCCACAAAAAGAGTGTTTCAAATCTGCTCTGTGTAAATGAAAGTTCAACTCTGTGAGTTGAACACACACAACACAAGGAAGTTACTGGGAATTCTTCTGTCTAGCAGAATATGAAGAAATCCCGTTTCCAACGAAGGCCTCAAAGGGGTCTGAATATCCACTTGCAGATTTTACAAACAGAGTGTTTCCTAACTGCTCTATGAAAAGAAAGGTTAAACTCTGTGAGTTGAACGCACACATCACAAAGGAGTTTATGAGAATCATTCTGTCTAGTTTTTATACGAAGATATTTCCTTTTCTACCATTGACCTCAAAGCGGCTGAAATCTCCACATGCAAATTCCACAAAAAGAGTGTTTCAAGTCTGCTCTGTGTAAAGGATCGTTCAACTCTGTGAGTTGAATACACACAACACAAGGAAGTTACTGAGAATTCTTCGTGTCTAGCAGAATATGAAGAAATCCCGTTTCCAACGAAGGCCTCAAGGAGGTCTGAATATCCACTTGCATACTTTACAAAACAGAGTGTTTCCTAACTGCTCTATGAACAGAAAGGTTAAACTCTGTGAGTTGAACGAACACATCACAACGCAGTTTGTGGGAATGATTCTGTCTAGTTTTGAAACGAAGATATTTCCTTTTCTGCCATTGACCTTAAAGCGCTTGAAATCTCCATTTGCCAATTGCACAAAAAGAGTGTTTCAAATCTGCTCTGTCTAAGAGAACGTTCAACTCTGTGAGTTGAATGTACACAACACAAGGAAGTTACTGGGAATTCTTCTGTCTAGCCTTACATGAAAAAAACCCGTTTCCAACGAAGGCCTCTAAGTGGTCAAAATATCCACGTGCAGACTTTACAAACAGAGTGTTTCCAAACCGCTGAATGAAAAGAAAAGTTAAACTCTGAGAGTTGAACGCACCCATCACGCAGCAGTTTCTGAGAATGATTCTGTCTAGTTTTTATACGAAGATATTTCCTTTTCTGCCTTTGGCCCCAAAGCGCTTGAAATCTCCACTTGCAAATTCCACAAAAACAGTGTTTCAAATCTGCTCTCTCTAAATGAAAGTTCAACTCTGTCAGTTGAATAAACACAACACGAGGAAGTTACTGAGAATTCTTCTGTCTAGCATAATATGAAGAAATCCCGTTTCCAACGAAGGCCTCAAGGAGGTCTGAATATCCACTTGCAGACTTTATAAACAGAGTGTTTACTAACTGCTCTATGAAAAGAAAGGTTAAACTCTGTGAGTTGAACACACACATCACAAAGGAGTTTCTGAGAATCATTCTGTCTAGTCTTTATACGAAGATATTTCCTTTTCTACCACTGACCTCAAAGCGGCTGAAATCTCCACTTGCAAATTCCACAAAAAGAGTGTTTCAAGTCTGCTCTGTGTAAAGGATCGTTCAACTCTGCGAGTTGAATACACACAACACAAGGAAGTTACTGAGAATTCTTCTGTCTAGCAGAAAATGAAGAAATCCCGTTTCCAACGAAGGCCACAAGATGTCAGAATATCCACTTACAGACTTTACAAACAGAGTGTTTCCTAACTGCTCTATGAACAGAAAGGTTAAACTCTGTGAGTTGAACGAACACATCACAACGCAGTTTGTGGGAATGATTCTGTCTAGTTTTGAAACGAAGATATTTCCTTTTCTGCCATTGACCTCAAAGCGCTTGAAATCTCCACTTGCCAATTGCACAAAAAGAGTGTTTCAAATCTGCTCTGTCTAAGGGAACGTTCAACTCTGTGAGTTGAATGTACACAACACAAGGAAGTTACTGGGAATTCTTCTGTCTAGCAGAATATGAAGAAATCCCGTTTCCACTGAAGGCCACAAGATGTCAGAATATCCACTTACAGAATTTACCAACAGAGTGTTTCCTAACTGCTCTATGAAAAGAAAGGTTAAACTCTGTGAGTTGAACGAACACGTCACAACGCAGTTTGTGGGAATGATTCTGTCTAGTTTTTATACGAAGATATTTCCTTTTCTGCCTTTGGCCCCAAAGCGCTTGAAATCTCTACTTGCAAATTCCACAAAAACAGTGTTTCAAATCTGCTCTCTCTAAATGAAAGTTCAACTCTGTCAGTTGAATACACACAACACAAGGAAGTTACTGAGAATTATTCTGTCTAGCAGAATATTAAGAAATCCCGCTTCCAACGATGGCCTCAAAGAGGTCTAAATATCCCCTTGCAGACTTTACAAACAGAGTGTTTCCTAACTGCTCTATGAAAAGAAAGGTTAAACTCTGTGAGTGGAACGCACACATCACAAAGGGGTTTCTGAGAATCATTTTGTCTAGGTTCTATAAGAAGATATTTCCTATTCTACCATTGACCTCAAAGCGGCTGAAATCTCCACTTGCAAATTCGACAAAAAGAGTGTTTCAAGTCTGCTCTCTGTAAAGGATCCTTCAACTCTGTGAGTTGAATACACACAACACAAGGAAGTTACTGAGAATTATTCTGTCTAGCATAATATGAAGAAATCCCTTTTCCAAAGAAGGCCTCAAGGAGGTCTGAATATCCACTTGCACACTTTACAAACAGAGTGTTTCCTAACTGCTCTATGAAAAGAAAAGTTAAACTCTGTGAGTTGAACGCACACATCACAAAGGAGTTTCTGAGAATCATTCTGTCTAGTTTTGAAACGAAGATATTTCCTTTTCTGCCATTGACCTTAAAGCGCTGGAAATCTACACTTGCAAATAGCACAAATAGAGTGTTTCAAATCTGCTCTGTCTAAGGGAACGTTCATCTCTGTGAGTTGAATGCACACAACACAAGGAAGTTACTGGGAATGCTTCTGTCTAGCCTTACATGAAAAAAAACCCGTTTCCAACGAAGGCCTCTAAGTGGTCAAAATATCCACGTGCAGACTTTACAAACAGAGTGTTTCCAAACTGCTGAATGAAAAGAAAAGTTAAACTCTGAGAGTTGAACGCACATATCACAGAGCAGTTTCTGAGAATGATTCTGTCTAGTTTTTATACGAAGATATTTCCTTTTCTGCCTTTGGCCTCAAAGCGCTTGAAATCTCCACTTGCAAATTCCACAAAAAGAGTGTTTCAAATCTGCTCTGTGTAAATGAAAGTTCAACTCTGTGAGTTGAACACACACAACACAAGGAAGTTACGGGGAATTCTTCTGTCCAGCAGAATATGAAGAAATCCCTTTTCCAACGAAGGCCTCAAAGAGGTCTGAATATCCACTTGCAGACTTTACAAACAGAGTGTTTCCTAACTGCTCTATGAAAAGAAAGGTTAAACTCTGTGGGTTGAACGCACACATCACAAAGGAGTTTCTGAGAATCATTCTGTCTAGTTTTTATAGGAAGATATTTCCTTTTCTACCTTTGACTTCAAAGCGGCTGAAATCTCCACTTGCAAATTCCACAAAAAGAGTGTTACAAGTCTGCTCTGTGTAAAGGATCTTTCAACTCTGTGAGTTGAATACACACAACACAAGGAAGTTACTGGGAATTCTTCTGTCTAGCAGAATATGAAGAAATCCCGTTTCCAACTAAGGCCACAAGATGTCAGAATATCCACTTACAGAATTGACAAACAGACTGTTTCCTAACTGCTCTATGAAAAGAAAGGTTAAACTCTGTGAGTTGAACGAACACATCACTACGCAGTTTGTGGGAATGATTCTGTCTAGTTTTGAAACGAAGATATTTCCTTTTCTGCCGTTGACCATAAAGCGCTTGAAATCTACACTTGCAAATTGCACAAAGAGAGTGTTTCAAATCTGCTCTGTCTAAGGGAACGTTCAACTCTGTGAGTTGAATGCACACAACACAAGGAAGTTACTGGGAATTCTTCTGTTGAGCATAATAGGAAGAAATCCCGTTTCCAACGAAGGCCTCAAAGAGGTCTGAATATCCACTTGCAGACTTTACAAACAGAGTGTTTCCAAACCGCTGAATGAAAAGAAAAGTTAAACTCTGAGAGTTGAACGCACGCATCACGCAGCAGTTTCTGAGAATGATTCTGTCTAGTTTTTATACGAAGATATTTCCTTTTCTGCCTTTGGCACCAAAGCGCTTGAAATCTCCATTTGCAAATTCCACAAAAACAGTGTTTCAAATCTGCTCTCTCTAAATGAAAGTTCAACTCTGTCAGTTGAATACACACAACAGAAGGAAGTTACTGAGAATTCTTCTGTCTAGCATAATATGAAGAAATCCCGTTTCCAACGAAGGCCTCAAAGGGGTCTGAATATCCACTTGCAGACTTTACAAACAGAGTGTTTCCTAACTGCTCTATGAAAAGAAAGGTTAAACTCTGTGAGTTGAACACACACATCACAAAGGAGTTTCTGAGAATCATTCTGTCTAGTTTCTATAGGAAGATATTTCCTATTCTACCTTTGACCTCAAAGCGGCTGAAATCTCCACTTGCAAATTCCACAAAAGGAGTGTTTCAAGTCTGCTCTGTGTAAAGGATCGTTCAACTCTGTGAGTTGAATACACACAACACAAGGAAGTTACTGAGAATTCTTCTGTCTAGCAGAATATGAAGAAATCCCGTTTCCAACGAAGGCCACAAGATGTCAGAATATCCACTTGCAGACTTTACAAACAGAGTGTTTCCTAACTGCTCTATGAACAGAAAGGTTAAACTCTGTGAGTTGAACGAACACATCACAACGCAGTTTGTGGGAATGATTCTGTCTAGTTTTGAAACCAAGATATTTCCTTTTCTGCCGTTGACCTTAAAGAGCTTGAAAACTACACTTGCAAATTGCACAAATAGAGTGTTTCAAATCTGCTCTGTCTAAGGGAACGTTCAACTCTGTGAGTTGAATGCACACAACACAAGGAAGTTACTGGGAATTCTTCTGTCTAGCCTTACATGAAAAAATCCCGTTTCCAACGAAGGCCTCTAAGTGGTCAAAATATCCACGTGCAGACTTTACAAACAGAGTGTTTCCAAACCGCTGAATGAAAAGAAAAGTTAAACTCTGAGGGTTGAACGCACACATCACGCAGCAGTTTCTGAGAATGATTTCTGTCTAGTTTTTATACGAAGATATTTCCTTTTCAGCCTTTGGCCCCAAAGCGCTTGAAATCTCCACTTGCAAATTCCACAAAAACAGTGTTTCAAATCTGCTCTCTCTAAATGAAAGTTCAACGCTGTCAGTTGAATACACACAACACAAGGAAGTTACTGAGAATTCTTCTGTCTAGCATAATATGAAGAAATCCCGTTTCCAACGAAGGCCTCAAAGAGGTCTGAATATCCACTTGCAGACTTTACAAACAGAGTATTTCCTAACTGCTCTATGAGAAGAAAAGTTAAACTCTGTGAGTTGAACGCACACATCACAAAAGATTTTCTGAGAATCATTCTGTCTAGTCTTTATACGAAGATATTTCCTTTTCTACCATTGACCTCAAAGCGGCTGAAATCTCCACTTGCAAATTCCACAAAAAGCGTGTTTCAAGTCTGCTCTGTGTAAAGGATCGTTCAACTCTGTGAGTTGAATACACACAACACAACGAAGTTACTGAGAATTCTTCTGTCTAGCAGAATATGAAGAAATCCCGTTTCCAACGAAGGCCACAAGATGTCAGAATATCCACTTATAGAATTTACAAACAGACTGTTTCCCAACTGCTCTATGAAAAGAAAGGTTAAACTCTGTGAGTTGAACGCACACATCACAATGAAGTTTCTGAGAATCATTCTGTGTAGTTTTGAAACGAAGATATTTCCTTTTCTGCCATTGACCTTAAAGCGCTTGAAATCTCCACTTGCCAATTGCACAAAAAGAGTGTTTCAAATCTGCTCTGTCTAAGGGAACGTTCAACTCTGTGAGTTGAATGTACACAACACAAGGAAGTTACTGGGAATTCTTCTGTCTAGCCTTACATGAAAAAAACCCGTTTCCAACGAAGGCCTCTAAGTGGTCAAAATATCCACGTGCAGACTTTACAAACAGAGTGTTTCCAAACCGCTGAATGAAAAGAAAAGTTAAACTCTGAGAGTTGAACGCACACATCAAGCAGCAGTTTCTGAGAATGATTCTGTCTAGTTTTGAAACGTAGACATTTCCTTTTCTGCCTTTGGCCTCAAAGCGCTTGAAATCTCCATTTGCAAATTCCACAAAAAGAGTGTTTCAAATCTGCTCTGTGTAAATGAAAGTTCAACTCTGTGAGTTGAACACACACAACACAAGGAAGTTACTGGGAATTCTTCTGTCTAGCCTTATATGAAAAAAACCCGTTTCCATCGAAGGCCTCAAAGAGGTCTGAATATCCACTTGCAGACTTTACAAACAGAGTGTTTCCTAACTGCTCTATGAAAAGAAAGGTTAAACTCTGTGAGTTGAACGCACACATCACAAAGGAGTTTCTGAGAATCATTCTGTCTAGTTTTGAAACGAAGATATTTCCTTTTCTACCATTGACCTCAACGCGGCTGAAATCTCCATTTGCAAATTCCACAAAAAGAGTGTTTCAAATCTGCTCTGTGTAAATGAAAGTTCAACTCTGTGAGTTGAACACACACAACACAAGGAAGTTAATGGGAATTCTTCTGTCTAGCAGAATATGAAGAAATCCTGTTTCCAACGAAGGCCACAAGATGTCAGAATATCCACTTACAGAATTTACAAACAGACTGTTTCCTAAGTGCTCTATGAAAAGAAATGTTAAACTCTGTGAGTTGAACGAACACATCGCAACGCAGTTTGTGGGAATGATTCTGTCTAGTTTTGAAACGAAGATATTTCCTTTTCTGCCATTGAACTTAAAGCGCTTGAAATCTCCATTTGCCAATTGCACAAAAAGAGTGTTTCAAATCTGCTCTGTCTAAGGGAACGTTCAACTCTGTGAGTTGAATGTACACAACACAAGGAAGTTACTGGGAATTCTTCTGTCTAGCCTTACATGAAAAAAACCCGTTTCCAACGAAGGCCTCTAAGTGGTCAAGTTATCCACGTGCAGACTTTACAAACAGAGTGTTTCCAAACTGCTGAATGAAAAGAAAAGTTAAACTCTGAGAGTTGAACGCACACATCGCAGAGCAGTTTCTCAGCATGGTTCTGTCTAGTTTTTATACGAAGATATTTCCTTTTCTGCCTTTGGCCTCAAAGCGCTTGAAACCTCCATTTGCAAATTCCACAAAAAGAGTGTTTCAAATCTGCTCTGTGTAAATGAAAGTTCAACTCTGTGAGTTGAACACACACAACACAAGGAAGTTACTGGGAATTCTTCTGTCTAGCACAATATGAAGAAATCCCGTTTCCAACAAAGGCCTCAAAGAGGTCTGAATATCCACTTGCAGACATTACAAACAGAGTGTTTCCTAACTGCTCTATGAAAAGAAAGGTTAAACTCTGTGAGTTGAACGCACACATCACAAAGGAGTTTCTGAGAATCATTCTGTCTAGTTTCTATAGGAAGATATTTCCTATTCTACCATTGACATCAAAGCGGCTGAAATCTCCACTTGCAAATTCCACAAAAAGATTGTTTCAAGTCTGCTCTGCGTAAAGGATCATTAAACTCTGTGAGTTGAATACACACAACACAAGGAAGTTACTGAGAATTCTTCTGTCTAGCAGAATATGAAGAAATCCTGTTTCCAACGAAGGCCACAAGATGTCAGAATATCCACTGTCAGACTTTACAAACAGAGTGTTTCCTAACTGCTCTATGAACAGAAAGGTTAAACTCTGTGAGTTGAACGAACACATCACAACGCAGTTTGTGGGAATGATTCTGTCTAGTTTTGAAACGAAGATATTTCCTTTTCTGCCATTGAACTTAAAGCGCTTGAAATCTCCATTTGCCAATTGCACAAAAAGAGTGTTTCAAATCTGCTCTGTCTAAGGGAACGTTCAACTCTGTGAGTTGAATGTACACAACACAAGGAAGTTACTGGGAATTCTTCTGTCTAGCCTTACAGGAAAAAAACCCGTTTCCAACGAAGGCCTCTAAGTGGTCAAAATATCCACGTGCAGACTTTACAAACGGAGTGTTTCCAAACTGCTGAATGAAAAGAAAAGTTAAACTCTGAGAGTTGAACGCACACATCGCAGAGCAGTTTCTGAGAATGATTCTGTCTAGTTTTTATACGAAGATATTTCCTTTTCTGCCTCTGGCCTCAAAGCGCTTGAAATCTCCACTTGCAAATTCCACAAAAAGAGTGTTTCAAATCTGCTCTGTGTAAATCAAAGTTCAACTCTGTGAGTTGAACACACACAACACAAGGAAGTTACTGGGAATTCTTCTGCCTAGCAGAATTTGAAGAAATCCCGATTCCAACGAAGGCCTCAAAGAGGTCTGAATATCCACTTGCAGAATTTACAAACAGAGTGTTTGCTAACTGCTCTATGAAAAGAAAAGTTAAACTCTGTGAGTTGAACGCACACATCACAAAGGAGTTTCTGAGAATCATTCTGTGTAGTTTTTATAGGAAGATATTTCCTTTTCTACCATTGACCTCAAAGCGGCAGAAATCTCCACTTGCAAATTCCACAAAAAGAGTGTTACAAGTCTGCTCTGTGTAAAGGATCGTTCAACTCTGTGAGTTGAATACACACAACACAAGGAAGTTACTGAGAATTCTTCTGTCTAGCAGAACATGAAGAAATCCCGTTTCCAACGAAGGCCTCAAAGATGTCTGAATATCCACTTGCAGACTTTACAAACAGAGTGTTTCCTAACTGCTCTATGAAAAGAAAGGTTAAACTCTGTGAGTTGAACGCACACATCACAAAGGAGTTTGTGAGAATCATTCTGTCTAGTTTTTATAGGAAGATATTTCCTTTTCTACCTTTGACTTCAAAGCGGCTGAAATCTCCACTTACAAATTCCACAAAAAGAGTGTTACAAGTCTGCTCTGTGTAAAGGATCGTTCAACTCTGTGAGTTGAATACACACAACACAAGGAAGTTACTGAGAATTCTTCTGTCTAGCATAGTATGAAGAAATCCCGTTTCCAACGAAGGCCTCAAAGAGGTCTGAATATCCAATTGCAGACTTTACAAACAGAGTGTTTCCTAACTGCTCTATGAAAAGAAATGTTAAACTCTGTGAGTTGAACGCAGACATCACAAAGAAGTTTCTGAGAATCATTCTGTCTAGTTTTGAAACCAAGATATTTCCTTTTCTGCCGTTGACCTTAAAGCGCTTGAAATCTACACTTGCAAATTGCACAAATAGAGTGTTTCAAATCTGCTCTGTCTAAGGGAACGTTCAACTCTGTGAGTTGAATGCACACAACACAAGGAAGTTACTGGGAATTCTTCTGTCTAGCCTTACATGAAAAAAACCCGTTTCCAACGAAGGCCTCTAAGTGGTCAAAATATCCACGTGGAGACTTTACAAACAGAGTGTTTACAAACTGCTGAATGAACAGAAAAGTTAAACTCTGAGAGTTGAACGCACACATCACAGAGCAGTTTCTGAGAATGATTCTGTCTAGTTTTTAAAGGAAGATATTTCCTTTTCTGCCTTTGGCCTCAAAGCGGTTGAAATCTCACCTTGCAAATTCCACAAAAAGAGTGTTTCAAATCTGATCTGTCTAAAGGAAAGTTCAACTCTGTCAGTTGAATACACCCAACACAAGGAAGTTACTGAGAATTCTTCTGTCTAGCATAATATGAAGAAATCCCGTTTCCAACGAAGGCGTCAAGGAGGTCTGAATATCCACTTGCAGACTTTACAAACAGAGTGTTTCCTAACTGCTCTATGAAAAGAAAGGTTAAACTCTGTGAGTTGAACGCACACATCACAAAGGAGTTTCTGAGAATCATTCTGTCTAGTTTTTATACGAAGATATTTCCTTTTCTACCATGGACCTCAAAGCGGTTGAAATCTCCACTTGCAAATTGCACAAAAAGAGTGTTTCAAGTCTGCTCTGTGTAAAGGATCGTTCAACTCTGTGAGTTGAATACACACAACACAAGGAAGATTCTGAGAATTCTTCTGTCTAGCAGAATATGAAGAAATCCCGTTTCCAACGAAGGCCACAAGATGTCAGAATATCCACTTAAAGAATTGACAAACAGACTGTTTCCTAACTGCTCTATGAAAAGAAAGGTTAAACTCTGTGAGTTGAACGAACACATCACAACGCAGTTTGTGGGAATGATTCTGTCTAGTTTTTATACGAAGATATTTCCTTTTCTACCATTGACCTCAAAGCGGCTGAAATCACCACTTGCCAATTGCACAAAAAGAGTGTTTCAAATCTGCTCTGTCTAAGGGAACGTTCAACTCTGTGAGTTGAATGTACACAACACAAGGAAAGTTACTGGGAATTCTTCTGTCTAGCCTTACATGAAAAATACCCGTTTCCAACGAAGGCCTCTAAGTGGTCAAAATATCCACGTGCAGACTTTACAAACAGAGTGTTTCCAAACCGCTGAATGAAAAGAAAAGTTAAACTCTGAGAGTTGAACGCACACATCACGCAGCAGTTTCTGAGAATCATTCTGTCTAGTTTTTATACAAAGATATTTCCTTTTCTGCCTTTGGCCCCATAGCGCTTGAAATCTCCACTTGCAAATTCCACAAAAACAGTGTTTCAAATCTGCTCTCTCTAAATAAAAGTTCAACTCTGTCAGTTGAATACACACAACACAAGGAAGTTACTGAGAATTCTTCTGTCTAGCATAATATGAAGAAATCCCGCTTCCAA
Organism: Homo sapiens; assembly: GCF_000001405.40. NCBI lineage: Eukaryota > Metazoa > Chordata > Mammalia > Primates > Hominidae > Homo > Homo sapiens. Next base: position 47,879,779 of record NC_000005.10, on the reverse strand, counting down.
CGAAGGCCTCAAAGGGGTCTGAATATCCACTTGCAGACTTTATAAACAGAGTGTTTACTAACTGCTCTATGAAAAGAAAGGTTAAGCTCTGTGAGTTGAACACACACATCACAAAGGAGTTTCTGAGAATCATTCTGTCTAGTCTTTATACGAAGATATTTCCTTTTGTACCATTGACCTCAAAGCGGCTGAAATCTCCACTTGCAAATTCCACAAAAAGAGTGTTTCAGGTCTGCTCTGTGTAAAGAATCGTTCAACTCTGTGAGTTGAATACACACAACACAAGGAAGTTACTGAGAATTCTTCTGTCTAGCAGAATATGAAGAAATCCCGTTTCCAACGAAGGCCTCAAAGAGGTCTGAATATCCACTTGCAGACTTTACAAACAGAGTGTTTCCGAACTGCTCTATGAAAAGAAAGGTTAAACTCTGTTAGCTGAACGCACACATCACAAAGGAGTTTCTGAGAATCATTCTGTCTAGTTTTGAAACGAAGATATTTCCTTTTCTGCCATTGACCTTAAAGCGCTTGAAATCTACACTTGCAAATTGCACAAATAGAGTGTTTCAAATCTGCTCTGTCAAGGGAATGTTCAGCTCTGTGAGTTGAATGCACACAACACAAGGAAGTTACTGGGAATTCTTCTGTCTAGCCTTACATGAAAAAAACCCGTTTCCAACGAAGGCCTCTAAGTGGTCAAAATATCCACGTGCAGACTTTACAGACAGAGTGTTTCCAAACCGCTGAATGAAAAGAAAAGTTAAACTCTGAGAGTTGAACGCACACATCACGCAGCAGTTTCTGAGAATGATTCTGTCTAGTTTTTATACGAAGATATTTTCTTTTCTGCCTTTGACCTCAAAGCGCTTGAAATCTCCATTTGCAAATTCCACAAAAAGAGTGTTTCAAATCTGCTCTGTGTAAATGAAAGTTCAACTCTGTGAGTTGAACACACACAACACAAGGAAGTTACTGGGAATTCTTCTGTCTAGCATAGTATGAAGAAATCCCGTTTCCAACGAAGGCCTCAAAGAGGTCTGAATATCCACTTGCAGACTTTACAAACAAAGTGTTTCCTAACTGCTCTATGAAAAGAAAGGTTAAACTCTGTGAGTTGAACGCACACATCACAAAGAAGTTTCTGAGAATCATTCTGTCTAGTTTCTATAGGAAGATATTTCCTATTCTACCATTGACCTCAAAGCGGTTGAAATCTCCACTTGCAAATTCCACAAGAAGAGTGTTTCAAGTATGCTCTGTGTAAAGGATCGTTCAACTCTGTGAGTTGAATACACACAAAACAAGGAAGTTACTGAGAATTCTTCTGTCTAGCAGAATATGAAGAAATCCCGTTTCCAACGAAGGCCACAAGATGTCAGAGTATCCACTTACAGACTTTACAAACAGTGTGTTTCCTAACTGCTCTATGAACGGAAAGGTTAAACTCTGTGAGTTGAACGAACACATCACAACGCAGTTTGTGGGAATGATTCTGTCTAGTTTTGAAACGAAGATATTTCCTTTTCTGCCATTGACCTTAAAGCGCTTGAAATCTACACTTGCAAATTGCACAAATAGAGTGTTGCAAATCTGCTCTGTCTAAGGGAACGTTCAACTCTGTGAGTTGAATGCACACAACACAAGGAAGTTACTGGGAATTCTTCTGTCTAGCCTTACATGAAAAAAACCCGTTTCCAACGAAGGCCTCTAAGTGGTCAAGTTATCCACGTGCAGACTTTACAAACAGAGTGTTTCCAAACTGCTGAATGAAAAGAAAAGTTAAACTCTGAGAGTTGAACGCACACATCGCAGAGCAGTTTCTGAGAATGATTCTGTCTAGTTTTTATACGAAGATATTTCCTTTTCTGTCTTTGGCCTCAAAGCGCTTGAAATCTCCAATTGCAAATTCCACATAAAGAGCTTTTCAAATCTGCTCTGTCTAAATGAAAGTTCAACTCTGTCAGTTGAATACACACAACACAAGGAAGTTACTGAGAATTCTTCTGTGAAGCAGAATATGAAGAAATCCCGTTTCCAACGAAGGCCTCAGAGAGGTCTGAATATCCCCTTGCAGACTTTACAAACAGAGTGTTTCCTAACTGCTCTATGAAAAGAAACGTTAAACTCTGTGAGTTCAACGCACACATCACAAAGGAGTTTCTGAGAATCATTCTGTCTAGTCTTTATACGAAGATATTTCCTTTTCTACCATTGACCTCAAAGCGGCTGAAATCTCCACTTGAAAATACCAAAAAAAGTGTGTTTCAAGTCTGCTATGTGTAAAGGATCGTTCAACTCTGTGAGTTGAAGACACACAACACAAGGAAGTTTCTGAGAATTCTTCTGTCTAGCCTTATATGAAAAAAACCCGTTTCCAACGAAGGCCTCAAAGAGGTCTGAATATCCACTTGCAGACTTTACAAACAGAGTGTTTCCTAAATGCTCTATGAAAAGAAAGGTTAAACTCTGTGAGTTGAACGAACACATCACAACGCAGTTTGTGGGAATGATTCTGTCTAGTTTTTATAGGAAGATATTTCCTTTTCTACTTTGACTTCAAAGCGGCTGAAATCTCCACTTGCAAATTCCACAAAAAGAGTGTTACAAGTCTGCTCTCTGTAAAGGATCGTTCAACTGTGTGAGTTGAATACACACAACACAAGGGAAGTTACTGAGAACTCTTCTGTCTAGCCTTACATGAAAAAAACCCGTTTCCAACGAAGGCCTCTAAGTGGTCAAATTATCCACGTGCAGACTTTACAAACAGAGTGTTTCCAAACTGCTGAATGAAAAGAAAAGTTAAACTCTGAGAGTTGAACGCACACATCGCAGAGCAGCTTCTGAGAATGATTCTGTCTAGTTTCTATAGGAAGATATTTCCTATTCTACCATTGAACTCAAAGCGGCTGAAATCTCCACTTGCAAATTCCACAAAAAGAGTGTTTCAAGTCTGCTCTGTGTAAAGGATCATTCAACTCTGTGAGTTGAATACACACAACAAAAGGAAGTTACTGAGAATTCTTCTGTCTAGCAGAATATGATTAAATCCCGTTTCCAACGAAGGCCTCAAGGAGGTCTGAATATCCACTTGCAGACTTTACAAACAGAGTGTTTCCTAACTGCTCTATGAAAAGAAAGGTTAAACTCTGTGAGTTGAATGCACACATCACAAAGGAGTTTCTCAGAATCATTCTGTCTAGTTTTTATAGGAAGATATTTCCTTTTCTACCTTTGACTTCAAAGCGGCAGAAATCTCCACTTGCAAATTCCACAAAAAGAGTGTTACAAGTCTGCTCTGTGTAAAGGATCGTTCAACTCTGTGAGTTGAATACACACAACACAAGGAAAGTTACTGAGAATTCTTCTGTCTAGCCTTACATGAAAAAAACCCGTTTCCAAAGAAGGCCTCTAAGTGGTCAAATTATCCACGTGCAGACTTTACAAACAGAGTGTTTCCAAACTGCTGAATGAAAAGAAAAGTTAAACTCTGAGAGTTGAACGCACACATCGCAGAGCAGTTTCTGAGAATGATTCTGTCTCGTTTTGAAACGAAGATATTTCCTTTTCTGCCATTGACCTTAAAGCGCTTGAAATCTCCACTTGCCAATTGCACAAAAAGAGTGTTTCAAATCTGCTCTGTCTAAGGGAACGTTCAACTCTGTGAGTTGAATGTACACAACAGAAGGAAGTTACTGAGAATTCTTCTGTCTAGCCTTACATGAAGAAAACCCGTTTCCAACGGAGGCCTCAAAGAGGTCAAAATATCCACTTGCAGACTTTACAAACAGAGTGTTTCCTAACTACTCTATGAATAGAAAAGTTAAACTCTGTGAGTTGAACATACACATCACAAAGGAGTTTATGAGAATCATTCTGTCTAGTTTTTATACGAAGATATTTCCTTTTCTACCATTGACCTCAAATCGGCTGAAATCTCCACTTGCAAATTCCACAAAACGAGTGTTTCAAGTCCGCTCTGTGTAAAGCATCGTTCAACTCTGTGAGTTGAATACACACAACACAAGGAAGTTACTGAGAATTCTTCTGTCTAGCACAGTATGGAGAAATCCCGTTTCCAACGAAGGCCTCAAAGTGGTCTGAATATCCACTTGCAGAGTTTACAAACAGAGTGTTTCCTAACTGCTCTATGAAAAGAAAGGTTAAACTCTGTGAGTTGAACGCACACATCACAATGAAGTTTCTGAGAATCATTCTGTCTAGTTTTTATACGAAGATATTTCCTTTTCTACCATTGACCTCAACGCGGCTGAAATCTCCACTTGCAAATTCCACAAAAAGAGTGTTTCAAGTCCGCTCTGTGTAAAGGGTCGTTCAACTCTGTGAGTTGAATACACACAACACAAGGAAGTTACTGAGAATTCTTCTGTATAGCACAGTATGAAGAAATCCCGTTTCCAACGAAGGCCTCAAAGAGGTCTGAATATCCACTTGCAGAGTTTACAAACAGAGTGTTTCCTAACTGCTCTATGAAAAGAAAGGTTAAACTCTGTGAGTTGAACGCACACATCACAAAGAAGATTCTGAGAATCATTCTGTCTAGTTTTGAAACCAAGATATTTCCTTTTCTGCCGTTGACCTTAAAGCGCTTGAAATCTACACTTGCAAATTGCACAAATAGAGTGTTTCAAATCTGCTCTGTCTAAGGGAACTTTCAACTCTGTGAGTTGAATGCACACAACACAAGGAAGTTACTGGGAATTCTTCTGTCTAGCCTTACAGGAAAAAAACCCGTTTCCAAAGAAGGCCTCCAAGTGGTCAAATTATCCACGTGCAGACTTTACAAACAGAGTGTTTCCAAACTGCTGAATGAAAAGAAAAGTTAAACTCTGAGAGTTGAACGCACACATCGCAGAGCAGTTTCTGAGAATGATTCTGTCCAGTTTTTATACGAAGATATTTCCTTTTCTGCCTTTGGCCTCAAAGCGCTTGAAATCTCCACTTGCAAATTCCACAAAAAGAGTGTTTCAAATCTGCTCTGTGTAAATGAAAGTTCAACTCTGTGAGTTGAACACACACAACACAAAGAAGTTACTGGGAATTCTTCTGTCTAGCAGAATATGAAGAAATCCCGTTTCCAACGAAGGCCTCAAAGAGGTCTGAATATCCACTTGCAGACATTACAAACAGAGTGTTTCCTAACTGCTTTATGAAAAGAAAGGTTAAACTCTGTGAGTTGAACGCACACATTACAAAGGAGATTCTGAGAATCATTCTGTCTAGTTTTTCTACGAAGATATTTCCTTTTCTACTATTGACCTCAAAGCGGCTGAAATCTCCACTTGCAAATTCCACAAAAAGAGTGTTTCAAGTCTGCTCTGTGTAAAGGATCGTTCAACTCTGCGAGTTCAATACACACAACACAAGGAAGTTACTGAGAATTCTTCTGTCTAGCAGAATATGAAGAAATCCCGTTTCCAACGAAGGCCTCAAAGAGGTCTGAATATCCACTTGCAGACTTTACAAACAGAGTGTTTCCTAACTGCTCTATGAAAAGAAAGGTTAAACTCTGTGAGTTGAATGCACACATCACAAAGGAGTTTCTGAGAATCATTCTGTCTAGTTTTGAAACGAAGATATTTCCTTTTCTGCCATTGACCTTAAAGCGCTTGAAATCTCCATTTGCCAATTGCACAAAAAGAGTGTTTCAAATCTGCTCTGTCTAAGGGAACGTTCAACTATGTGAGTTGAATGTACACAACACAAGGAAGTTACTGGGAATTCTTCTGTCTAGCCTTACAGGAAAAAAACCCGTTTCCAACGAAGGCCTCTAAGTGGTCAAAATATCCACGTGCAGACTTTACAAACAGAGTGTTTCCAAACTGCTGAATGAAAAGAAAAGTTAAACTCTGAGAGTTGAACGCACACATCGCAGAGCAGTTTCTCAGAATGATTCTGTCTAGTTTTTATACGAAGATATTTCCTTTTCTGCCTTTGGCCGCAAAGCGCTTGAAATCTCCACTTGCAAATTCCACAAAAACAGTGTATCAAATCTGCTCTCTCTAAATGAAAGTTCAACTCTGTCAGTTGAATACACACAACACAAGGAAGTTACTGAGAATTCTTCTGTCTAGCATAATATGAAGAAATCCCGTTTCCAACGAAGACCTCAAGGAGGTCTGAATATCCACTTGCAGACTTTACAAACAGAGTGTTTCCAAACTGCTCTATGAAGAGAAAGGTTAAACTCTGTGAGTTAAACGCACACATCACAAAGGAGTTTCTGAGAATCATTCTGTCTAGTTTTTATACGAAGATATTTCCTTTTCTGCCTTTGGCCTCAAAGCGCTTGAAATCTCCACTTGCAAATTCCACAAAAAGTGTGTTTCAAGTCCGCTCTGTGTAAAGGATCGTTCAACTCTGTGAGTTGAATACACACAACACAAGGAAGTTACTGAGAATTCTTCTGTCTAGCACAGTATGAAGAAATTCCGTTTCCAACGAAGGCCTCAAAGAGGTCTGAATATCCACTTGCAGACTTTACAAACAGAGTGTTTCCTAACTGCTCTATGAAAAGAAAGGTTAAACTCTGTGAGTTGAACGCACACATCACAAAGTAGTTTCTGAGAATCATTCTGTCTAGTTTTGAAACGAAGATATTCCCTTTTCTGCCATTGACCTTAAAGCCCTTGAAATCTACACTTGCAAATTGCACAAATAGAGTGTTTCAAATCTGCTCCGTCTAGGGAACGTTCAACTCTGTGAGTTGAATGCACACAACACAAGGAAGTTACTGGGAATTCTTCTGTCTAGCCTTACAGGAAAGAAACCCGTTTACAACGAAGGCCTCTAAGTGGTCAAAATATCCACGTGCAGACTTTACAAACAGAGTGTTTCCAAACTGCTAAATGAAAAGCAAAGTTAAACTCTGAGAGTTGAACGCACACATCGCAGAGCAGTTTCTGAGAATGATTCTGTCTAGTTTTGAAACGAAGATATTTCCTTTTCTCGCCTCTTGGCCTCAAAGCGCTTGAAATCTCCACTTGCAAATTCCACAAAAAGAGTGTTTCAAATCTGCTCTGTGTAAATGAAAGTTCAACTCTGTGAGTTGAACACACACAACACAAGGAAGTTACTGGGAATTCTTCTGTCTAGCATAATATGAAGAAATCCCTTTTCCAACGAAGGCTTCAAGGAGGTCTGAATATCCACTTGCAGACTTTACAAACAGAGTGTTTCCTAACTGCTCTGTGAAAAGAAAGGTTAAACTCTTTGAGTTGAACGCACACATCACAAAGGAGTTTCTGAGAATCATTCTGTCTAGTTTTGAAACGAAGACATTTCCTTTTCTGCCTTTGACTTCAAAGCGGCTGAAATCTCCACTTGCAAATTCCACAAAAAGAGTGTTACAAGTCTGCTCTGTGTAAAGGATCGTTCAACTCTGTGAGTTGAATACACACAACACAAGGGAAGTTACTGAGAATTCTTCTGTCTAGCAGAATATGAAGAAATCCCGTTTCCAACGAAGGCCACAAGATGTCAGAATATCCACTTACAGAATTTTCAAACAGACTGTTTCCTAACTGCTCTATGAAAAGAAAGGTTAAACTCTGTGAGATGAACGAACACATCACAACGCAGTTTGTGGGAATGATTCTGTCTAGTTTTTATAGGAAGATATTTCCTTTTCTACCTTTGACTTCAAAGCGGCTGAAATCTCCACTTGCAAATTCCACAAAAAGAGTGTTACAAGTCTGCTCTGTGTAAAGGATCCTTCAACTGTGTGAGTTGAATACACACAACACAAGGAAGTTACTGAGAATTCTTCTGTCTAGCCTTACATGAAAAAAACCCGTTTCCAACGAAGGCCTCTAAGTGGTCAAATTATCCACGTGCAGACTTTACAAACAGAGTGTTTCCAAACTGCTGAATGAAAAGCGAAGTTAAACTCTGAGAGTTGAACGCACACATCGCAGAGCAGTTTCTGAGAATGATTCTGTCTAGTTTTTATACGAAGATATTTCCTTTTCTTCCTTTGGCCCCAAAGCGCTTGAAATCTCCACTTGCAAATTCCACAAAAACAGTGTTTCAAATCTGCTCTCTCTAAATGAAAGTTCAACTCTGTCAGTTGAATACACACAACAGAAGGAAGTTACTGAGAATTCTTCTGTCTAGCATAATATGAAGAAATCCCGTTTCCAAAGAAGGCCACAAAGGGATCTGAATATCCACTTGCAGACTTTATAAACAGAGTGTTTACTAACTGCTCTATGAAAAGAAAGGTTAAATTCTGAGAGTTGAACACACACATCACAAAGGAGTTTCTGAGAATCATTCTGTCTAGTTTCTATAGGAAGATATTTCCTATTCTACCATTGACCTCAAAGCGGCTGAAATCTCCAATTGCAAATTCCACAAAAAGAGTGTTTCAAGACTGTTCTGTGTAAAGGATCATTCAACTCTGTGAGTTGAATACACACAACACAAGGAAGTTACTAAGAATTCTTCTGTCTAGCCTTATATGAAAAAAACCCGTTTCCAACGAAGGCCTCAAAGAGGTCTGAATGTCCACTTGCAGACTTTACAAACAGAGTGTTTCCTAACTGCTCTATGAAAAGAAAGGTTAAACTCTGTGAGTTGAACGCACACATCACAAAGGAGTTTCTGAGAATCATTCTGTCTAGTCTTTATACGAAGATATTTCCTTTTCTACCATTGACCTCAAAGCGGCTGAAATCTCCACTTGCAAATTCCACAAAAAGAGTGTTTCAAGTCTGCTCTGTGTAAAGGATCTTTCAACTCTGTGAGTTGAATACACACAACACAAGGAAGTTACTGAGAATTCTTCTGTCTAGCAGAATATGTAGAAATCCCGTTTCCAACGAAGGCCACAAGATGTCAGAATATCCACTTACAGAATTTACCAACAGAGTGTTTCCTAACTGCTCTATGAAAAGAAAGGTTAAACTCTGTGAGTTGAACGAACACATCACAACGCAGTTTGTGGGAATGATTCTGTCTAGTTTTGAAACGAAGATATTTCCTTTTCTGCCATTGACCTTAAAGCGCTTGAAATCTACACTTGCAAATTGCACAGAGTGTTTCAAATCTGCTCTGTCTAAGGGAACGTTCAACTCTGTGAGTTGAATGCACACAACACAAGGAAGTTACTGGGAATTCTCTGTCTAGCCTTACAGGAAAAAAACCCGTTTCCAACGAAGGCCTCTAAGTGGTCAAAATATCCACGTGCAGACTTTACAAACAGAGTGTTTCCAAACTGCTGAATGAAAAGAAAAGTTAAACTCTGAGAGTTGAACGCACACATCGCAGAGCAGTTTCTGAGAATGATTCTGTCTAGTTTTTATACGAAGATATTTCCTTTTCTGCCTTTGGCCTCAAAGCGCTTGAAATCTCCACTTGCAAATTCCACAAAAAGAGTGTTTCAAATCTGCTCATTGTAAATGAAAGTTCAACTCTGTGAGTTGAACACACACAACACAAGGAAGTTACTGGGAATACTTCTGTCTAGCATAATATGAAGAAATCCCTTTTCCAACGAAGGCCTCAAGGAGGTCTGAATATCCACTTGCAGACTTTACAAACAGAGTGTTTCCTAACTGCTCTATGAAAAGAAAGTTTAACTCTGTGAGTTGAACGCAGACATCACAAAGGAGTTTCTGAGAATCATTCTGTCTAGTTTCTATAGGAAGATATTTCCTATTCTACCATTGACCTCAAAGCGGCTGAAATCTCCACTTGCAAATTCCACAACAAGAGTGTTTCAACTATGCTCTGTGTAAAGGATCGTTCAACTCTGTGAGTTGAATACACACAACACAAGGAAGTTACTGAGAATTCTTCTGTCTAGCAGAATATGAAGAAATCCCGTTTCCAACGAAGGCCACAAGATGTCAGAATATCCACTTACAGACTTTACAAACAGAGTGTTTCCTCACTGCTCTATGAACAGAAAGGTTAATCTCTGTGAGTTGAACGAACACATCACAACGCAGTTTGTGGGAATGATTCTGTCTAGTTTTGAACGAAGATATTTCCTTTTCTGCCATTGACCTTAAAGCGCTTGAAATCTACACTTGCAAATTGCACAAATAGAGTGTTTCAAATCTGCTCTGTCTAAGGGAACGTTCAACTCTGTGAGTTGAATGCACACAACACAAGGAAGTTACTGGGAATTCTTCTGTCTAGCCTTACAGGAAAAAAACCCGTTTCCAACGAATGCCTCTAAGTGGTCAAAATATCCACGTGCAGACTTTACAAAGAGAGTGTTTCCAAACTGCTGAATGAAAAGAAAAGTTAAACTCTGAGAGTTGAACGCACACATCGCAGAGCAGTTTCTGAGAATGATTCTGTCTAGTTTTTATACGAAGATATTTCCTTTTCTGCCTTTGGCCCCAAAGCGCTTGAAATCTCCACTTGCAAATTCCACAAAAACAGTGTTTCAAAACTGCTCTCTCTAAATGAAAGTTCAACTCTGTCAGTTGAATACACACAACACAAGGGAAGTTACTGAGAATTCTTCTGTCTAGCATAATATGAAGAAATCCCGTTTCCAACGAAGGCCACAAAGGGGTCTGAATATCCACTTGCAGACTTTATAAACAGAGTGTTTACTAACTGCTCTATGAAAAGAAAAGTTAAACTCTGTGAGTTGAACACACACATCACAAAGGAGTTTCTGAGAATCATTCTGTCTAGTTGTTATACGAAGATATTTCCTTTTCTACCATTGACCTCAAAGCGGCTGAAATCTCCACTTGCAAATTCCACCAAATGAGTGTTTCAAATCTGCTCTGTGTAAACCGTCGTTCAACTCTGTGAGTTGAATACACACAACACAAGGAAGATTCTGAGAATTCTTCTGTCTAGCAGAATATGAAGAAATCCCGTTTCCAACGAAGGCCACAAGATGTCAGAATATCCACTTACAGAATTTACAAACAGACTGTTTCCTAACTGCTCTATGAAAAGAAAGGTTAAACTCTGTGAGTTGAACGAACACATCACAACGTAGTTTGTGGGAATGATTCTGTCTAGTTTTGAAACGAAGATATTTCCTTTTCTGCCATTGACCTTATAGCGCTTGAAATCTCCACTTGCCAATTGCACAAAAAGAGTATTTCAAATCTGCTCTGTCTAAGGGAACGTTCAACTCTGTGAGTTGAATGTACACAACACAAGGAAGTTACTGGGAATTCTTCCGTCTAGCCTTACATGAAAAAAACCCGTTTCCAACGAAGGCCTCTAAGTGGTCAAATTATCCACGTGCAGACTTTACAAACAGAGTGTTTCCAAACTGCTGAATGAAAAGAAAAGTTAAACTCTGAGAGTTGAACGCACACATCGCAGAGCAGTTTCTGAGAATGATTCTGTCTAGTTTTTATACGAAGATATTTCCTTTTCTGCCTTTGACCTCAAAGCGCTTGAAATCTCCATTTGCAAATTCCACAAAAAGAGAGTTTCAAATCTGCTCTGTGTAAATGAAAGTTCAACTCTGTGAGTTGAACACACACAACACAAGGAAGTTACTGGGAATTCTTCTGTCTAGCATAATATGAAGAAATCCCGTTTCCTACGAAGGCCTCAAAGAGGTCTGAATATCCACTTGCAGACTTTACAAACAGAGTGTTTCCTAACTACTCTATGAAAAGAAAGGTTAAACTCTGTGAGTTGAGCGCACACATCACAAAGGAGTTTCTGAGAATCATTCTGTCTAGTTTTTATACGAAGATATTACCTTTTCTACCATGGACCTCAAAGCGGCTGAAATCTCCACTTGCAAATTCCACAAAAAGAGTGTTTCAAGTCTGCTCTGTGTAAAGGATCGTTCAACTCTGTGAGTTGAATACACCCAACACAAGGAAGATTCTGAGAATTCTTCTGTCTAGCAGAATATGAAGAAATCCCGTTTCCAACGAAGGCCTCAAGGAGGTCTGAATATCCACTTGCAGACTGTACAAACAGAGTGTTTCCTAACTGCTCTATGAACAGAAAGGTTAAACTCTGTGAGTTGAACGAACACATCACAACGCAGTTTGTGGGAATGATTCTGTCTAGTTTTGAAACGAAGAAATTTCCTTTTCTGCCATTGACCTTAAAGCGCTTGAAATCTACACTTGCAAATTGCACAAATAGAGTGTTTCAAATCTGCTCTGTCTAAGGGAACGTTCAACTGTGTGAGTTGAATGCACACAACACAAGGAAGTTACTGGGAATTCTTCTGTCTAGCCTTACATGAAAAAAACCCGCTTCCAACGAAGGCCTCTAAGTGGTCAAATTATTCACGTGCAGACGTTACAAACAGAGTGTTTCCAAACTGCTGAATGAAAAGAAAAGTTAAACTCTGAGAGTTGAACGCACACATCGCAGAGCAGTTTCTGAGAATGATTCTGTCTAGTTTCTATAGGAAGATATTTCCTATTCTACCATTGACCTCAAAGAGGCTGAAATCTCCACTTGCAAATTCCACAAAAAGACTGTTTCAAGTCTGCTCTGTGTAAAGGATCGTTCAAATCTGTGAGTTGAATACTCACAACACAAGGAAGTTACTGAGAATTCTTCTGTCTAGCATAATATGTAGAAATCCCGTTTCCAACGAAGGCCTCAAGGAGGTCTGAATATCCACTTGCAGACTTTACAAACAGAGTGTTTCCTAACTGCACTATGAAAAGAAAGGTTAAACTCTGTGAGTTGAACGCACGCATCACAAAGGAGTTTCTGAGAATCATTCTGTCTAGTTTTTATAGGAAGATATTTCCTTTTCTACCTTTGACTTCAAAGCGGCTGAAATCTCCACTTGCAAATTCCACAAAAAGAGTGTTACAAGTCTGCTCTGTGTAAAGTATCGTTCAACTCTGTGAGTTGAATACACACAACACAAGGAAGTTACTGAGAATTCTTCTGTCTAGCAGAATATGAAGAAATCCCGTTTCCAACGAAGGCCACAAGATGTCAGAATATCCACTTATAGACTTTACAAACAGAGTGTTTCCTAACTGCTCTATGAACAGAAAGGTTAAACTCTGTGAGTTGAACGAACACAATCACAACGCAGTTTGTGGGAATGATTCTGTCTAGTTTTCAAACGAAGATATTTCCTATTCTACCATTGACCTTAAAGCGCTTGAAATCTCCATTTGCCAATTGCACAAAAAGAGTGTTTCAAATCTGCTCTGTCTAAGGGAACGTTCAACTCTGTGAGTTGAATGTACACAACACAAGGAAGTTACTGGGAATTCTTCTGTCTAGCCTTCCATGAAAAAAACCCGTTTCCAACGAAGGCCTCTAAGTGGTCAAATTATCCACGTGCAGACTTTACAAACAGAGTGTTTCCAAACTGCTGAATGAAAAGAAAAGTTAAACTCTGAGAGTTGAACGCACACATCGCAGAGCAGTTTCTGAGAATGATTCTGTCTAGTTTCTATTGGAAGATATTTCCTATTCTACCATTGACCTCAAAGCGGCTGAAATCTCCACTTGCAAATTCCACAAAAAGAGTGTTTCAAGTGTGCTCTCTGTAAAGGATCGTTCAACTCTGTGAGTTGAATACACACAACACAAGGAAGTTACTGAGAATTGTTCTGTCTAGCATAATATGAAGAAATCTCGTTTCCACCGAAGGCCTCAAAGAGGTCTGAATATCCACTTGCAGACTTTACAAACAGAGTGTTTCCTAACTGCTCTATGAAAAGAAAAGTTTAACTCTGTGTGTTGAACGCACACATCACAAAGGAGTTTCTGAGAATCATTCTGTCTAGTTTTTATACGAAGATATTTCCTTTTCTACCATTGACCTCAAAGCGGCTGAAATCTCCACTTGCAAATTCCACAAAAAGAGTGTTTCAAGTCTGCTCTGTGGTAAAGGATCGTTCAACTCTGTGAGTTGAAAACACACAACACAAGGAAGTTTCTGAGAATTCTTCTGTCTAGCAGAATATGAAGAAATCCCGTTTCCAACGAAAGCCTCAAAGATGTCTGAATATCCACTTGCAGACATTACAAACAGAGTGTTTCCTAACTGCTCTATGAAAAGAAAGGTTAAACTCTGTGAGTTGAACGCACATATCACAAAGGAGTTTCTGAGAATCATTCTGTCTAGTTTTGAAACGAAAATATTTCCTTTTCTGCCATTGACCTTAAAGCGCTTGAAATCTACACTTGCAAATTGCACAAATAGAGTGTTTCAAATCTGCTCTGTCTAAGGGAACATTCATCTCTGTGACTTGAGTGCACACAACACAAGGAAGTTATTGGGAATTCTTCTGTCTAGCCTTACATGAAAAAAACCCGTTTCCAACGAAGGCCTCTAAGTGGTCACAATGTCCACGTGCAAACTTTACAAACAGAGTGTTTCCAAACTGCTGAATGAAAAGAAAAGTTAAACTCTGAGAGTTGAACGCACACATCACAGAGCAGTTTCTGAGAAAGACTCTGTCTAGTTTTTATACGAAGATATTTCCTTTTCTGCCTTTGACCTCAAAGCGCTTGAAATCTCCACTTGCAAATTCCACAAAAAGAGTGTTTCAAATCTGCTCTGTGTAAATGAAAGTTCAACTCTGTGAGTTGAACACACACAACACAAGGGAAGTTACTGGGAATTCTTCTGTCTAGCATAATATGAAGAAATCCCGTTTCCAACGAAGGCCTTAAGGAGGTCTGAATATCCAGTTGCAGACTTTACAAACAGAGTGTTTCCTAACTGCTCTATGAAAAGAAAGGTTAAACTCTGTGAGTTGAATGCACACATCACAAAGGAGTTTCTGAGAATCATTCTGTCTACTTTTTATACGAAGATATTTCCTTTTCTACCATTGACTTCAAAGCGGCTGAAATCTCCACTTGCAAATTCCACAAAAAGAGTGTTTCAAGTCTGCTCTGTGTAAAGGATCGTTGAACTCTGTGAGTTGAATACACACAACACAAGGAAGTTACTGAGAATTCTTCTCTCTAGCAGAATATGAAGAAATCCCGTTTCCAACGAAGGCCTCAAAGAGGTCTGAATATCCACTTGCAGACTTTACAAACAGAGTGTTTCCTAACTGCTCTATGAAAAGAATGGTAAAACTCTGTGAGTTGAACGCACACATCACAAAGGAGTTTCTGAGAATCATTCTGTCTAGTTTCTATAGGAAGATATTTCCTATTCTACCATTGACCTGAAAGCGGCTGAAATCTCCACTTGCAAATTCCACAAAAAGAGTGTTTCAAGTCTGCTGTGTGTAAAGAATCGTTCAACTCTGTGAGTTGAATACACACAACACAAGGAAGTTACTGAGAATTCTTCTGTCTAACAGAATATGAAGAAATCCCGTTACCAACGAAGGCCACAAGATGTCAGAATATCCACTTACAGAATTTACAAACAGATTGTTTCCTAACTGCTCTATGAAAAGAAAGGTTAAACTCAGTGAGTTGAAAGAACACATCACAACGCAGTTTGTGGGAATGATTCTGTCTAGTTTTGAAACGAAGATATTTCCTTTTCTTCCATTGACCTTAAAGCGCTTGAAATCTCCACTTGCCAATTGCACAAAAAGAGTGTTTCAAATCTGCTCTGTCTAAGGGAACGTTCAACTCTGTGAGTTGAATGTACACAACACAAGGAAGTTACTGGGAATTCTTCTGTCTAGCCTTACAGGAAAAAAATCCGTTTCCAACGAAAGCCTCTAAGTGGTCAAAATATCCACGTGCAGACTTTACAAACAGAGTGTTTCCAAACTGCTGAATGAAAAGAAAAGTTAAACTCTGAGAGTTGAACGCACACATCGCAGAGCAGTTTCTGAGAATGATTCTGTCTAGTTTTGAAACGAAGATATTTCCTTTTCTGCCTTTGGCCTCAAAGCGCTTGAAATCTCCACTTGCAAATTCCACAAAAAGAGTGTTTCAAATCTGCTCTGTGTAAATGAAAGTTCAACTCTGTGAGTTGAACACACACAACACAAGGAAGTTACTGGGAATTCTCTGTCTAGCAGAATATGAAGAAATCCCTTTTCCAACGAAAGCCTCAATGATGTCTGAATATCCACCTGCAGACTTTACAAACAGAGTGTTTCCTAACTGCTCTATGAAAAGAAAGTTTAAACTCTGTGAGTTGAACGCACACATCACAAAGGAGTTTCTGAGAATCATTCTGTCTAGTTTTTATACGAAGATATTTCCTTTTCTACCATGGACCTCAAAGCGGCTGAAATCTCCACTTGCAAATTCCACAAAAAGAGTGTTTCAAGTCTGCTCTGTGTAAAGCATCGTTCAACTCTGTGAGTTGAATACACACAACACCAAGAAGTTACTGAGAATTCTTCTGTCTAGCAGAATACGAAGAAATCCCGTTTCCAACGAAGGCCTCAAAGAGGTCTGAATATCCACTTGCAGACTTTACAAACAGAGTGTTTCCTAACTGCTCTAAGAAAAGAAAGGTTAAACTGTGTGAGTTGAACGCTCACATCACAAAGGAGTTTCTGAGAATCGTTCTGTCTAGTTTTTCTACGAAGATATTTCCTTTTCTACCATTGACCTCAAAGTGGCTGAAATCTCCACTTGCAAATTCCACAAAAAGAGTGTTTCAAGTCTGCTCTGTGTAAAGGATCGTTCAACTCTGTGAGTTGAATACACACAACACAAGGAAGTTACTGAGAATTCTTCTGTCTAGGAGAATATGAAGAAATCCCGTTTCCAACGAAGGCCACAAGATGTCAGAATATCCACTTACAGAATTGACAAACAGACTGTTTCCTAACTGCTCTATGAAAAGAAAGGTTAAACTCTGTGAGTTGAACGAACACATCACAACGCAGTTTGTGGGAATGATTCTGTCTAGTTTTGAAACGAAGATATTTCCTTTTCTGCCACTGACCTTAAAGCGCTTGAAATCTACACTTGCAAATTGCACAAATAGAGTGTTTCAAATCTGCTCTGTCTAAGGGAACGTTCAACTCTGTGAGTTGAATGCACACAACACAAGGAAGTTACTGGGAATTCTTCTGTCTAGCCTTACATGAAAAAAACCCGGTTCCAACGAAGGCCTCTAAGTGGTCAAGTTATCCACGTGCAGACTTTACAAACAGAGTGTTTCCAAACTGCTGAATGAAAAGAAAAGTTAAACTCTGAGAGTTGAACGCACACATCGCAGAGCAGTTTCTGAGAATGATTCTGTCTAGTTTTGAAACGAAGATATTTCCTTTTCTGCCTTTGGCCTCAAAGCGCTTGAAATCTCCACTTGCAAATTCCACAAAAAGAGTGTTTCAAATCTGCTCTGTGTAAATGAAAGTTCAACTCTGTGATTTGAACACACACAACACAAGGAAGTTACTGGGAATTCTTCTGTCTAGCAGAATATGAAGAAATCCCGTTTCCAACGAAGGCCCCAAGGAGGTCTGAATATCCACTTGCAGACTTTACAAACAGAGTGTTTCCTAACTGCTCTATGAACAGAAAGGTTAAACTCTGTGAGTTGAACGCACACATCACAAAGGAGTTTCTGAGAATCATTCTGTCTAGTTTCGATACGAAGATATTCCCTTTTCTACCATTGACCTCAAAGCGGCTGAAATCTCCACTTGCAAATTCCACAAAAAGAGTGTTTCAAGTCTGCTCTGTGTAAAGGATCGTTCAACTCTGTGAGTTGAATACACACAACACAAGGAAGTTATTGAGAATTCTTCTGTCTAGCAGAATATGAAGAAATCCCGTTTCCAACGAAGGCCACAAGATGTCAGAATATCCACTTACAGACTTTACAAACAGAGTGTTTCCTAACTGCTCTATGAACAGAAAGGTTAAACTCTGTGAGTTGAACGAGCACATCACAACGCAGTTTGTGGGAATGATTCTGTCTAGTTTTGAAACGGAGATATTTCCTTTTCTGCCATTGACCTTAAAGCGCTTGAAATCTACACTTGCAAATTGCACAAATAGAGTGTTTCAAATCTGCTCTGTCTAAGGGAACGTTCAACTCTGTGAGTTGAATGCACACAACACAAGGAAGTTACTGGGAATTCTTCTGTCTAGCCTTACAGGAAAAAAACCCGTTTCCAACGAAGGCCTCTAAGTGGTCAAGTTATCCACGTGCAGACTTTACAAACAGAGTGTTTCCAAACTGCTGAATGAAAAGAAAAGTTAAACTCTGAGAGTTGAACGCACACATCGCAGAGCAGTTTCTGAGAATGATTCTGTCTAGTTTTTATACGAAGATATTTCCTTTTCTGCCTTTGGCCTCAAAGCGCTTGAAATCTCCACCTGCAAATTCCACAAAAAGA
Organism: Homo sapiens; assembly: GCF_000001405.40. NCBI lineage: Eukaryota > Metazoa > Chordata > Mammalia > Primates > Hominidae > Homo > Homo sapiens. Next base: position 47,861,549 of record NC_000005.10, on the reverse strand, counting down.
GTGTTTCAAATCTGCTCTGTGTAAATGAAAGTTCAACTCTGTGAGTTGAACACACACAACACAAGGGAAGTTACTGGGAATTCTTCTTTCTAGCAGAATATGAAGAAATCCCGCTTCCAACGAAGGCCTCAAAGAAGTCTGAATATCCACTTGCAGACTTTACAAACAGAGTGTTTCCCAACTGCTCTATGAAAAGAAAGGTTGAACTCTGTGAGTTGAACGCACACATCACAAAGGAGTTTCTGAGAATCATTCTGTCTAGTTTCTATACGAAGATATTTCCTATTCTACCATTGACCTCAAAGCGGCTGAAATCTCCACTTGCAAATTCCACAAAAAGAGTGTTTCAAGTCTGCTCTGTGTAAAGGATCGTTCAACTCTGTGAGTTGAATACACACAACACAAGGAAGTTACTGAGAAATCTTCTGTCTAGCAGAATATCAAGAAATCCCGTTTCCAACGAAGGCCTCAAGGTGGTCTGAATATCCACTTGCAGACTTTACAAACAGAGTGTTTCCTAACTGCTCTATGAATAGAAAGGTTAAACTCTGTGAGTTGAACGAACACATCACAACGCAGTTTGTGGGAATGATTCTGTCTAGTTTTTATAGGAAGATATTTCCTTTTCTGCCTTTGACTTCAAAGCGGCTGAAATCTCCACTTGCAAATTCCACAAAAAGAGTGTTACAAGTCTGCTCTGTGTAAAGGATCGTTCAACTCTGTGAGGTGAATACACACAACACAAGGAAGTTACTGAGAATTCTTCTGTCTAGCCTTACATGAAAAAAACCCGTTTCCAACGAAGGCCTCTAAGTGGTCAAATTATCCACGTGCAGACTTTAAAAACAGAGTGTTTCCAAACTGCTGAATGAAAAGAAAAGTTAAACTGCTGAGAGTTGAACGCACACATCGCAGAGCAGTTTCTGAGAATGATTTCTGTCTAGTTTTGAAACGAAGATATTTCCTTTTCTGCCTTTGGCCTCAAAGCGCTTGAAATCTCCACTTGCAAATTCCACAAAAAGAGTGTTTCAAATCTGCTCTGTGTAAATGGAAGTTTAACTCTGTGAGTTGAACACACACAACACAAGGAAGTTACTGGGAATTCTTCTGTCTAGAATAATATGAAGAAATCCCGTTTCCAACGAAGGCCTCAAAGAGGTCTGAATATCCACTTGCAGACTTTACAAACAGAGTGTTTCCTAACTGCTCTATGAACAGAAAAGTTAAACTCTGTGAGTTGAACGCACACATCACAAAGGAGTTTCTGAGAATCATTCTGTCTAGTTTTTATACGAAGATATTTCCTTTTCTACCATGGACCTCAAAGCGGCTGAAATCTCCACTTGCAAATTCCACAAAAAGAGTGTGTCAAATCTGCTCTGTGTAAAGGATCGTTCATCTCTGTGAGTTGAATACACAGAACACAAGGAAGTTTCTGAGAATTCTTCTGTCTACCAGAATATGAAGAAATCCCGTTTCCAAAGAAAGCCTCAAGGAGGTCTGAATATCCACTTGCAGACTTTACAAACAGAGTGTTTCCTAACTGCTCTATGAACAGAAAGGTTAAACTCTGTGAGTTGAACGAACACATCACAACGCAGTTTGTGGGAATGATTCTGTCTAGTTTTGAAACGAAGATATTTCCTTTTGTGCCATTGACCTTAAAGCGCTTGAAATCTACACTTGCAAATTGCACAAATAGAGTGTTTCAAATCTGCTCTGTCTAAGGGAACGTTCAACTCTGTGAGTTGAATGCACACAACACAAGGAAGTTACTGGGAATTCTTCTGTCTAGCCTTACATGAAAAAAACCCCTTTCCAACGAAGGCCTCTAAGTGGTCAAAATATCCACGTGCAGACTTTACAACAGAGTGTTTCCAAACCGCTGAATGAAAAGAAAAGTTAAACTCTGAGAGTTGAACGCATACATCACGCAGCAGTTTCTGAGAATGATTCTGTCTAGTTTTTATACGAAGATATTTCCTTTTCTGCCTTTGGCCGCAAAGCGCTTGAAATCTCCACTTGCAAATTCCACAAAAACAGTGTTTCAAATCTGCTCTCTCTAAATGAAAGTTCAACTCTGTCAGTTGAATACACACAACACAAGGTAAGTTACTGAGAATTCTTCTGTCTAGCATAATATGAAGAAATCCCGTTTCCAACGAAGGCCTCAAGAGGTCTGAATATCCACTTGCAGACTTTACAAACAGAGTGTTTCCTAACTGCTCTATGAAAAGAAAAGTTAAACTCTGTGAGTTGAACGCACACATCACATAGGAGTTCCTGAGAATCATTCTGTCTAGTTTCTATAGGAAGATATTTCCTATTCTACCATTGACCACAAAGCGGCTGAAATCTCCACTTGCAAATTCCACAAAAAGAGTTTTTCAAGTCTGCTCTGTGTAAAGGATCATTTAACTCTGTGAGTTGAATACACACAACACAAGGAAGTTACTGAGAATTCTTCTGTATAGCAGAATATGAAGAAATCCCGTTTCCAAAGAAGGCAACAAGATGTCAGTATATCCACTTAGAGACTTTACAAACAGAGTGTTTCCTAACTGCTCTATGAAAAGAAAGGTTAAACCCTGTGAGTTGAACGAAAACATCACAACGCAGTTTGTGGGAATGATTCTGTCTAGTTTTTATATGAAGATATTTCCTTTTCTACCATTGACCACAAAGCGGCTGAAATCACCACTTGCCAATTGCACAAAAAGAGTGTTTCAAATCTGCTCTGTCTAAGGAAACGTTCAACTCTGTGAGTTGAATGTACACAACACAAGGAAGTTACTGGGAATTCTTCTGTCTAGCAGAATTTGAAGAAATCCCGTTTCCAACGAAGGCCTCAAGGAGGTCTGAATATCCACTTGCAGACTTTACAAACAGAGTGTTTCCTAACTGCTATATGAAAAGAAAGGTTAAACTGTGTGAGTTGAACGCACACATCACAAAGGAGTTTCTCAGAATCATTCTGTCTAGTTTTTCTACGAAGATATTTCCTATTCTACCATTGACCTCAAAGCGGCTGAAATCTCCACTTGCAAATTCCACAAAAAGAGTGTTTCAAGTCTGCTCTGTGAAAAGGATCGTTCAACTCTGTGAGTTGAATACACACAACACAAGGAAGTTACTGAGAATTCTTCTGTCTAGCAGAATATGAAGAAATCCCGTTTCCAACGAAGGCCTCAAAGAGGTCTGAATATCCACTTGCAGACTTTACAAACAGAGTGTTTCCTAACTGCTCTATGAAAAGAAAGGTTAAACTCTGTGAGTTGAATGCACACATCACAAAGGAGTTTCTGAGAATCCTTCTGTCCAGTTTTTATACGAAGATATTTCCTTTTCTACCATTGACCTCAACGCGGCTGAAATCTCCACTTGCAAATTCCACAAAAAGGGTGTTTCAAGTCTGCTCTGTGTAAAGGATCGTTCAACTCTGTGAGTTGAATACACACAACACAAGGAAGTTACTGAGAATTCTTCTGTCTAGCAGAATATGAAGAAATCCCGTTTCCAACGAAGGCCACAAGATGTCAGAATATCCACTTACAGAATTTTCAAACAGACTGTTTCCTAACTGCTCTATGAAAAGAAAGGTTAAACTCTGTGAGTTGAACGAACACATCACAACGCAGTTTGCGGGAATGATTCTGTCTAGTTTTTATACGAAGATATTTCCTTTTCTACCATTGACCTCAAAGCGGTTGAAATCAACACTTGCCAATTGCACAAAAAGAGTGTTTCAAATCTGCTCTGTCTAAGGGAACGTTCAACTCTGTGAGTAGAATGTACACAACACAAAGAAGTTACTGGGAATTCTTCTGTCTAGCATAATATGAAGAAATCCCGTTTCCAACGAAGTCCTAAAGGAGGTCTCAATATCCACTTGCAGACTTTACAAACAGAGTGTTTCCTAACTGCTCTATGAAAAGAAAGGTTAAACTCTGTGAGTTGAACGCACACATCACAAAGGAGTTTCTGAGAATCATTCTGTCTAGTTTGTATAAGAAGATATTTCCTATTCTACCATTGACCTCAAAGCGGCTGAAATCTCCACTTGCAAATTCGACAAAAAGAGTGTTTCAAGCCTGCTCTCTGTAAAGGATCCTTCAACTCTGTGAGTTGAATACACACAACACAAGGAAGTTACTGAGAATTCTTCTGTCTAGCATAATATGAAGAAATCCCGTTTCCAACGAAGACCTCAAAGGGGTCTGAATATCCACTTGCAGACTTTATAAACAGAGTGTTTCCTAACTGCTCTATGAAAAGAAAGGTTAAACTCTGTGAGTTGAACACACACATCACAAAGGAGTTTCTGAGAATCATTCTGTCTAGTCTTTATATGAAGATAGTTTCCTTTTCAACCATTGACCTCAAAGCGGCTGAAATCTCCACTTGCAAATTCCACAAAAAGAGTGTTTCAAGTCTGCTCTGTGTAAAGGATCGTTCAACTGTGTGAGTTGAATACACACAACACAAGGAAGTTACTGAGAATTCTTCTGTCTAGCAGAATATGAAGAAATCCCGTTTCCAACGAAGGCCTCAAGGAGGTCTGAATATCCACTTGCAGACTTTACAAACAGAGTGTTTCCTAACTGCTCTATGAACAGAAAGGTTAAACTCTGTGAGTTGAACGAACACATCACAACGCCGTTTGTGGGAATGATTCTGTCTAGTTTTGAAACGAAGATATTTCCTTTTCTGCCATTGACCTTAAAGCGCTTGAAATCTCCACTTGCCGATTGCACAAAAAGAGTGTTTCAAATCTGCTCTGTCTAAGGGAACGTTCAACTCTGTGAGTTGAATCTACACAACACAAGGAAGTTACTGGGAATTCTTCTGTCTAGCCTTACAAGAAAAAAACCCGTTTCCAACGAAGGCCTCTAAATGGTCAAAATATCCACGTGCAGACTTTACAAACAGAGTGTTTCCAAACTTCTGAATGAAAAGAAAAGTTAAACTCTGAGAGTTGAACGCACACATCGCAGAGCAGTTTCTGAGAATGATTCTGTCTAGTTTTTATACGAAGATATTTCCTTTTCTGCCTTTGGCCTCAAAGCGCTTAAAATCTCCATTTGCAAATTCCACAAAAAGAGTGTTTCAAATCTGCTCTGTGTAAATGAAAGTTCAACTCTGTGAGTTGAACACACACAACACAAGGAAGTTACTGGGAATTCTTCTGTCTAGCAGAATAGGAAGAAATCCCGTTTCCAACGAAGGCCTCAAGGAGGTCTGAATATCCACTTGCAGACTTTACAAACAGAGTGTTTCCTAACTGCTCTATGAAAAGAAAGGTTAAACTCTGTGAGTTGAACGCACACATCACAAAGGAGTTTCTGAGAATCATTCTGTCTAGTTTCTATAGGAAGATATTTCCTATTCTACCATTGACCTCAAAGCGGCTGAAATCTCCACTTGCAAATTCCACAAAAAGAGTGTTTCAAGTCTGTTCTGTGTAAAGGATCATTCAACTCTGTGATTTGAATACACACAACACAAGGAAGTTACTGAGAATTCTTCTGTATAGCAGAATATGAAGAAATCCCGTTTCCAACGAAAGCCTCGAAGATGTCTGAATATCCACTTGCAGACTTTACAAACAGAGTGTTTCCTAACTGCTCTATGAGAAGAAAGGTTAAACTCTGTGAGTTGAACGCACACATCACAAAGGAGTTTCTGAGAATCGTTCTGTCTAGTTTTGAAACGAAGATATTTCCTTTTCTGCCATTGACCTTAAAGCGCTTGAAATCTCCACTTGCCAATTGCACAAAAAGAGTGTTTCAAATCTGCTCTGTCTAAGGGAACGTTCAATTCTGTGAGTTGAATGTACACAACACAAGGAAGTTACTGGGAATTCTTCTGTCTAGCCTTACATGAAAAAAACCCGTTTCCAACGAAGGCCTCTAAGTGGTCAAAATTTCCACGTGCAGACTTTACAAACGGAGTGTTTCCAAACGGCTGAATGAAAAGAAAAGTTAAACTCTGAGAGTTGAACGCACACATCACGCAGCAGTTTCTGAGAATGATTCTGTCTAGTTTTTATACGAAGATATTTCCTTTTCTGCCTTTGGCCCCAAAGCGCTTGAAATCTCCACTTGCAAATTCCACAAAAACAGTGTTTCAAATCTGCTCTCTCCAAATGAAAGTTCAACTCTGTCAGTTGAATACACACAACACAAGGAAGTTACTGAGAATTCTTCTGTCTAGCATAATATGAAGAAATCCCGTTTCCAACGAAGGCCTCAAAGGGGTCTGAATATCCACTTGCAGACTTTATAAACAGAGTGTTTACTAACTGCTCTATGAAAAGAAAGGTTAAACTCTGTGAGTTGAACACACACATCACAAACGAGTTTCTGAGAATCATTCTGTCTAGTTTCTATAGGAAGATATTTCCTATTCTACCATTGACCTCAAAGCGGCTGAAATCTCCACTTGCAAATTCCACAAAAAGAGTGTTTCAAGACTGTTCTGTGTAAAGGATCATTCAACTCTGTGAGTTAAATACACACAACACAAGGAAGTTACTGAGAATTCTTCTGTCTAGCCTTATATGAAAAAAACCCGTTTCCAACGAAGGCCTCAAAGAGGTCTGAATATCCACTTGCAGACTTTACAAACAGAGTGTTTCCTAACTGCTCTATGAAAAGAAAGGTTAAACTCTGTCAGTTGAACGCACACATCACAAAGGAGTTTCTGAGAATTATTCTGTCTAGTTTCTATAGGAAGATGTTTCCTATTCTACCATTGACCTCAAAGCGGCTGAAATCTCCCCTTGCAAATTCCACAACAAGAGTGTTTCAAGTATGCTCTGTGTAAAGGATCGTTCAACTCTGTGAGTTGAATACACACAACACAAGGAAGTTACTGAGAATTCTTCTGTCAAGCAGAATATGAAGAAATCCCGCTTCCAACGAAGGCCTCAAAGAAGTCTGAATATCCACTTGCAGACTTTACAAACAGAGTGTTTCCCAACTGCTCTATGAAAAGAAAGGTTGAACTCTGTGAGTTGAACGCACACATCACAAAGGAGTTTCTGAGAATCATTCTGTCTAGTTTTGAAACGAAGATATTTCCTTTTCTGCCATTGACCTTAAAGCGCTTGAAATCTCCACTTGCCAATTGCACAAAAAGAGTGTTTCAAATCTGCTCTGTCAAAGGGAACGTTCAACTCTGTGAGTTGAATGTACACAACACAAGGAAGTTACTGGGAATTCTTCTGTCTAGCCTTACATGAACAAAACCCGTTTCCAACGAAGGCCTCTAAGTGGTCAAATTATCCACGTGCAGACTTTACAAACAGAGTGTTTCCAAACTGCTGAATGAAAAGAAAAGTTAAACTCTGAGACTTGAACGCACACATCGCAGAGCAGTTTCTGAGAATGATTCTGTCTAGTTTTGAAACAAAGATATTTCCTTTTCTGCCTTTGGCCTCAAAGCGCTTGAAATCTCCACTTGCAAATTCCACAAAAAGAGTGTTTCAAATCTGCTCTGTGTAAATGAAAGTTCAACTCTGTGAGTTGAACACACACAACACAAGGAAGTTACTGGGAATTCTTCTGTCTAGCATAGTATGAAGAAATCCCGTTACCAACGAAGGCCTCAAAGAGGTCTGAATATCCACTTGCAGAGTTTACAAACAGAGTGTTTCCTAACTGCTCTATGAAAAGAAAGGTTAAACTCTGTGAGTTGAACGCACACATCACAAAGAAGTTTCTGAGAATCATTCTGTCTAGTTTCTATATGAAGATATTTCCTATTCTACCATTGACCTCAAAGCGGCTGAAATCTCCACTTGCAAATTCCACAAAAAGAGTGTTTCAAGTCTGCTCTGTGTAAAGGATCGTTCAACTCTGTGAGTTGAAAACACACAACACAAGGAAGTTTCTGAGAATTCTTCTGTCTAGCATAATATGTAGAAATCCCGTTTCCAACGAAGGCCTCATAGAGGTCTGAATATCCACATGCAGACTTTACAAACAGAGTGTTTCCTAACTGCTCTATGAGAAGAAAAGTTAAACTCTGTGAGTTGAACGCACACATCACAAAAGATTTTCTGAGAATCATTCTGTCTGGTTTTTATACGAAGATATTTCCTTTTCTACCATTGACCTCAACGCGGCTGAAATCTCCACTTGCAAATTCCACAAAAAGTGTGTTTCAAGTCCGCTCTGTGTAAAGGATCGTTCAACTCTGTGAGTTGAATACACACAACACAAGGAAGTTACTGAGAATTCTTCTGTCTAGCACAGTATGAAGAAATCCCGTTTCCAACGAAGGCCTCAAAGAGGTCTGAATATCCACTTGCAGACTTTACAAGCAGAGTGTTTCCTAACTGCTCTATGAAAAGAAAGGTTAAACTCTGTGAGTTGAACGCACACATCACAAAGGAGTTTCTGAGAATCATTCTGTCTAGTTTTGAAACGAAGATGTTTCCTTTTCTGCCATTGACCTTAAAGCGCTTGAAATCTCCACTTGCCAATTGCACAAAAAGAGTGTTTCAAATCTGCTCTGTCTAAGGGAACGTTCAACTGCTTGTGAGTTGAATGTACACAACACAAGGATAGTTACTGGGAATTCTTCTGTCTAGCCTTACAGGAAAAAAACCCGTTTGCAACGAAGGCCTCTAAGTGGTCAAAATATCCACGTGCAGACATTACAAACAGAGTGTTTCCAAACTGCTGAATGAAAAGAAAAGTTAAACTCTGAGAGTTGAACGCACACATCGCAGAGCAGTTTCTGAGAATGATTCTGTCTAGTTTTTATACGAAGATATTTCCTTTTCTGCCTTTGGCCTCAAAGCGCTTGTAATCTCCGCTTGCAAATTCCACAAAAAGAGTGTTTCAAATCTGCTCTGTCTAAATGAGAGTTCAACTCTGTCAGTTGACTACACACAACACAAGGAAGTTACTGAAAATTCTTCTGTCTAGCATAATATGAAGAAATCCCGTTTCCAACGAAGGCCTCAAAGAGGTCTGAATATCCACTTGCAGACTTTACAAATAGAGTGTTTCCTAACTGCTCTATGAAAAGAAAAGTTAAACTCTGTGAGTTGAACGCACACATCACAAAGGAGTTTCTGAGAATCATTCTGTCTAGTTTTTCTACGAAGATATTTCCTTTTCTACTATTGACCTAAAAGCGGCTGAAATCTCCACTTGCAAATTCCACAAAAAGAGTGTTTCAAGTCTGCTCTGTGTAAAGGATCGTTCAACTCTGTGAGTTGAATACACACAACACAAGGAAGTTACTGAGAACTCTTCTGTCTACCAGAAAATGAAGAAATCCCGTTTCCAACGAAGGCCTCAAGGAGGTCTGAATATCCACTTGCAGACTTTACAAACAGAGTGTTTCCTAACTGCTCTATGAACAGAAAGGTTAAACTCTGTGAGTCGAACGAACACATCACAACGCAGTTTGTGGGAATGATTCTGTCTAGTTTTGAAACGAAGATATTTCCTTTTCTGCCATTGACCTTAAAGCGCTTGAAATCTCCACTTGCCAATTGCACAAAAAGAGAGTTTCAAATCTGCTCTGTCTAAGGGAACGTTCAACTCTGTGAGTTGAATGTACACAACACAAGGAAGTTACTGGGAATTCTTCTGTCTAGCCTTACATTAAAAAAACCCGTTTCCAACGAAGGCCTCTAAGTGGTCAAGTTATCCACGTGCAGACTTTACAAACAGAGTGTTTCCAAACTGCTGAATGAAAAGAAAAGTTAAACTCTGAGAGTTGAACGCACACATCGCAGAGCAGTTTCTGAGAATGATTCTGTCTAGTTTTTATACGAAGATATTTCCTTTTCTGCCTTTGGCCCCAAAGCGCTGGAAATCTCCACTTGCAAATTCCACAAAAACAGTGTTTCAAATCTGCTCTCTCTAAATGAAAGTTCAACTCTGTCAGTTGAATACACACAACACAAGGAAGTTACTGAGAATTCTTCTGTCTAGCAGAATATGAAGAAATCCCGTTTCCAACGAAGGCCTCAAAGAGGTCTTAATATCCACTTGCAGACTTTACAAACAGAGTGTTTCCTAACTGCTCTATGAAACGAAAGGTTAAACTCTGTGAGTTGAACGCACACATCACAAAGGAGTTTCTGAGAATCATTCTGTCTAATTTTTATACGAAGATATTTCCTTTCCTACCATTGACCTCAAAGCGGCTGAAATCTCCACTTGCAAATTCCACAAAAAGAGTGTTTCAAGTCTGCTCTGTGTAAACGATCGTTCAACTCTGTGAGTTGAATACACACAACCCAAGGAAGTTTCTGAGAATTCTTCTGTCTAGCAGAATATGAAGAAATCCCGTTTCCAACGAAGGCCACAAGATGTCAGAATATCCACTTACAGAATTTACAAACAGACTGTTTCCTAACTGCTCTATGAAAAGAAAGGTTAAACTCTGTGAGTTGAACAAACACATCACAACGCAGTTTGTGGGAATGATTCTGTCTAGTTTTTATAGGAAGATATTTCCTTTTCTACCTTTGACTTCAAAGCGGCTGAAATCTCCACTTGCAAATTCCACAAAAAGAGTGTTACAAGACTGCTCTGTGTAAAGGATCGTTCAACTCTGTGAGTTGAATACACACAACACAAGGAAGTTACTGAGAATTCTTCTGTCTAGCCTTACATGAAAAAAACCCGTTTCCATCGAAGACCTCTAAGTGGTCAAATTATGCACGTGCAGACTTTACAAACAGAGTGTTTCCAAACTGCTGAATGAAAAGAAAAGTTAAACTCTGAGAGTTGAACGCACACATCACAGAGCAGTTTCTGAGAATGATTTCTGTCTAGTTTTTATACGAAGATATTTCCTTTTCTGCCTTTGGCCCCAAAGCGCTTGAAATCTCCACTTGCAAATTCCACAAAAACAGTGTTTCAAATCTGCTCTCTCTAAATGAAAGTTCAACTCTGTCAGTTGAATAAACACAACACAAGGAAGTTACTGAGAATTCTTCTGTCTAGCATAATATGAAGAAATCCCGTTTCCAACGAAGGCCTCAAGGAGGTCTGAATATCCACTTGCAGACTTTACAAACAGAGTGTTTCCTAACTGCTCTATGAAAAGAAAGGTTAAACTCTGTGAGTTGAACGCAGACATCACAAAGGAGTTTCTGAGAATCACTCTGTCTAGTTTTTATAGGAAGATATTTCCTTTTCTACCTTTGACTTCAAAGCGGCTGAAATCTCCACTTGCAAATTCCACAAAAAGAGTGTTTCAAGTCTGCTCTGTGTAAAGGATCGTTCAACTCTGTGAGTTGAATACACACAACACAAGGGAAGATTCTGAGAATTCTTCTGTCTAGCAGAATATGAAGAAATCCCGTTTCCAACGAAGGCCACAAGATGTCAGAATATCCACTTACAGAATTTACAAACAGACTGTTTCCTAACTGCTCTATGAAAAGAAAGGTTAAACTTCTGTGAGTTGAACGAACACATCACAACGCAGTTTGTGGGAATGATTTCTGTCTAGTTTTGAAACGAAGAAATTTCCTTTTCTGCCATTGACCTTAAAGCGCTTGAAATCTACACTTGCAAATTGCACAAATAGAGTGTTTCAAATCTGCTCTGTCTAAGGGAACGTTCAACTCTGTGAGTTGAATGCACACAACACAAGGAAGTTACTGGGAATTCTTCTGTCTAGCCTTACATGAAAAAAAACCCGTTTCCAACGAAGGCCTCTAAGTGGTCAAAATATCCAAGTGCAGACTTTACAAACAGAGTGTTTCCAAACCGCTGAATGAAAAGAAAAGTTAAACTCTGAGAGTTGAACGCACACATCACGCAGCAGTTTCTGAGAATGATTCTGTCTAGTTTTTATACGAAGATATTTCCTTTTCTTCCTTTGGCCCCAAAGCGCTTGAAATCTCCACTTGCAAATTCCACAAAAACAGTGTTTCAAATCTGCTATCTCTAAATGAAAGTTCAACTCTGTCAGTTGAATACACACAACACAAGGAAGTTACTGAGAATTCTTCTGTCTAGCATAATATGAAGAAATCCCGTTTCCAACGAAGGCCTCAAAGAGGTCTGAATATCCACTTGCAGACTTTAAAAACAGAGTGTTTCCTAACTACTCTAGGAAAAGAAAGGTTAAACACTGTGAGTTGAACGCACACATCACAAAGGAGTTTCTGAGAATCATTCTGTCTAGTTTTTATACGAAGATATTTCCTTTTCTACCATTGACCTCAAAGCGGCTGAAATCTCCACCCTGCCAATTCCACAAAAAGAGTGTTTCAAGTCTACTCTCTGTAAAGGATCGTTGAACTCTGTGAGTTGAAAACACACAACAGAACGAAGTTTCTGAGAATTCTTCTGTCTAGCAGAATATGAAGAAATCCCGTTTCCAACGAAGGCCACAAGATGTCAGAATATCCACTTACAGACTTTACAAACAGAGTGTTTCCTAACTGCTCTATGAACAGAAAGGTTAAACTCTGTGAGTTGAACGAACACATCACAACGCAGTTTGTTGGAATGATTCTGTCTAGTTTTGAAACGAAGATATTTCCTTTTCTGCCATTGATCTTAAAGCGCTTGAAATCTCCATTTGCCAATTGCACAAAAAGAGTGTTTCAAATCTGCTCTGTCTAAGGGAACGTTCAACTCTGTGAGTTGAATGTACACAACACAAGGAAGTTACTGGGAATTCTTCTGTCTAGCCTTACAGGAAAAAAACCCGTTTCCAACGAAGGCCTCTAAGTGGTCAAAATATCCACGTGCAGACTTTACAAACAGAGTGTTTCCAAACTGCTGAATGAAAAGAAAAGTTAAACTCTGAGAGTTGAAGGCACACATCGCAGAGCAGTTTCTGAGAATGATTCTGTCTAGTTTTGAAACGAAGATATTTCCTTTTCTGCCTTTGGCCTCAAAGCGCTTGAAATCTCCACTTGCAAATTCCACAAAAAGAGTGTTTCAAATCTACTCTGTGTAAATGAAAGTTCAACTCTGTGAGTTGAACACACACAACAGAAGGAAGTTACTGGGAATTCTTCTGTCTAGCATAGTATGAAGAAATCCCGTTTCCAACGAAGGCCTCAAAGAGGTCTGAATATCCACTTGCAGAGTTTACAAACAGAGTGTTTCCTAACTGCTCTATGAAAAGAAAGGTTAAACTCTGTGAGTTGAACGCACACATCGCAAAGAAGTTTCTGAGAATCATTCTGTCTGGTTTCTATAGGAAGATATTTCCTATTCTACCATTGACCTCAAAGCGGCTGAAATCTCCACTTGCAAATTCCACAAAAAGAGTGTTTCAAGTCTACTCTGTGTAAAGGATCGTTCAACTCTGTGAGTTGAATACACACAACACAAGGAAGTTACTGAGAATTCTTCTGTCTAGAAGAATATGAAGAAATCCCGCTTCCAAAGAAGGCCTCAAAGAGGTCTGAATATCCACTTGCAGACTTTACAAACAGAGTGTTTCCCAACTGCTCTATGAAAAGAAAGGTTGAACTCTGTGAGTTGAACGCACACATCACAAAGGAGTTTCTGAGAATCATTCTGTCTAGTCTTTATACGAAGATATTTCCTTTTCTACCATTGACCTCAAAACGGCTGAAATCTCCACTTGCAAATTTCACAAAAAGAGTGTTTCAAGTCTGCTCTGTGTAAAGGATCGTTCAACTCTGTGAGTTGAATACACACAACACAAGGAAGTTACTGAGAATTCTTCTGTCTAGCAGAATATGAAGAAATCCCGTTTCCAACGAAGGCCTCAAGGAGGTCTGAATATCCACTTGCAGACTTTACAAACAGAGTGTTTCCTAAATGCTCTATGAACAGAAAGGTTAAACTCTGTGAGTTGAACGAACACATCACAACGCAGTTTGTGGGAATGATTCTGTCTAGTTTTGAAACGAAGATATTTCCTTTTCTGCCATTGACCTTAAAGCGCTTGGAATCTACACTTGCAAATTGCACAAATAGAGTGTTTCAAATCTGCTCTGTCTAAGGGAACGTTCAACTCTGTGAGTTGAATGCACACAACACAAGGAAGTTACTGGGAATTCTTCTGTCTAGCCTTACAGGAAAGAAACCCGTTTCCAACGAAGGCCTCTAAGTGGTCAAAATATCCACGTGCAGACTTTACAAACAGAGTGTTTCCAAACTGCTGAATGAAAAGAAAAGTTAAACTCTGAGAGTTGAACGCACACATCGCAGAGTAGTTTCTGAGAATGATTCTGTCTAGTTTCTATAGGAAGATATTTCCTATTCTACCATTGACCTCAAAGCGGCTGAAATCTCCACTTGCAAATTCCACAAAAACAGTGTTTCAAATCTGCTCTCTCTAAATGAAAGTTCAACTCTGTGAGTTGAATACACACAACACAAGGAAGTTACTGAGAATTATTCTGTCTAGCAGAATATGAAGAAATCCCGTTTCCAACGAAGGCCTCAAAGAGGTCTGAATATCCACTTGCAGACTTTACAAACAGAGTGTTTCCTAACTGCTCTATGAACAGAAAGGTTAAACTCTGTGAGTTGAACGCACACATCACAAAGGAGTTTCTGAGAATCATTCTGTCTATTTTCTATAGGAAGATATTTCCTATTCTACCATTGACCTCAAAGCGGCTGAAATCTCCACTTGCAAATTCCACAAAAAGAGTGTTTCAAGTCTGCTCTGTGTAAAGGATCGTTCAACTCTGTGAGTTGAATACACACAACACAAGGAAGTTACTGATAATTCTTCTGTCTAGCAGAATATGAAGAAATCCCGTTTCCAACGAAGGCCACAAGATGTCAGAATATCCACTTACAGAATTTACAAACAGACTGTTTCCTAACTGCTCTATGAAAAGAAAGGTTAAACTCTGTGAGTTGAACGCACACATCACAATGAAGTTTCTGAGAATCATTCTGTCTAGTTTTGAAACGAAGATATTTCCTTTTCTGCCATTGACCTTAAATCGCTTGAAATCTCCATTTGCCAATTGCACAAAAAGAGTGTTTCAAATCTGCTCTGTCTAAGGGAACGTTCAACTCTGTGAGTTGAATGTACACAACACAAGGAAGTTACTGGGAATTCTTCTGTCTAGTTGAATATGAAGAAATCCCGCTTCCAACGAAGGCCTCAAAGAAGTCTGAATATCCACTTGCAGACTTTACAAACAGAGTGTTTCCCAACTGCTCTATGAAAAGAAAGGTTGAACTCTGTGCGTTGAACGCACACATCACAAAGGAGTTTCTGAGAATCATTCTGTCTAGTTTTTATACGAAGATATTTCTTTTTCTACCATTGACCTCAAAGCGGCTGAAATCTCCACCCTGCCAATTCCACAAAAAGAGTGTTTCAAGTCTACTCTGTGTAAAGGATCGTTGAACTCTGTGATTTGAAAACACACAACACATCGAAGTTTCTGAGAATTCTTCTGTCTAGCAGAATATGAAGAAATCCCGCTTCCAACGAAGGCCTCAAAGAAGTCTGAATATGCATTTGCAGAATTTACAAACAGAGTGTTTCCCAACTGCTCTATGAAAAGAAAGGTTGAACTCTGTGAGTTGAACGCACACATCACAAAGGAGTTTCTGAGAATCATTCTGTCTAGTTTTTATACGAAGATATTTCCTTTTCTACCATTGACCTCAAAGCGGCTGAAATCTCCACTTGCAAATTCTACAAAAAGAGTTTTTCAAGTCTACTCTGTGTAAAGGATCGTTCAACTCTGTGAGTTGAAAACACACAACACAACGAAGTTTCTGAGAATTCTTCTGTCTAGCAGAATATGAAGAAATCCCGTTTCCAACGAAGGCCACAAGATGTCAGAATATCCACTTACAGAATTTACAAACAGACTGTTTCCTAACTGCTCTATGAAAAGAAAGGTTAAACTCTGTGAGATGAACGAACACATCACAACGCAGTTTGTGGGAATGATTCTGTCTAGTTTTGAAACGAAGATATTTCCTTTTCTGCCATTGACCTTAAAGCGCTTGAAATCTCCATTTGCCAATTGCAGAAAAAGAGTCTTTCAAATCTGCTCTGTCTAAGGGAACGTTCAACTCTGTGAGTTGAATGTACACAACACAAGGAAGTTACTGGGAATTCTTCTGTCTAGCCTTACATGAAGAAAACCCGTTTCCAACGAAGGCCTCTAAGAGGTCAAAATATCCACGTGCAGACTTTACAAAGAGAGTGTTTCCAAACCGCTGAATGAAAAGAAAAGTTAAACTCTGAGAGTTGAACGCAGACATCACGCAGCAGTTTCTGAGAATGATTCTGTCTAGTTTTTATACGAAGATATTTCCTTTTCTGCCTTTGGCCCTAAAGCGCTTGAAATCTCCAATTGCAAATTCCACAAAAACAGTGTTTCAAATCTGCTCTCTCTAAATGAACGTTCAACTCTCTCAGTTGAATACACACAACACAAGGAAGTTACTGAGAATTATTCTGTCTAGCCTTATATGAAAAAATCCCGTTTCCAACGAAGGCCTCAAAGAGGTCTGAATATCCACTTGCAGACTTTACAAACAGAGTGTTTCCTAACTGCTCTATGAAAAGAAAGGTTAAACTCTGTGAGTTGAACGCACACACCACAAAGGAGTTTCTGAGAATCATTCTGTCTAGTTTTTCTACGAAGACATTTCCTTTTCTACTATTGACCTCAAAGCGGCTGAAATCTCCACTTGCAAATTCCACAAAAAGAGTGTTTCAAGTCTGCTCTGTGTAAAGGATCGTTCAACTCTGTGAGTTGAATACACACAACACAAGGAAGTTACTGAGAATTGTTCTGTCTAGCAGAATATGAAGAAATCCCGTTTCCAACGAAGGCCACAAGATGTCAGAATATCCCCTTACAGAATTTACCAAACAGACTGTTTCCTAACTGCTCTATGAAAAGAAAGGTTAAACTCTGTGAGTTGAACGAACACCATCACAACGCAGTTTGTGGGAATGATTCTGTCTAGTTTTTATAGGAAGATATTTCCTTTTCTACCTTTGACTTCAAAGCGGCTGAAATCTCCACTTGCAAATTCCACAAAAAGAGTGTTCCAAGTCTGCTCTGTGTAAAGGATCGTTCAACTGTGTGAGTTGAATACACACAACACAAGGAAGTTACTGAGAATTCTTCTGTCTAGCCTTACATGAAAAAAACCCGTTTCCAACGAAGGCCTCTAAGTGGTCAAATTATCCACGTGCAGACTTTACAAACAGAGTGTTTCCAAACTGCTGAATGAAAAGCAAATTTAAACTCTGAGAGTTGAACGCACACATCGCAGAGCAGTTTCTTGGAATGATTCTGTCTAGTTTTGAAACGAAGATATTTCCTTTTCTGCCTTTGGCCTCAAAGCGCTTGAAATCTCCATTTGCAAATTCCACAAAAAGAGTCTTTCAAATCTGATCTGTGTAAATGAAAGTTCAACTCTGTGAGTTGAACACACACAACACAAGGATGTTACTGGGAATTCTTCTGTCTAGCCTTATAGGAAAAAAACCTGTTTCCAACGAAGGCCTCAAAGAGGTCTGAATATCCACTTGCAGACTTTACAAACAGAGTGTTTCCTAACTGCTCTATGAAAAGAAAGGTTAAACTCTGTGAGTTGAACGCACACATCACAAAGGAGTTTCTGAGAATCATTCTGTCTAGTCTTTATACGAAGATATTTCCTTTTCTACCATTGACATCAAAGCGGCTGAAATCTCCACTTGCAAATTCCACAAAAAGAGTGTTTCAAGTCTGCTCTGTGTAAAGGATCGTTCAACTCTGTGTGTTGAATACACACAACACAAGGAAGTTACTGAGAATTCTTCTGTCTAGCACAATATGAAGAAATCCCGTTTCCAACGAAGGCCACAAGATGTCAGAATATCCACTTACAGACTTTACAAACACAGTGTTTCCTAACTGCTCTATGAACAGAAAGGTTAAACTCTGTGAGTTGAACGAACATATCACAACGCAGTTTGTGGGAATGATTCTGTCTAGTTTTGAAACGAAGATATTTCCTTTTCTGCCGTTGACCTTAAAGCGCTTGAAATCTACACTTGCAAATTGCACAAATAGAGTGTTTCAAATCTGCTCTGTCTAAAGGAACGTTCAACTCTGTGAGTTGAATGCACACAACACAAGGAAGTTACTGGGAATTCTTCTGTCTAGCCTTACATGAAGAAAACCCGTTTCCAAAGAAGGCCTCTAAGTGGTCAAAATATCCACGTGCAGACTTTACAAACAGAGTGTTTCCAAACCGCTGAATGAAAAGAAAAGTTAAACTCTGAGAGTTGAACGCACACATCACGCAGCAGTTTCTGAGAATGATTCTGTCTAGTTTTTCTACGAAGATATTTCCTTTTCTACTATTGACCTCAAAGCGGCTGAAATCTCCACTTGCAAATTCCACAAAAAGAGTGTTTCAAGTGTGCTCTGTGTAAAGGATCGTTCAACTCTGTGAGTTGAATACACACAACACAAGGAAGTTACTGAGAATTCTTCTGTCTAGCATTATATGAAGAAATCCCGTTTCCAACGAAGGCCTCAAGGAGGTCTGAATATCCACTTGCAGACTTTACAAACAGAGTGTTTCCCAACTGCTCTATGAAAAGAAAGGTTAAACTCTGTGAGTTGAACGCACACATCACAAAGGAGTTTCTGAGAATCATTCTGTCTAGTTTCTATATGAAGATATTTCCTATTCTACCATTGACCTGAAAGCGGCTGAAATCTCCACTTGCAAATTCCACAAAAAGAATGTTTCAAGTCTGCTCTGTGTAAAGGATCGTTCAACTCTGTGAGTTGAATACACACAACACAAGGAAGTTACTGAGAATTCTTCTGTCTAGCAGAATATGAAGAAATCCCGTTTCCAACGAAGGCCACAAGATGTCAGAATATCCACTTACAGACTTTAGAAATAGAGTGTTTCCTAACTGCTCTATGAACAGAAAGGTTAAACTCTGTGAGTTGAACGAACACATCACAACGCAGTTTGTGGGAATGATTCTGTCTAGTTTTGAAACGAAGATATTTCCTTTTCTGCCATTGACCTTAAAGCGCTTGACATCTACACTTGCAAATTGCACAAATAGAGTGTTTCAAATCTGCTCTGTCTAAGGGAACGTTCAACTCTGTGAGTTGAATGCACACAACACAAGGAAGTTACTGGGAATTCTTCTGTCTAGCAGAACATGAAGAAATCCCGTTTCCAACGAAGGCCTCAAAGATGTCTCAATATCCACTTGCAGACTTTACAAACAGAGTGTTTCCTAACTGCTCTATGAAAAGAAAGGTTAAACTCTGTGAGTTGAACGCACACATCACGAAGGAGTTTCTGAGAATCATTCTGTCTAGTTTTTATAGGAAGATATTTCCTTTTCTACCTTTGATTCAAAGCGGCTGAAATCTCCACTTGCAAATTCCACAAAAAGAGTGTTACAAGTCTGCTCTGTGTAAAGGATCGTTCAACTCTGTGAGTTGAATACACACAACACAAGGAAGTTACTGAGAATTCTTCTGTCTAGCACAGTATGAAGAAATCCCGTTTCCAACGAAGGCCTCAAAGAGGTCTGAATATCCACTTGCAGAGTTTACAAACAGAGTGTTTCCTAACTGCTCTATGAAAAGAAAGGTTAAACTCTGTGAGTTGAACGCACACATCACAATGAAGTTTCTGAGAATCATTCTGTCTAGTTTCTATAGGAAGATATTTCCTATTCTACCATTGACCTCAAAGCGGCTGAAATCTCCACTTGCAAATTCCACAAAAAGAGTGTTTCAAGTCTGCTCTCTGTAAAGGATCGTTCAACTCTGTGAGTTGAATACACACAACACAAGGAAGTTACTTAGAATTCTTCTGTCTAGCAGAATATGAAGAAATCCCGTTTCCAACGAAGGCCACAAGAGGTCAGAATATCCACTTACAGACTTTACAAACAGAGTGTTTCCTAACTGCTCTATGAACAGAAAGGTTAAACTCTGTGAGTTGAACGAACACATCACAACGCAGTTTGTGGGAATGATTCTGTCTAGTTTTGAAACGAAGATATTCCCTTTTCTGCCATTGACCTTAAAGCGCTTGAAATCTACACTTGCAAATTGCACAAATAGAGTGTTTCAAATCTGCTCTGTCTAAGGGAACGTTCAACTCTGTGAGTTGAATGCACACAACACAAGGAAGTTACTGGGAATTCTTCGGTCTAGCCTTACATGAAAAAATCCCGTTTCCAACGAAGGCCTCTAAGTGGTCAAAATATCCACGTGCAGACTTTATAAACAGAGTGTTTCCAAACTGCTGAATGAAAAGAAAAGATACACTCTGAGAGTTGAACGCACACATCGCAGAGCAGTTTCTGAGAATCATTCTGTCTAGTTTTTATACGAAGATATTTCCTTTTCTGCCTTTGACCTCAAAGCGCTTGAAATCTCCATTTGCAAATTCCACAAAAAGAGTGTTTCAAATCTGCTCTGTGTAAATGAAAGTTCAACTCTGTGAGTTGAACACACACAACACAAGGAAGTTACTGGGAATTCTTCTGTCTAGCCTTATATGAAAAAAACCCGTTTCCAACGAAGGCCTCAAAGAGGTCTGAATATCCACTTGCAGACTTTACAAACAGAGTGTTTCCTAACTGCTCTATGAAAAGAAAGGTTAAACTTTGTGAGTTGAACACACACATCACAAAGGAGTTTCTGAGAATCATTCTGTCTAGTCTTTATACGAAGATATTTCCTTTTCTACCATTGACCTCAAATCGTCTGAAATCTCCACTTGCAAATTACACAAAAAGAGTGTTTCAAGTCTGCTCTGTGTAAAGGATCGTTCAACTCTGTGAGTTGAATACACACAACACAAGGAAGTTACTGAGAATTCTTCTGTCTAGCAGAATATGAAGAAATCCCGTTTCCAACGAAGGCCACAAGATGTCAGAATATCCACTTACAGGCTTTACAAACAGAGTGTTTCCTAACTGCTCTATGAACAGAAAGGTTAAACTCTGTGAGTTGAACGAACACATCACAACGCAGTTTGTGGGAATGATTCTGTCTAGTTTTGAAACGAAGATATTTCCTTTTCTGCCATTGACCTTAAAGCGCTTGAAATCTACACTTGCAAATTGCACAAATAGAGTGTTTCAAATCTGCTCTGTCTAAGGGAACGTTCAACTCTGTGAGTTGAATGCACACAACACAAGGAAATTACTGGGAATTCTTCTGTCTAGCCTTACATGAAAAAAACCCGTTTCCAACGAAGGCCTCTAAGTGGTCAAAATATCCACGTGCAGACTTTACAAACAGAGTGTTTCCAAACCGCTGAATGAAAAGAAAAGTTAAACTTTGAGAGTTGAACGCACGCATCATGCAGCAGTTTCTGAGAATGATTCTGTCTAGTTTCTATAGGAAGATATTTCGTATTCTACCATTGACCTCAAAGAGGCAGAAATCTCCACTTGCAAATTCCACAAAAAGAGTGTTTCAAGTCTGCTCTGTGTAAAGGATCGTTCAACTCTGTGAGTTGAATACACACAACACAAGGAAGTTACTGAGAATTCTTCTGTCTAGCATAATATGTAGAAATCCCGTTTCCAACGAAGGCCTCAAGGAGGTCTGAATATCCACTTGCAGACTTTACAAACAGAGTGTTTCCTAACTGCTCTATGAAAAGAAAGGTTAAACTCTGTGAGTTGAACGCACACATCACAAAGGAGTTTCTGAGAATCATTCTGTCTAGTTTTTATACGAAGATATTTCCTATTCTACCATTGACCTCAAAGCGGCTGAAATCTCCACTTGCAAATTCCACAAAAAGAGTGTTTCAAGTCTGCTCTGTGTAAAGGATCGTTCAACTCTGTGAGTTAAATACACACAACACAAGGAAGTTACTGAGAATTCTTCTGTCTAGCAGAATATGAAGAAATCCCGTTTCCAACGAAGGCCACAAGATGTCAGAACATCCACTTACAGAATTGACAAACAGACTGTTTCCTAACTGCTCTATGAAAAGAAAGGTTAAACTCTGTGAGTTGAACGAACACATCACAACGCAGTTTGTGGGAATGATTCTGTCCAGTTTTGAAACGAAGATATTTCCTTTTCTGCCATTGAACTTAAAGCGCTTGAAATCTCCATTTGCCAATTGCACAAAAAGAGTGTTTCAAATCTGCTCTGTCTAAGGGAACGTTCAACTCTGTGAGTTGAATGTACACAACACAAGGAAGTTACTGGGAATTCTTCTGTCTAGCCTTACAGGAAAAAAACCCGTTTCCAACGAAGGCCTCTAAGTGGTCAAAATATCCACGTGCAGACTTTACAAACAGAGTGTTTCCAAACTGCTGAATGAAAAGAAAAGTTACACTCTGAGAGTTGAACGCACACATCGCAGAGCAGTTTCTGAGAATCATTCTGTCTAGTTTTGAAACGAAGATATTTCCTTTTCTGCCTTTGGCCTAAAAGCGCTTGAAATCTCCACTTGCATATTCCACAAAAAGAGTGTTTCAAATCTGCTCTGTGTAAATGAAAGTTCAACTCTGTGAGTTGAACACACACAACACAAGGAAGTTACTGGGAATTCTTCTGTCTAGCAGAATATGAAGAAATCCCGTTTCCAACGAAGGCCTCAAGGAGGTCTGAATATCCACTTGCAGACTTTACAAACAGAGTGTTTCCTAACTGCTCTATGAACAGAAAGGTTAAACTCTGTGAGTTGAATGCACACATCACAAAGGAGTTTCTGAGAATCATTCTGTCTAGTCTTTATACGAAGATATTTACTTTTCTACCATTGACCTCAAAGCGGCTGAAATCTCCACTTGCAAATTCCACAAAAAGAGTGTTTCAAGTCTGCTCTGCGTAAAGGATCATTCAACTCTGTGAGTTGAATAAACACAACACAAGGAAGTTACTGAGAATTCTTCTGTCTAGCAGAATATGAAGAAATCCCGTTTCCAACGAAGGCCACAAGATGTCTGAATATCCACTTACAGACTTTACAAACAGAGTGTTTCCTAACTGCTCTATGAACAGAAAGGTTAAACTCTGTGAGTTGTACGAACACATCACAACGCAGTTTGTGGGAATGATTCTCTCTAGTTTTGAAACGAAGATATTTCCTTTTCTGCCATTGACCTTAAAGCGCTTGAAATCTACACTTGCAAATTGCACAAATAGAGTGTTTCAAATCTGCTCCGTCTAAGGGAACGTTCAACTCTGTGAGTTGAATGCACACAACACAAGGAAGTTACTGGGAATTCTTCTGTCTAGCCTTACATGAAGAAAACCCGTTTCCAACGAAGGCCTCTAAGTGGTCAAAATATCCACGTGCAGACTTTACAAACAGAGTGTTTCCAAACTGCTGAATGAAAAGAAAAGTTAAACTCTGAGAGTTGAACGCACACATCACAGAGCAGTTTCTGAGAATGATTCTGTCTAGTTTTTATATGAAGATATTTCCTTTTCTGCCTTTGGCCCCAAAAGCGCTTGAAATCTCCACTTGCAAAATCCACAAAAAGAGTGTTTCAAGTCTGCTCTGTGTAAAGGATCGTTCAACTCTGTGAGTTGAATATACACTACACAAGGAAGTTTCTGAGAATTCTTCTGTCTAGCAGAATAGGAAGAAATCCCGTTTCCAACGAAGGCCTCAAGGAGGTCTGAAAATCCACTTGCAGACATTACAAACAGAGTGTTTCCTAACTGCTCTATGAAAAGAAAGGTTAAACTCTGTGAGTTGAACGCACACATCACAAAGGAGTTTCTGAGAATCGTTCCTGTCTAGTTTCTATAGGAAGATATTTCCTATTCTACCATTGACCTCAAAGCGGCTGAAATCTCCACTTGCAAATTCCACAAAAAGAATGTTTCAAGTCTGCTCTGTGTAAAGGATCGTTCAACTCTGTGAGTTGAATACACACAACACAAGGAAGTTACTGAGAATTCTTCTGTCTAGCAGAATATGAAGAAATCCCGTTTCCAACGAAGGCCACAAGATGTCAGAATATCCACTTACAGACTTTACAAAGAGAGTGTTTCCTAACTGCTCTATGAACAGAAAGGTTAAACTCTGTGAGTTGAACGAACACATCACAACGCAGTTTGTGGGAATGATTCTGTCTAGTTTTGAAACGAAGATATTTCCTTTTCTGCCGTTGACCTTAAAGCGCTTGAAATCTCCACTTGCCAATTGCACAAAAAGAGTGTTTCAAATCTGCTCTGTCTAAGGGAACGTTCAACTCTGTGAGTTGAATGTACACAACACAAGGAAGTTACTGGGAATTCTTCTGTCTAGCCTTATATGAAAAAAACCCGTTTCCAACGAAGGCCTCAAAGAGGTCTCAATATCCACTTGCAGACATTACAAACAGAGTGTTTCCTAACTGCTCTATGAAAAGAAAGGTTAAACTCTGTGAGTTGAACACACACATCACAAAGGAGTTTCTGAGAATCATTCTGTCTAGTTTCTATAAGAAGATATTTCCTATTCTACCATTGACCTCAAAGCGGCAGAAATCTCCACTTGCAAATTCGACAAAAAGAGTGTTTCAAGCCTGCTCTCTGTAAAGGATCTTTCAACTCTGTGAGTTGAATACACACAACACAAGGAAGTTACTGAGAATTATTCTGTCTAGCACAGTATGAAGAAATCCCGTTTCCAACGAAGGCCTCAAAGAGGTCTGAATATCCACTTGCAGAGTTTACAAACAGAGTGTTTCCTAACTTCTCTATGAAAAGAAAGGTTAAACTCTGTGAGTTGAACGCACACATCACAATGAAGTTTCTGAGAATCATTCTGTCTAGTTTTTATACGAAGATATTTCCTTTTCTACCATTGACCTCAACGCGGCTGAAATCTCCACTTACAAATTC
This sequence comes from Homo sapiens, assembly GCF_000001405.40. NCBI lineage: Eukaryota > Metazoa > Chordata > Mammalia > Primates > Hominidae > Homo > Homo sapiens. The sequence continues at coordinate 47,836,738 of NC_000005.10, read as the reverse complement.
CACAAAAAGAGTGTTACATGTCTGCTCTGTGTAAAGGATCGTTCAACTCTGTGAGTTGAATACACACAACACAAGGAAGTTACTGAGAATTCTTCTGTCTAGCAGAATATGAAGAAATCCCGTTTCCAACGAAGGCCACAAGATGTCAGAATATCCACTTACAGACTTTACAAACAGAGTGTTTCCTAACTGCTCTATGAACAGAAAGTTTAAACTCTGTGAGTTGAACGAGCACATCCCAACGCAGTTTGTGGGAATGATTCTGTCTAGTTTTGAAACGAAGATATTTCCTTTTCTGCCATTGACCTTAAAGTGCTTGAAATCTACACTTGCAAATTGCACAAATAGAGTGTTTCAAATCTGCTCTGTCTAAGGGAACGTTCATCTCTGTGAGTTGAATGCACACAACACAAGGAAGTTACTGGGAATTCTTCTGTCTAGCCTTACATGAAAAAAACCCGTTTCCAACGAAGGTCTCTAAGTGGTCAAAATATCCACGTGTAGACTTTACAAACAGAGTGTTTCCAAACTGCTGAATGAAAAGAAAAGTTAAACTCTGAGAGTTGAACGCACACATCACAGAGCAGTTTCTGAGAATGATTCTGTCTAGTTTTGAAACGGAGATATTTCCTTTTCTGCCTTTGGCCTCAAAGCGCTTGAAATCTCCACTTGCAAATTCCACAAAAAGAGTGTTTCAAATCTGCTCTGTGTAAATGAACGTTCAACTCTGTGAGTTGAACACACACAACACAAGGAAGTTACTGGGAATTCTTCTGTCTAGCATAATATGAAGAAATCCCGTTTCCAACGAAGGCCTCAAAGGGGTCTGAATATCCACTTGCAGACTTTATAAACAGAGTGTTTACTAACTGCTCTATGAAAAGAAAGGTTAAACTCTGTGAGTTGAACACACACATCACAAAGGAGTTTCTGAGAATTATTCTGTCTAGTTTTTATACGAAGATATTTCCTTTTATACCATTGACCTCAACGCGGCTGAAATCTCCACTTGCAAATTCCACAAAAAGAGTGTTTCAAGTCCGCTCTGTGTAAAGGATCGTTCAACTCTGTGAGTTGAATACACACAACACAAGGAAGTTACTGAGAATTCTTCTGTCTAGCAGAATATGAAGAAATCCCGTTTCCAACGAAAGCCTCAAAGATGTCTGAATATCCACTTGCAGACTTTACAAACAGAGTGTTTCCTAACTGCTCTATGAAAAGAAAGGTTAAACTCTGTGAGTTGAACGCACACAGCTCAAAGGAGTTTCTGAGAATCATTCTGTATAATTTCTATATGAAGATACTTCCTTTTCTACTATTGACCTCAAAGCGGCTGAAATCTCCCCTTGCAAATTCCACAAAAAGAGTGTTTCAAGTCTGCTCTGTGTAAACGATCGTTCAACTCTGTGAGTTGAATACACACAACACAAGGAAGTTACTGAGAATTTTTCTGTCTAGCAGAATATGAAGAAATCCCGTTTCCAACGAAGGCCTCAAAGAGGTCTGAATATCCACTTGCCGACTTTATAAACAGAGTGTTTCCTAACTGCTCTATGAAAAGAAAGTTTAAACTCTGTGAGTTGAACGCACACATCACAAAGCAGTTTCTGAGAATTATTCTGTCTAGTTTCTATAGGAAGATATTTCCTATTCTACCATTGACCTCAAAGCGGCTGAAATCTCCACTTGCAAATTCCACAAAAAGAGTGTTTCAAGACTGTTCTGTGTAAAGGATCGTTCAACTCTGTGAGTTGAATACACACAACACAAGGAAGTTACTGAGAATTCTTCTGTCTAGCAGAATATGAAGAAATCCCGCTTCCAACGAAGGCCTCAAAGAAGTCTGAATATCCACTTGCAGACTTTACAAACAGAGTGTTTCCCAACTGCTCTATGAAAAGAAAGGTAGAACTCTGTGAGTTGAACGCACACATCACAAAGGAGTTTCTGAGAATCATTCTGTCTAGTTTTGAAACGAAGATATTTCCTTTTCTGTCATTGACCTTAAAGCGCTTGAAATCTACACTTGCAAATTGCACAAATAGAGTGTTTCAAATCTGCTCTGTCTAAGGGAACGTTCAACTCTGTGAGTTGAATGCACACAACACAAGGAAGTTACTGGGAATTCTTCTGTCTAGCCTTACATGAAAAAAACCCGTTTCCAACGAAGGCCTCTAAGTGGTCAAGTTATCCACGTGCAGACTTTACAAACAGAGTGTTTCCAAACTTCTGAATGAAAAGAAAAGTTAAACTCTGAGAGTTGAACGCACACATCGCAGAGCAGTTTCTGAGAATGATTCTGTCTAGTTTTTATACGAAGATATTTCCTTTTCTGCCTTTGGCCTCAAAGCGCTTGAAATCTCCACTTGCAAATTCCACAAAAAGAGTGTTTCAAATGTGCTCTGTGTAAATGAAAGTTCAACTCTGTGAGTTGAACACACACATCACAAGGAAGTTACTGGGAATTCTTCTGTCTAGCCTTATATGAAAAAAACCCGTTTCCAACGAAGGCCTCAAAGAGGTCTGAATATCCACTTGCAGACTTTACAAACAGAGTGTTTCCTAACTGCTCTATGAAAAGAAAGGTTAAACTCTGTGAGTTGAAGGCACACATCCCAAAGAAGTTTCTGAGAATCATTCTGTCTAGTTTCTATAGGAAGATATTTCCTATTCTACCATTGACCTCAAAGCGGCTGAAATCTCCAGTTGCAAATTCCACAAAAAGAATGTTTCAAGTCTGCTCTGTGTAAAGGATCGTTCAACTCTGTGAGTTGAATACACACAACACAAGGGACTTACTGAGAATTATTCTGTCCAGCAGAATATGAAGAAATCCCGTTTCCAACGAAGGCCACAAGATGTCAGAATATCCACTTACAGACTTTACAAACAGAGTGTTTCCTAACTGCTCTATGAACAGAAAGGTTAAACTCTGTGAGTTCAACGAACACATCACAACGCAGTTTGTCGGAATGATTCTGTCTAGTTTTGAAACGAAGATATTTCCTTTTCTGCCATTGACCTTAAAGCGCTTGAAATCTACACTTGCAAATTGCACAAATAGAGTGTTTCAAATCTGCTCTAAGGGAACGTTCAACTCTGTGAGTTGAATGCACACAACACAAGGAAGTTACTGGGAATTCTTCTGTCTAGCCTTACATGAAAAAAACCCGTTTCCAACGAAGGCCTCTAAGTGGTCAAATTATCCACGTGCAGACTTTAGAAACAGAGTGTTTCCAAACTACTGAATGAAAAGAAAAGTTAAACTCTGAGAGTTGAACGCACACATCGCAGAGCAGTTTCTGAGAATGATTCTGTCTAGTTTTTATACGAAGATATTTCCTTTTCTGCCTTTGGCCTCAAAGCGCTTGAAATCTCCACTTGCAAATTCCACAAAAAGAGTGTTTCAAATCTGCTCTTTGTAAATGAAAGTTCAACTGTGTGAGTTGAACACACACAACACAAGGAAGTTACTGGGAATCCTTCTGTCTAGCCTTATATGAAAAAAACCCGTTTCCAACGAAGGCCTCAAAGAGGTCTGAATATCCACTTGCAGACTTTACAAACAGAGTGTTTCCTAACTGCTCTATGAAAAGAAAGGTTAAACTCTGTGAGTTGAACACACTCATCACAAAGGAGTTTCTGAGAATCATTCTGTCTAGTTTTTATAGGAAGATATTTCCTTTTCTACCTTTGACTTCAAAGCGGCTGAAATCTCCACTTGCAAATTCCACAAAAAGAGTGTTACAAGTCTGCTCTGTGTAAAGGATCGTTCAACTCTGTGAGTTGAATACACACAACACAAGGAAGTTACTGAGAATTTTTCTGTCTAGCAGAATATGCAGAAATCCCGTTTCCAACGAAGGCCACAAGATGTCAGAATATCCACTTACAGACTTTACAAACAGAGTGTTTCCTAACTGCTCTATGAACAGAAAGGTTAAACTCTGTGAGTTGAACGCACACATCACAAAGGAGTTTCTGAGAATCATTCTGTCTAGTTTTGAAACGAAGATATTTCCTTTTCTGCCATTGACCTTAAAGCGCTTGAAATCTACACTTGCAAATTACACAAATAGAGTGTTTCAAATCTGCTCTGTCTAAGGGAACGTTCAACTCTGTGAGTTGAATGCACTCAACACAAGGAAGTTACTGGGAATTCTTCTGTCTAGCCTTACATGAAAAAAACCCGTTTCCAACGAAGGCCTCTAAGTGGTCAAAATATCCACGTGCAGACTTTACAAACAGAGTGTTTCCAAACCGCTGAATGAAAAGAAAAGTTAAACTCTGAGAGTTGAACGCACACATCACGCAGCAGTTTCTGAAAATGATTCTGTCTAGTTTTTATACGAAGATATATCCTTTTCTGCCTTTGGCCCCAAAGCGCTTGAAATCTCCACTTGCAAATTCCACAAAAACAGTGTTTCAAATCTGCTCCCTCTAAATGAAAGTTCAACTTTGTCAGTTGAATACACACAACACAAGGAAAGTTACTGAGAATTCTTCTGTCTAGCAGAATATGAAGAAATCCCGTTTCCAACGAAGGCCTCAAAGGGGTCTGAATATCCACTTGCAGACTTTATAAACAGAGTGTTTACTAACTCCTCTATGAAAAGAAAGGTTAAACTCTGTGTGTTGAACGCACACATCACAAAGGAGTTTCTGAGAATCATTCTGTCTAGTTTCTATAGGAAGATATTTCCTATTCTACCATTGACCTCAAAGCGGCTGAAATCTCCACTTGCAAATTCCACAAAAAGAGTGTTTCAAGTCTGCTCTGTTTAAAGGATCGTTCAACCCTGTGAGTTTAATACACACAACACAAGGAAGTTACTGAGAATTCTTCTGTCTAGCAGAATATGAAGAAATCCGGTTTCCAACGAAGGCCACAAGATGTCAGAATATCCACTTACAGACTTTACAAACAGAGTGTTTCCTAACTGCTCTATGAACACAAAGGTTAAACTCTGTGAGTTGAACGAACACATCACAACGCAGTTTGTGGGAATGATTCTGTATAGTTTTTCTACGAAGATATTTCCTTTTCTACTATTGACCTCAAAGCGGCTGAAATCTCCACTTGCAAATTCCACAAAAAGAGTGTTTCAAGTCTGCTCTGTGTAAAGGATCGTACAACTCTGTGAGTTGAATACACACAACACAAGGAAGTTACTGAGAATTCTTCTGTCTAGCAGAATATGAAGAAATCCCGTTTCCAACGAAGGCCTCAAAGAGGTCTGAATATCCACTTGCAGACTTTACAAACAGAGTGTTTCCTAACTGCTCTATGAAAAGAAAGGTTAAACTCTGTGAGTTGTACGCACACATCACAAAGGAGTTTCTGAGAATCGTTCTGTCTAGTCTTTATACGAAGATATTTCCTTTTCTACCATTGACCTCAAAGCGGCTGAAATCTCCACTTGCAGATTCCACAAAAAGAGTGTTTCAAGTCTGCTCTGTGTAAAGGATCATTCAACTCTGTGAGTTGAATAAACACAACACAAGGAAGTTACTGAGAATTCTTCTGTCTAGCACAGTATGAAGAAATCCCGTTTCCAACGAAGGCCACAAGATGTCAGAATATCCACTTACAGAATTTACAAACAGAGTGTTTCCTAACTGCTCTATGAAAAGAAAGGTTAAACTCTGTGAGATGAACGAACACATCACAACGCAGTTTGTGGGAATGATTCTGTCTAGTTTCTATAGGAAGATATTTCCTATTCTACCATTGACCTCAAAGCGGCTGAAATCTCCACTTGCAAATTCCACAAAAAGAGTGTTTCAAGTCTGCTCTGTGTAAAGGATCGTTCAACTCTGTGAGTTGAATGCACACAACACAAGGAAGTTACTGGGAATTCTTCTGTCTAACCTTACATGAAAAAAACCCGTTTCCAACGAAGGCCTCTAAGTGGTCAAATTATCCACGTGCAGACTTTACAAACAGAGTGTTTCCAAACTGCTGAATGAAAAGAAAAGTTAAACTCTGAGAGTTGAACACACACATCGCAGAGCAGCTTCTGAGAATGATTCTGTCTAGTTTTTATACGAAGATATTTCCTTTTCTGCCTTTGGCCTCAAAGCGCTTGAAATCTCCACTTGCAAATTCCACAAAAAGAGTGTTTCAAATCTGCTCTGTGTAAATGAAAGTTCAACTCTGTCAGTTGAACACACACAACACAAGGAAGTTACTGGGAATTCTTCTGTCTAGAAGAATATGAAGAAATCCCGCTTCCAACGAAGGCCTCAAAGAGGTCTGAATATCCACTTGCAGACTTTACAAACAGAGTGTTTCCCAACGGCTCTATGAAAAGAAAGGTTGAACTCTGTGAGTTGAACGCACACATCACAAAGGAGTTTCTGAGAATCATTCTGTCTAGTTTCTATAGGAAGATATTTCCTATTCTACCATTGAACTCAAAGCGGCTGAAATCTCCAATTGCAAATTCCACAAAAAGAGTGTTTCAAGTCTGCTCTGTGTAAAGGATCGTTCAACTCTGTGAGTTGAATACACACAACACAAGGAAGTTACTGAGAATTCTTCTGTCTAGCATAATATGAAGAAATTCCGTTTCCAACGAAGGCCTCAAAGGGGTCTGAATATCCACTTGCAGACTTTATAAACAGAGTGTTTACTAACTGCTCTATGAAAAGAAAGGTTAAACTCTGTGAGTTGAACACACACATCACAAAGGAGTTTCTGAGAATCATTCTGTCTAGTTTTTATACGAAGATATTTCCTTTTCTACCATGGACCTCAAAGCTGCTGAAATCTCCACTTGCAAATTCCACAAAAAGAGTGTTTCAAGTCTGCTCTGTGTAAAGGATCGTTCAACTCTGTGAGTTGAATACACACAACACAAGGAAGATTCTGAGAATTCTTCTGTCTAGCAGAATATGAAGAAATACCGTTTCCAACGAAGGCCACAAGATGTCAGAATATCCACTTACAGACTTTACAAACAGAGTGTTTCCTAACTGCTCTATGAACAGAAAGGTTAAACTCTGTGAGTTGAACGAACACATCACAACGCAGTTTGTGGGAATGATTCTGTCTAGTTTTGAAACGAAGATATTTCCTTTTCTGCCATTGACCTTAAAGCGCTTGAAATCTACACTTGCAAATTACACAAATAGAGTGTTTCAAATCTGCTCTGTCTAAGGGAATGTTCATCTCTGTGAGTTGAATGCACACAACAAAAGGAAGTTACTGGGAATTCTTCTGTCTGGTCTTACATGAAAAAAACCCGTTTCCAACGAAGGCCTCTAAGTGGTCAAAATATCCACGTGCAGACTTTACAAACAGAGTGTTTCCAAACTGCTGAATGAAAAGAAAACTTAAACTCTGAGAGGTGAACGCACACATCACAGAGCAGTTTCTGAGAATGATTCTGTCTAGTTTTGAAACGAAGATATTTCCTTTTCTGCCTTTGGCCTCAAAGCGCTTGAAATCTCCACTTGCAAATTCCACAAAAAGAGTGTTTCAAGTCTGCTCTGTGTAAATGAAAGTTCAACTCTGTGAGTTGGACACACACAACACAAGGAAGTTACTGGGAATTCTTCTGTCTAGCCTTACATGAAAAAAACCCGTTTCCAACGAAGGCCTGAAAGAGGTCTGAATATCCACCTGCAGACTTTATAAACAGAGTGTTTCCTAACTGCTCTATGAAAAGAAAGGTTAAACTCTGTGAGTTGAACGCACACATCACAAAGGAGTTTCTGAGAATCATTCTGTCTAGTTTCTATAGGAAGATATTTCCTATTCTACCATTGAACTCAAAGCGGCTGAAATCTCCACTTGCAAATTCCACAAAAAGAGTGTTTCAAGTCTGCTCTGTGTAAAGGATCGTTCATCTCTGTGAGTTGAATACACACAACACAAGGAAGTTACTGAGAATTCTTCTGTCTAGCAGAATATGAAGAAATTCCGTTTCCAACGAAGGCCGCAAGATGTCAGAATATCCACTTACAGACTTTACAAACAGAGTGTTTCCTAACTGCTCTATGAACAGAAAGGTTAAAATCTGTGAGTTGAACGAGCACTTCACAACGCAGTTTGTGGGAATGATTCTGTCTAGTTTTGAAACGAAGATATTTCCTTTTCTGCCATTGACCTTAAAGCGCTTGAAATCTCCACTTGCCAATTGCACAAAAAGAGTGTTTCAAATCTGCTCTGTCTAAGGGAACGTTCAACACTGTGAGTTGAATGTACACAACACAAGGAAGTTACTGGGAATTCTTCTGTTTAGCCTTACAGGAAAAAAACCCGTTTCCAACGAAGGCCTCTAAGTGGTCAAAATATCCACGTGCAGACTTTACAAACAGAGTGTTTCCAAACTGCTGAATGAAAAGAAAAGTTAAACTCTGAGAGTTGAACGCACACATTGCAGAGCAGTTTCTGAGAATGATTCTGTCTAGTTTTGAAACGAAGATATTTCCTTTTCTGCCTTTGGCCTCAAAGCGCTTGAAATCTCCACTTGCAAATTCCACAAAAAGAGTGTTTCAAATCTGCTCTGTGTAAATGAAAGTTCAACTCTGTGAGTCGAACACACACAACACAAGGAAGTTACTGGGAATTCTTCTGTCTAGCATAATATGAAGAAATCCCGTTTCCAACGAAGGCCTCAAAGAGATCTGAATATCCACTTGCAGACTTTACAAACAGAGTGTCTACTAACTGCTCTATGAAAAGAAAGGTTAAACTCTGTGAGTTGAACGCACACATCACAAAGGAGTTTCTCAGAATCATTCTGTCTAGTTTCTATAGGAAGATATTTCCTATTCTACCATTGACCTCAAAGCGGCTGAAATCTCCACTTGCAAATTCCACAAAAAGAGTGTTTCAAGTCTGCTCTCTGTAAAGGATCGTTCAACTCTGTGAGTTGAATACACACAACAGAAGGAAGTTACTGAGAATTCTTCTGTCTAGCAGAATATGAAAAATTCCCGTTTCCAACGAAGGCCTCAAAGAGGTCTGAATATCCACTTGCAGACTTTACAAACAGAGTGTTTCCTAACTGCTCTATGAAAAGAAAAGTTAAACTCTGTGAGTTGAACGCACACATCACAAAGGATTTTTTGAGAATCATTCTGTCTAGTTTTTATAGGAAGTTATTTCCTTTTCTACCTTCGACTTCAAAGCGGCTGAAATCTCCACTTGCAAATTCCACAAAAAGAGTGTTACCAGTCTGCTCTGTGTAAAGGATCGTTCAACTCTGTGAGTTGAATACACACAACACAAGGAAGTTACTGAGAATTCTTCTGTCTAGCAGAATATGAAGAAATCCCGTTTCCAACGAAGGCCACAAGATGTCAGAATATCCACTTACAGAATTTACAAACAGACTGTTTCCTAACTCCTCTATGAAAACAAAGGTTAAACTCTGTGAGTTGAACGAACACATCACAACGCAGTTTGTGGGAATGATGCTGTCTAGTTTTGAAACGAAGATATTTCCTTTTCTGCCGTTGACCTCAAAGCGCTTGAAATCTCCACTTGCCAATTGCACAAAAAGAGTGTTTCAAATCTGCTCTGTCTAAGGGAACGTTCAACTCTCTGAGTTGAATGTACACAACACAAGGAAGTTACTGGGAATTCTTCTGTCTAGCCTTACATGAAAAAAACCCGTTTCCAACGAAGGCCTCTAAGTGGTCAAATTATCCACGTGCAGACTTTACAAACAGAGTGTTTCCAAACTGCTGAATGAAAAGAAAAGTTAAACTCTGAGAGTTGAACGCACACATCACAGAGCAGTTTCTGAGAATGATTCTGTCTAGTTTTCAAACGAAGATATTTCCTTTTCTGCCTTTGGCCTCTAAGGGCTTGAAATCTCCACTTGCAAATTCCACAAAAAGAGTGTTTCAAATCTGCTCTGTGTAAATGAAAGTTCAACTCTGTGAGTTGAACACACACAACACAAGGAAGTTACTGGGAATTCTTCTGTCTAGCCTTATATGAAAAAAACCCGTTTCCAACCGAAGGCCTCAAAGAGGTCTGAATATCCACTTGCAGACTTTACAAACAGAGTGTTTCCTAACTGCTCTATGAAAAGAAAGGTTAAACTCTGTGAGTTGAACACACACATCACAAAGGAGTTTCTGAGAATCATTCTGTCTAGTTTCTATTGGAAGATATTTCCTATTCTACCATTGACCTCAAACGGCTGAAATCTCCACTTGCAAATTCCACAAAAAGAGTGTTTCAAGTCTGCTCTCTGTAAAGGATCCTTCAACTCTGTGAGTTGAATACACACAACACAAGGAAGTTACTGAGAATTATTCTGTCTAGGAGAATATGAAGAAGTCCCGTTTCCAACGAAGGCCACAAGATGTCAGAATATCCACTTACAGAATTGACAAACAGACTGTTTCCTAACTGCTCTATGAAAAGAAAGGTTAAACTCTGTGAGTTGAACGAACACATCACAACGCAGTTTGTGGGAATGATTCTGTCTAGTTTTGAAACGAAGATATTTCCTTTCCTGCCATTGACCTTAAAGCGCTTGAAATCTCCATTTGCCAATTGCACAAAAAGAGTGTTTCAAATCTGCTCTGTCTAAGGGAACGTTCAACTCTGTGAGTTGAATGTACACAACACAAGGAGGTTACTGGGAATTCTTCTGTCTAGCCTTACAGGAAAAAAACCCGTTTCCAACGAAGGCCTCTAAGTGGTCAAAATATCCACTTGCAGACTTTACAAACAGAGTGTTTCCAAACTGCTGAATGAAAAGAAAAGTTAAACTGTGAGAGTTGAACGCACACATCGCAGAGCAGTTTCTGAGAATGATTCTGTCTATTTTTTATACGAAGATATTTCCTTTTCTGCCTTTGGCCTCAAAGCGCTTGAAACCTCCATTTGCAAGTTCCACAAAAAGAGTGTTTCAAATCTGCTCTGTGTAAATGAAAGTTCAACTCTGTGAGTTGAACACACACAACACAAGGAAGTTACTGGGAATTCTTCTGTCTAGCCTTATATGAAAAAAACCCGTTTCCAACGAAGGCCTCAAAGAGGTCTGAATATCCACTTGCAGACTTTACAAGCAGAGTGTTTCCTAACTGCTCTATGAAAAGAAAGGTTAAACTCTGTGAGTTGAACGCACACATCACAAAGGAGTTTCTGAGAATCATTCTGTCTAGTTTCTATAAGACGATATTTCCTATTCTACCATTGACCTCAAAGCGGCTGAAATCTCCACTTGCAAATTCGACAAAAAGAGTGTTTCAAGCCTGCTCTCTGTAAAGGATCCTTCAACTATGTGAGTTGAATACACACAACACAAGGAAGTTACTGAGAATTATTCTGTCTAGCATAATATGAAGAAATCCCGTTTCCAACGAAGGCCTCAAAGAGGTCTGAATATCCACTTGCAGACTTTACAAACAGAGTGTTTCCTAACTGCTCTATGAAAAGAAAGGTTAAACTCTGTGAGTTGAACGCACACATCACAAAGGAGTTTATGAGAATCTTTCTGAAGAGTTTTGAAACGAAGATATTTCCTTTTCTGCCATTGACCTTAAAGCGCTTGAAATCTCCACTTGCCAATTGCACAAAAAGAGTGTTTCAAATCTGCTCTGTCTAAGGGAACGTTCAACTCTGTGAGTTGAATGTACACAACACAAGGAAGTTACCGGGAATTCTTCTGTCTAGCCTTACATGAAAAAAACCCGTTTCCAACGAAGGCCTCTAAGTGGTCAAGTTATCCACGTGCAGACTTTACAAACAGAGTGTTTCCAAACTCCTGAATGAAAAGAAAAGTTAAACTCTGAGAGTTGAACGCACACATCGCAGAGCAGTTTCTGAAAATGATTCTGTCTAGTTTTTATACGAAGATATTTCCTTTTCTGCTTTGGCCTCAAAGCGCTTGAAATCTCCATTTGCAAATTCCACAAAAAGAGTGTTTCAAATCTGCTCTGTGTAAATGAAAGTTCAACTCTGTGAGTTGAACACACACAACACAAGGAAGTTACTGGGAATTCTTCTGTCTAGCCTTATATGAAAAAAACCCGTTTCCAACGAAGGCCTCAAAGAGGTCTGAATATCCACTTGCAGACTTTACAAACAGAGTGATTCCTAACTGCTCTATGAAAAGAAATGTTAAACTCTGTGAGTTGAACACACACATCTCAAAGGAGTTTCTGAGAATCATTCTGTCTAGTTTCTATAGGAAGATATTTCCTATTCTACCATTGACCTCAAAGCGGCAGAAATCTCCACTTGCAAATTCCACAAAAAGAGTGTTTCAAGACTGCTCTGTGTAAAGGATCGTTCAACTCTGTGAGTTGAATACACACAACACAAGGAAGTTACTGAGAATTGTTCTGTCTAGGAGAATATGAAGAAATCCCATTTCCAACGAAGGCCACAAGATGTCAGAATATCCACTTACAGACTTTACAAACAGAGTGTTTCCTAACTGCTCTATGAACAGAAAGGTTAAACTCTGTGAGTTGAACGAACACATCACAACGCAGTTTGTGGGAATGATTCTGTCTAGTTTTGAAACGAAGATATTTCCTTTTCTGCCATTGACCTTAAAGCGCTTGAAATCTACCCTTGCAAATTGCACAAATGGAGTGTTTCAAATCTGCTCTGTCTAAGGGAACGTTCAACTCTGTGAGTTGAATGCACACAACACAAGGAAGTTACTGGGAATTCTTCTGTCTAGCCTTACATGAAAAAATCCCATTTCCAACGAAGGCCTCTAAGTGGTCAAAATATCCACGTGCAGACTTTACAAACAGAGTGTTTCCAAACCGCTGAATGAAAAGAAAAGTTAAACTCTGAGAGTTGAACGCACACATCACGCAGCAGTTTCTGAGAATGATTCTGTCTAGTTTTGAAACGAAGATATTTCCTTTTCTGCCTTTGGCCTCAAAGCGCTTGAAATCTCCATTTGCAAATTCCACAAAAAGAGTGTTTCAAATCTGCTCTGTGTAAATGAAAGTTCAACTCTGTGAGTTGAACACACACAACACAAGGAAGTTACTGGAAATTCTTCTGTCTAGCAGAATATGAAGAAATCCCGTTTCCAACGAAGGCCTCAAAGAGGTCTGAATATCCACTTGCAGACTTTACAAACAGAGTGTTTCCTAACTGCTCTATGAAAAGAAAGGTTAAACTCTGTGAGTTGAACGCACACATTACAAAGGAGTTTCTGAGAATCGTTCTGTCTAGTTTCTATAGGAAGATATTTCCTATTCTACCATTGACCTCAAAGAGGCTGAAATCTCCACTTGCAAATTCCACAACAAGAGTGTTTCAAGTCTACTCTGTGTAAAGCATCGTTCAACTCTGTGAGTTGAAAACACACAACACAAGGAAGTTTCTGAGAATTCTTCTGTCTAGCAGAATATGAAGAAATCCCGTTTCCAACGAAGGCCACAAGAGGTCAGAATATCCACTTACAGACTTTACAAACAGACTGTTTCCTAACTGCTCTATGAAAAGAAAAGTTAAACTCTGTGAGTTGGACGAACACATCACAACGCAGTTTGTGGGAATGATTCTGTCTAGTTTTTCTACGAAGATATTTCCTTTTCTACAATTGACCTCAAATCGGCTGAAATCACCACTTGCCAATTGCACAAAAAGAGTGTTTCAAATCTGCTCTGTCTAAGGGAACGTTCAACTCTGTGAGTTGAATGTACACAACACAAGGAAGTTACTGGGAATTCTTCTGTCTACCCTTATATGAAAAAAACCCGTTTCCAACGAAGGCCTCAAAGAGGTCTGAATATCCACTTGCAGACTTTACAAACAGAGTGTTTCCTAACTGCTCTATGAAAAGAAAGGTTAAACTCTGTGACTTGAACGCACACATCACAAAGGAGTTTCTGAGAATCATTCTGTCTAGTTTTGAAACGACGATATTTCCTTTTCTGCCTTTGGCCTCAAAGCGCTTGAAATCTCCACTTGCAAATTCCACAAAAAGAGTGTTTCAAATCTGCTCTGTGTAAATGAAAGTTCAACTCTGTGAGTTGAACACACACAACACAAGGAAGTTACTGGGAATTCTTCTGTCTAGCAGAATAGGAAGAAATCCCGTTTCCAACGAAAGCCTCAAAGAGGTCTGAATATCCACTTGCAGACTTTACAAACAGAGTGTTTCCTAACTGCTCTATGAAAAGAAAGGTTAAACTCTGTGAGTTGAACGCACACATCACAAAGGAGTTTCTGAGAATCGTTCTGTCTAGTTTCTATAGGAAGATATTTCCTTTTCTACCATTGAACTCAAAGCGGCTGAAATCTCCACTTGCAAATTCCACAAAAAGAGTGTTTCAAGTCTGCTCTGTGTAAAGGATCGTTCAACTCTGTGAGTTGAATACACACAACACAAGGAAGTTACTGAGAATTCTTCTGTCTAGCAGAATATGAAGAAATCCCGTTTCCAACGAAGGCCACAAGATGTCAGAATATCCACTTACAGACTTTACAAACAGAGTATTTCCTAACTGCTCTATGAACAGAAAGGTTAAACTCTGTGAGTTGAACGAACACATCACAACGCAGTTTGTGGGAATGATTCTGTCTAGTTTTGAAACGAAGATATTTCCTTTTCTGCCATTGACCTTAAAGCGCTTGAAATCTACACTTGCAAATTGCACAAATAGAGTGTTTCAAATCTGCTCTGTCTAAGGGAACGTTCAACTCTGTGAGTTGAATACACACAACACAAGGAAGTTACTGAGAATTCTTCTGTCTAGCCTTACAGGAAAAAACCCGTTTCCAACGAAGGCCTCTAAGTGGTCAAAATATCCACGTGCAGACTTTACAAACAGAGTGTTTCCAAACTGCTGAATGAAAAGAAAAGTTAAACTCTGAGAGTTGAACGCACACATCGCAGAGCAGTTTCTGAGAATGATTCTGTCTAGTTTTTATACGAAGATATTTCCTTTTCTGCCTTTGGCCTCAAAGCGCTTGAAATCTCCATTTGCAAATTCCACAAAAAGAGTGTTTCAAATCTGTTCTGTGTAAATGAAAGTTCAACTCTGTGAGTTGAACACACACAACACAAGGAAGTTACTGGGAATTCTTCTGTCTAGCATAATATGAAGAAATCCCGTTTCCAACGAAGGCCTCAAGGAAGTCTGAATATCCACTTGCAGACTTTACAAACAGAGTGTTTCCTAACTGCTCTATGAAAAGAAAGGTTAAACTCTGTGAGTTGAACGCACACATCACAAGGGAGTTTCTGAGAATCATTCTGTCTAGTTTTTCTACGAAGATATTTCCTTTTCTACTATTGACCTCAAAGCGGCTGAAATCTCCACTTGCAAATTCCACAAAAAGAGTGTTTCAAGTCTGCTCTGTGCAAAGGATCGTTCAACTCTGTGAGTTGAATACACACAACACAAGGAAGTTACTGAGAATTCTTCTGTCTAGCAGAATATGAAGAAATCCCGTTTCCAACGAAGGCCTCAAGGAGGTCTGAATATCCACTTGCAGACTTTACAAACAGAGGGTTTCCTAACTGCTCTATGAACAGAAAGGTAAAACTCTGTGAGTTGAACGCACACATCACAAAGGAGTTTCTGAGAATCATTCTGTCTAGTTTTGAAACGAAGATATTTCCTTTTCTGTCATTGACCTTAAAGCGCTTGAAATCTACACTTGCAAATTGCACAAATAGAGTGTTTCAAATCTGCTCTGTCTAAGGGAACGTTCAACTCTGTGAGTTGAATGCACACAACACAAGGAAGTTACTGGGAATTCTTCTGTCTAGCCTTACATGAAAAAAACCCGTTTCCAACGAAGGCCTCTAAGTGGTCAAAATATCCACGTGCAGACTTTACAAACAGAGTATTTCCAAACCGCTGAATGAAAAGAAAAGTTAAACTCTGAGAGTTGAACGCACACATCACGCAGCAGTTTCTGAGAATGATTCTGTCTAGTTTTCAAACGAAGATATTTCCTTTTCTGCCTTTGGCCTCAAAGCGCTTGAAATCTCCACTTGCAAATTCCACAAAAAGAGTGTTTCAAATCTGCTCTGTGTAAATGAAAGTTCAACTCTGTGAGTTGAACACACACAACACAAGGAAGTTACTGCGAATTCTTCTGTCTAGCATAGTATGAAGAAATCCCGTTTCCAACGAAGGCCTCAAACAGGTCTGAGTATCCACTTGCAGAGTTTACAAACAGAGTGTTTCCTAACTGCTCTATGAAAAGAAAGGTTAAACTCTGTGAGTTGAACGCACACATCACAAAGAAGTTTCTGAGAATCATTCTGCCTAGTTTCTATAGGAAGATATATCCTATTCTACCATTGACCTCAAAGAGGCTGAAATCTCCACTTGCAAATTCCACAAAAAGAGTGTTTCAAGTCTGCTCTGTGTAAAGGATCGTTCAACTCTGTGAGTTGAATACACACAACACAAGGAAGTTACTGAGAATTCTTCTGTCTAGCAGAATATGAAGAAATCCCGTTTCAAACGAAGGCCACAAGATGTCAGAATATCCACTTTCAGACTTTACAAACAGAGTGTTTCCTAACTGCTCTATGAACAGAAAGGTTAAACTCTGTGAGTTGAACGAACACATCACAACGCAGTTTGTGGGAATGATTCTGTCTAGTTTTGAAACGAAGATATTTCCTTTTCTGCCATTGACCTTAAAGCGCTTGAAACCTACACTTGCAAATTGCACAAATAGAGTGTTTCAAATCTGCTCTGTCTAAGGGAACGTTCAACTCTGTGAGTTGAATGCACACAACACAAGGAAGTTACTGGGAATTCTTCTGTCTAGCCTTACATGAAAAAATCCCGTTTCCAACGAAGGCCTCTAAGTGGTCAAAATTTCCACGTGCAGACTTTACAAACAGAGTGTTTCCAAACCGCTGAATGAAAAGAAAAGTTAAACTCTGAGAGTTGAACGAACACATCATGCAGCAGTTTCTGAGAATGATTCTGTCTAGTTTTTATACGAAGATATTTCCTTTTCTGCCTTTGGCCCCAAAGCACTTGAAATCTCCAATTGCAAATTCCACAAAAACAGTGTTTCAAATCTGCTCTCTCTAAATGAAAGTTCAACTCTGTCAGTTGAATACACACAACACAAGGAAGTTACTGAGAATTCTTCTGTCTAGCAGAATATGAAGAAATCCCGTTTCCAACGAAGGCCTCAAAGAGGTCTGAATATCCACTTGCACACTTTACAAACAGAGTGTTTCCTAACTGCTCTATGAGAAGAAAAGTTAAACTCTGTGAGTTGAACGCACACATCACAAAAGATTTTCTGAGAATCATTCTGTCTAGTCTTTATAAGAGGATAGTTTCCTTTTCTACCATTGACCTCAAAGCGGCTGAAATCTCCACTTGCAAATTCCACAAAAAGAGTGTTTCAAGTCTGCTCTGTGTAAAGGATCGTTCAACTCTGTGAGTTGAATACACACAACAGAAGGAAGTTACTGAGAATTCTTCTGTCTAGCAGAATATGAAGAAATCCCGTTTCCAACGAAGGCCACAAGATGTCAGAATATCCACTTACAGAATTGACAAACAGATTGTTTCCTAACTGCTCTATGAAAAGAAAGGTTAAACTCTGTGAGTTGAACGAACACATCACAACGCAGTTTGTGGGAATGATTCTGTCTAGTTTTTATACGAAGATATTTCCTTTTCTACCATTGACCTCAAAGCGGCTGAAATCACCACTTGCCAATTGCACAAAAAGAGTGTTTCAAATCTGCTCTGTCTAAGGGAACGTTCAACTCTGTGAGTTGAATGTACACAACACAAGGAAGTTACTGGGAATTCTTCTGTCTAGCCTTACATGAAAAAAACCCGTTTCCAACGAAGGCCTCTAAGTGGTCAAAATATCCATGTGCAGACTTTACAAACAGAGTGTTTCCAAACCGCTGAATAAAAAGAAAAGTTAAACTCTGAGAGTTGAACGCACACATCACCCAGCAGTTTCTGAGAATGATTCTGTCTAGTTTTTATACGAAGATATTTCCTTTTCTGCCTTTGGCCCCAAAGCGCTTGAAATCTCCACTTGCAAATTCCACAAAAACAGTGTTTCAAATCTGCTCTCTCTAAATGAAAGTTCAACTCTGTCAGTTGAATACACACACCACAAGGAAGTTACTGAGAATTCTTCTGTATAGCAGAATATGAAGAAAACCCGTTTCCAACGAAAGCCTCAAAGATGTCTGAATATCCACTGGCAGACATTACAAACAGAGTGTTTCCTAACTGCTCTATGAAAAGAAAGGTTAAACTCTGTGAGTTGAACGCACACATCACAAAGGAGTTTCTGAGAATCATTCTGTCTAGTCTTTATACGAAGATATTTCCTACTCTACCATTGACCTCAAAGCGGCTGAAATCTCCACTTGCAAATTCCACAAAAAGAGTGTTTCAAGTCTGCTCTGTGTAAAGGATCGTTCAACTCTGTGAGTTGAATACACACAACACAAGGGAAGTTACTGAGAATTCTTCTGTCTAGGAGAATATGAAGAAATCCCGTTTCCAACGAAGGCCACAAGATGTCAGAATATCCACTTACAGAATTGACAAACAGACTGTTTCCTAACTGCTCTATGAAAAGAAAGGTTAAACTCTGTGAGTTGAACGAACACATCACAACGCAGTTTGTGGGAATGATTCTGTCTAGTTTTGAAACGAAGATATTTCCTTTTCTGCCATTGACCTTTAAGCGCTTGAAATCTCCACTTGCCAATGGCACAAAAAGAGTGTTTCAAATCTGCTCTGTGTAAAGGATCGTTCAACTCTGTGAGTTGAATACACACAACAAAAGGAAGTTACTGAGAATTCTTCTGTCTAGCCTTACATGAAAAAACCCGTTTCCAACGAAGGCCTCTAAGTGGTCAAAATATCCACGTGCAGACTTTACAAACAGAGTGATTCCAAACCGATGAATGAAAAGAAAAGTTAAACTCTGAGAGTTGAACGCACACATCACGCAGCAGTTTCTGAGAATGATTCTGTCTAGTTTCTATAGGAAGATATTTCCTATTCTACCATTGACCTCAAAGCGGCTGAAATCTCCACTTGCAAATTCCACAAAAAGAGTGTTTCAAGTCTGCTCTGTGTAAAGGATCGTTCAACTCTGTGAGTTGAATACACACAACACAGGCAGTTACTGAGAATTCTTCTGTCTAGCAGAACATGAAGAAATCCCGCTTCCAACGAAGGCCTCAAAGAAGTCTGAATATCCACTTGCAGACTTTACAAACAGAGTGTTTCCCAACTGCTCTATGAAAAGAAAGGTTGAACTGTGTGAGTTGAACGCACACATCACAAAGGAGTTTCTGAGAATCATTCTGTCTAGTTTCTATAGGAAGATATTTCCCATTCTACCATTGACCTCAAAGCGGCTGAAATCTCCACTTGCAAATTCCACAAAAAGAATGTTTCAAGTCTGCTCTGTGTAAAGGATCGTTCAACTCTGTGAGATGAATACACACAACACAAGGAAGTTACTGAGAATTCTTCTGTCTAGCAGAATATGAAGAAATCCCGTTTCCAACGAAGGCCACAAGATGTCAGAATATCCACTTACAGAATTGACAAACAGACTGTTTCCTAAGTGCTCTATGAAAAGAAAGGTTAAACTCTGTGAGTTGAACGAACACATCACAACGCAGTTTGTGGGAATGATTCTGTCTAGTTCTGAAACGAAGATATTTCCTTTTCTGCCATTGAACTTAAAGCGCTTGAAATCTCCATTTGCCAATTGCACAAAAAGAGTGTTTCAAATCTGCTCTGTCTAAGGGAACGTTCAACTCTGTGAGTTGAATGTACACAACACAAGGAAGTTACTGGGAATTCTTCCGTCTAGCCTTACATGAAAAAAACCCGTTTCCAACGAAGGCCTCAAAGAAGTCCAAATATCCACGTGCAGAATTTACAAACAGAGTGTTTCCTAACGGCTCTATGAAAAGAAAGGTTAAACTCTGTGAGTTGAACGCCCACATCACAAAGGAGTTTCTGAGAATCATTCTGTCTAGTTTTGAAACGAAGACATTTCCTTTTCTGCCTTTGGCCTCAAAGCGCTTGAAATCTCCACTTGCAAATTCCACAAAAAGAGTGTTTCAAATCTGCTCTGTGTAAATGAAAGTTCAACTCTGTGAGTTGAACACACACAACACAAGGAAGTTACTGGGAATTCTTCTGTCTAGCATAATATGAAGAAATCCCGTTTCCAACAAAGGCCTCAACGAGGTCTGAATATCCACTTGCAGACTTTACAACCAGAGTGTTTCTTAAATGCTCTATGAAAAGAAAGGTTAAACTCTGTGAGTTGAACGCACACATCACAAAGGAGTTTCTGAGAATCATTCTGTCTAGTTTTTATACGAAGATATTTCCTTTTCTACCATTGACCTCAAAGCGGCTGAAATCTCCACTGGCCAATTCAACAAAAAGAGTTTTTCAAGTCTACTCTGTGTAACGGATCGTTGAACTCTGTGAGTTGAAAACACGCAACACCAGGAAGTTTCTGAGAATTCTTCTGTCTAGCAGAATATGAAGAAATCCCGTTTCCAACGAAGGCCTCAAAGAGGTCTGAATATCGACTTGCAGACTTTACAAACAGAGTGTTTCCTAACTGCTCTATGAAAAGAAAGGTTAAACTACTGTGAGTTGAACGCACACATCACAAAGGAGTTTATGAGAATCATTCTGTCTAGTTTCTATAGGAAGATATTTCCTATTCTACCATTGACCTCAAAGCGGCTGAAATCTCCACTTGCAAATTCCACAAAAAGAGGGTTTCAAGTCTGCTCTGTGTAAAGGATCGTTCAACTCTGTGAGTTGAATACACACAACACAAGGAAGTTACTGAGAATTCTTCTTTCTAGCAGAATATGAAGAAATCCCGTTTCCAACGAAAGCCTCAAGGAGGTCTGAATATCCACTTGCAGACTTTACAAACAGAGTGTTTCCTAACTGTTCTATGAAAAGAAAGGTTAAACTCTGTGAGTTGAACGCACACATCACAAAGGAGTTTCTGAGAATCATTCTGTGTAGTTTTGAAACGAAGATATTTCCTTTTCTGCCATTGACCTCAAAGCGCTTGAAATCTCCACTTGCCAATTGCACAAAAAGAGTGTTTCAAATCTGCTCTGTCTAAGGGAAAGTTCAACTCTGTGAGTTGAATGTACACAACACAAGGAAGTTACTGGGAATTCTTCTGTCTAGCCTTACATGAAAAAAACCCGTTTCCATCGAAGGCCTCTAACTGGTCAAGTTATCCACGTGCAGACTTTACAAACAGAGTGTTTCCAAACTTCTGAATGAAAAGAAAAGTTAAACTCTGAGAGTTGAACGCACACATCGCAGAGCAGTTTCTGAGAATGATTCTGTCTAGTTTTTATACGAAGATATTTCCTTTTCTGCCTTTGGCCTCAAAGCGCTTGAAATCTCCATTTGCAAATTCCACAAAAAGAGTGTTTCAAATCTGCTCTGTGTAAATGAAAGTTCAACTCTGTGAGTTGAACACACACAACACAAGGGAAGTTACTGGGAATTCTTCTGTCTAGCATAATATGAAGAAATCCCGTTTCCAACGAAGGCCTCAAAGGGGTCTGAATATCCACTTGCAGACTTTAGAAACAGAGTGTTTTCTAACTGCTCTATGAAAAGAAAGGTTAAACTCTGTGAGTTGAACACACACATCACAAAGGAGTTTCTGAGAATCATTCTGTCTAGTTTTTATAGGAAGATATTTCCTTTTCTACCTTTGACTTCAAAGCGGCTGAAATCTCCACTTGCAAATTACACAAAAAGAGTGTTACAAGTCTGCTCTGTGTAAAGGATCGTTCAACTCTGTGAGTTGAATACACACAACACAAGGAAGTTACTTGAGAATTCTTCTGTCTAGCCTTACATGAACAAAACCCGTTTCCAACGAAGGCCTCTAAGTGGTCAAGTTATCCACGTGCAGACTTTACAAACAGAGTGTTTCCAAACTGCTGAATGAAAAGAAAAGTTAAACTCTGAGAGTTGAACGCACACATCGCAGAGCAGTTTCTGAGAATGATTCTGTCTAGTTTTGAAACGAAGATATTTCCTTTTCTGCCATTGACCTTAAAGCGCTTGAAATCTCCATTTGTCAATTGCACAAAAAGAGTGTTTCAAATCTGCTCTGTCTAAGGGAACGTTCAACTCTGTGAGTTGAATGTACACGAACACAAGGAAGTTACTGGGAATTCTTCTGTCTAGCCTTACATGAAAAAAACCCGTTTCCAACGAAGGCCTCTAAGTGGTCAAAATATCCACGTGCAGACTTTACAAACACAGTGTTTCCAAACCGCTGAATGAAAAGAAAAGTTAAAGTCTGAGAGTTGAACGCACACATCACGCAGCAGTTTCTGAGAATGATTCTGTCTAGTTTTTATACGAAGATATTTCCTTTTCTGCCTTTGGCCTCAAAGCGCTTGAAATCTCCAATTGCAAATTCCACAAAAAGAGTGTTTCAAATCTGCTCTGTCTAAATGAAAGTTCAACTCTGTCAGTTGAACACACACAACACAAGGAAGTTACTGGGAATTCTTCTGTCTAGCAGAACATGAAGAAATCCCGTTTCCAACGAAGGCCTCAAAGATGTCTGAATATCCATATGCAGACTTTACAAACAGAGTGTTTCCTAACTGCTCTATGAAAAGAAAGGATAAACTCTGTGAGTTGAACGCACACATCACAAAGGAGTTTCTGAGAATCATTCTGTCTAGCTTCTATAGGAAGATATTTCCTATTCTACCATTGACCTCAAAGCGGCTGAAATCTCCACTTGCAAATTCCACAAAAAGAGTGTTTCAAGTCTGCTCTGTGTAAAGGATCGTTCAACTCTGTGAGTTGAATACACACAACACAAGGAAGTTACTGAGAATTCTTCTGTCTAGCCTTATATGAAAAAAACCCGTTTCCAACGAAGGCCTCAAAGAGGTCTGAATATCCACTTGCAGACTTTACAAACAGAGTGTTTCCTAACTGCTCTATGAAAAGAAAGGTTAAGCTCTGTGAGTTGAAAGCACACATCACAAAGGAGTTTCTGAGAATCATTCTGTCTAGTTTTTATACGAAGATATTTCCTTTTCTACCATTGACCTCAACGTGGCTGAAATCTCCACTTGCAAATTCCACAAAAAGAGCGTTTCAAGTCTGCTCTGTGTAAAGGATCGTTCAACTCTGTGAGTTGAATACACACAACACAAGGAAGTTACTGAGAATTCTTCTGTCCAGCAGAATATGAAGAAATCCCGTTTCCAACGAAGGCCACAAGATGTCAGAATATCCACTTACAGACTTTACAAACAGAGTGTTTCCTAACTGCTCTATGAACAGAAAGGTTAAACTCTGTGAGTTGAACGAACACATCACAACGCAGTTTGTGGGAATGATTCTGTCTAGTTTTTATAGGAAGATATTTCCTTTTCTACATTTGACTTCATAGCGGCTGAAATCTCCACTTGCAAATTCCACAAAAAGAGTGTTACAAGTCTGCTCTGTGTAAAGGATCGTTCAACTCTGTGAGTTGAATACACACAACACAAGGAAGTTACTGAGAATTCTTCTATCTAGCCTTACATGCAAAAAACCCATTTCCAACGAAGGCCTCTAAGTGGTCAAAATATCCACGTGCAGACTTCACAAACAGAGTGTTTCCAAACCGCTGAATGAAAAGAAAAGTTAAACTCTGAGAGTTGAACGCACACATCACGCAGCAGCTTCTGAGAATGATTCTGTCTAGTTTTGAAACGAAGATATTTCCTTTTCTGCCTTTGGCCTCAAAGCGCTTGAAATCTCCACTTGCAAATTCCACAAAAAGAGTGTTTCAAATCTTCTCTGTGTAAATGAAAGTTCAACTCTGTGAGTTGAACACACACAACACAAGGAAAGTTACTGGGAATTCTTCTGTCTAGCATAATATGAAGAATTCCCGTTTCCAACGAAGGCCTCAAAGGGGTCTGAATATCCACTTGCAGACTTTATAAACAGAGTGTTTACTAACTGCTCTATGAAAAGAAAGGTTAAACTGCTGTGAGTTGAACACACACATCACAAAGGAGTTTCTGAGAATCATTCTGTCTAGTCTATATACGAAGATATTTCCTTTTCTACCATTGACCTCAAAGCGGCTGAAATCTCCACTTGCAAATTCCACAAAAAGAGTGTTTCAAGTCTGCTCTGTGTAAAGGATCGTTCAACTCTGTGAGTTGAATACACACAACACAAGGAAGTTACTGAGAATTCTTCTGTCTAGTCTTATATGAAAAAACCCGTTTCCAACGAAGGCCTCAAAGAGGTCAGAATATCCACTTGCAGACTTTACAAACAGAGTGTTTCCTAACTGCTCTATGAAAAGAAAGGTTAAACTCTGTGAGTTGAACGCACACATCACAAAGGAGATTCTGAGAATCATTCTGTCTAGTTTTTCTAGGAAGATATTTCCTTTTCTACTATTGACCTCAAAGCGGCTGAAACCTCCACTTGCAAATTCCACAAAAAGAGTGTTTCAAGCCTGCTCTCTGTAAAGGATCCTTCAACTCTGTGAGTTGAATACACACAACACAAGGAAGTTACTGAGAATTATTCTGTCTAGCAGAATATGAAGAAATCCCGTTTCCAACGAAGGCCTCAAAGAGGTCTGAATATCCACTTACAGACTTTACAAACAGAGTGTTTCCTAACTGCTCTATGAACAGAAAGGTTAAACTCTGTGAGTTGAACGAACACATCACAACGCAGTTTGTGGGAATGATTCTGTCTAGTTTTGAAACGAAGATATTTCCTTTTCTGCCATTGACCTTAAAGCGCTTGAAATCTCCACTTGCCAATTGCACAAAAAGAGTATTTCAAATCTGCTCTGTCTAAGGGAACGTTCAACTCTGTGAGTTGAATGTACACAACACAAGGAAGTTACTGGGAATTCTTCTCTCTAGCCTTACATGAAAAAAACCCGTTTCCAACGAAGGCCTCTAAGTGGTCAAATTATCCACGTGCAGACTTTACAAACAGAGTGTTTCCAAACTGCTGAATGAAAAGAAAAGTTAAACTCTGAGAGTTCAACGCACACATCACAGAGCAGTTTCTGAGAATGATTCTGTCTAGTTTTTATACGAAGATATTTCCTTTTCTGCCTTTGGCCTCAAAGCGCTTGAAATCTCCATTTGCAAATTCCACAAAAAGAGTTTTTCAAATCTGCTCTGTGTAAATGAAAGTTCAACTCTGTGAGTTGAACACACACAACCCAAGGAAGTTACTGGGAATTCTTCTGTCTATCCTTACATGAAAAAACCCGTTTCCAACGAAGGCCTCAAAGAGGTCAAAATATCCACATGCAGACTTTACAAACAGAGTGTTTCCTAACTGCTCTATGAAAAGAAAGGTTAAACTCTGTGAGTTGAACACACACATCACAAAGGAGTTTCTGAGAATCATTCTGTGTAGTTTCTATAGGAAGATATTTCCTATTCTACCATTGAACTCAAAGCGGCTGAAATCTCCACTTGCAAATTCCACAAAAAGAGTGTTTCAAGTCTGCTCTGTGTAAAGGATCGTTCAACTCTGTGAGTTGAATACACACAACACAAGGAAGTTCCTGAGAATTCTTCTGTCTAGCAGAATATGAAGAAATCCCGTTTCCAACGAAGGCCATAAGATGTCAGAATATCCACTTACAGACTTTACAAACAGAGTGTTTCCTAACTGCTCTATGAACAGAAAGGTTAAACTCTGTGAGTTGAACGAACACATCACAACGCAGTTTGTGGGAATGATTCTGTCTAGTTTTGAAACGAAGATATTTCCTTTTCTGCCGTTGACCATAAAGAGCTTGAAAACTACACTTGCAAATTGCACAAATAGAGTGTTTCAAATCTGCTCTGTCTAAGGGAACGTTCAACTCTGTGAGTTGAATGCACACAACACAAGGAAGTTACTGGGAATTCTTCTGTCTAGACTTACAGGAAAAAAACCCGTTTCCAACGAAGGCCTCTAAGTGGTCAAAATATCCACGTGCAGACTTTACAAACAGAGTGTTTCCAAACTGCTGAATGAAAAGAAAAGTTAAACTCTGAGAGTTGAACGCACACATCGCAGAGCAGTTTCTGAGAATGATTCTGTCTAGTTTTTATACGAAGATATTTCCTTTTCTGCCTTTAGCCTCAAAGCGCTTGAAATCTCCACTTGCAAATTCCACAAAAAGAGTGTTTCAAATCTGCTCTGTGTAAATGAAAGTTCAACTCTGTGAGTTGAACACACACAACACAAGGAAGTTACTGGGAATTCTTCTGTCTAGCATAATATGAAGAAATCCGGTTTCCAACGAAGGCCTCAAAGGGGTCTGAATATCCACTTGCAGACTTTATAAACAGAGTGTTTACTAACTGCTCTATGAAAAGAAAGCTTAAACTTTGTGAGTTGAACACACACATCACAAAGGAGTTTCTGAGAATCATTCTGTCTAGTCTTTATACGAAGATATTTCCTTTTCTACCATTGACCTCAAAACGGCTGAAATCTCCACTTGCAAATTCCACAAAAAGTGTGTTTCAAGTCTGCTCTGTGTAAAGGATCGTTCAACTCTGTGAGTTGAATACACACAACACAAGGAAGTTACTGAGAATTCTTCTGTCTAGCAGAATATGAAGAAATCCCGTTTCCAACGAAGGCCACAAGATGTCAGAATATCCACTTACAGACTTTACAAACAAAGTGTTTCCTAACTGCTCTATGAACAGAAAGGTTAAACTCTGTGAGTTGAACGAACACATCACAACGCAGTTTGTGGGAATGATTCTGTCTAGTTTTAATACGAAGATATTTCCTTTTATACCATTGACCTCAAAGCGGCTGAAATCACCACTTGCCAATTGCACAAAAAGAGTGTTTCAAATCTGCTCTGTCTAAGGGAACGTTCAACTCTGTGAGTTGAATGTACACAACACAAGGAAGTTACTAGGAATTCTTCTGTCTAGCCTTACAAGAAAAAAACCCGTTTCCAACGAAGGCCTCTAAGTGGTCAAAATATCCACGTGCAGACTTTACAAACAGAGTGTTTCCAAACTGCTGAATGAAAAGAAAAGTTAAACTCTGAGAATTGAACGCACACATCGCAGAGCAGTTTCTGAGAATGATTCTGTCTAGTTTTTATACGAAGATATTTCCTTTTCTGCCTTTGGCCCCAAAGCGCTTGAAATCTCCACTTGCAAATTCCACAAAAAGAGTGTTTCAAATCTGCTCTGTGTAAATCAAAGTTCAACTCTGTGAGTTGAACACACACAACACAAGGGAAGTTACTGGGGATTCTTCTGTCTAGCATAATATGAAGAAATCCCGTTTCCAAAGAAGGCCTCAAGGAGGTCTGAATATCCACTTGCAGACTTTACAAACAGAGTGTTTCCTAACTGCTCTATGAAAAGAAAGGTTAAACTCTGTGAGTTGAACGCACACATCACAAAGTAGTTTCTGAGAATCATTCTGTCTAGTTTCTATAGGAAGATACTTCCTATTCTACCATTGACCTCAAAGCGGCTGAAATCTCCACTTGCAAATTCCACAAAAAGAGTGTTTCAAGTCTGCTCTGTGTAAAGCATCGTTCAACTCTGTGAGTTGAATACACACAACACAAGGAAGTTACTGAGAATTCCTCTGTCTAGCATAATATGAAGAAATCCCGTTTCCAAAGAAGGCCTCAAGGAGGTCTGAATATCCACATGCAGACTTTACAAACAGAGTGTTTCCTAACTGCTCTATGAAAAGAAAGGTTAAACTCTGTGAGTTGAACGCACACATCACAGAGGAGTTTCTGAGAATCATTCTGTCTAGTTTTGAAACCAAGATATTTCCTTTTCTGCCGTTGACCTTAAAGAGCTTGAAAACTACACTTGCAAATTGCACAAATAGAGTGTTTCAAATCTGCTCTGTCTAAGGGAACGTTCAACTCTGTGAGTTGAATGCACACAACACAAGGAAGTTACTGGGAATTCTTCTGTCTAGCCTTACATGAAAAAAACCCGTTTCCAACGAAGGCCTCAAAGAGGTCTGAATATCCACGTGCAGACTTTACAAACAGAGTGTTTCCAAACCGCTGAATGAAAAGAAAGGTTAAACTCTGTGAGTTGAACGCACACATCACAAAGGAGTTTCTGAGAATCATTCTGTCTAGTTTTTATACGAAGATATTTCCTTTTCTGCCTTTGGCCACAAAGCGCTTGAAATCTCCACTTGCAAATTCCACAAAAAGAGTGTTTCAAATCTGCTCTGTGTAAATCAAAGTTCAACTCTGTGAGTTGAACACACACAACACAAGGAAGTTACTGGGAATTCTTCTGTCTAGCATAATATGAAGAAATCCCGTTTCCAACGAAGGCCTCAAAGGGGTCTGAATATCCATTTGCAGACTTTATAAACAGAGTGTTTACTAACTGCTCTATGAAAAGAAAGGTTAAACTCTGTGAGTTGAACACACACATCACAAAGGAGTTTCTGAGAATCATTCTGTCTAGTTTTTATACGAAGATATTTCCTTTTCTACCATTGACCTCAAAGCGGCTGAAATCTCCACTTGCAAATTCCACACAAAGAGTGTTTCAAATCTGCTCTGTGTAAACCATCGTTCAACTCTGTGAGTGGAATACACACAACACAAGGAAGATTCTGAGAATTCTTCTGTCTAGCAGAATATGAAGAAATCCCGTTTCCAACGAAGGCCAAAAGATGTCAGAATATCCACTTACAGAATTTACAAACAGACTGTTTCCTAACTGCTCTATGAAAAGAAAGGTTAAACTCTGTGAGTTGAACGAACACATCACAACGCAGTTTGTGGGAATGATTCTGTCTAGTTTTGAAACGAAGATATTTCCTTTTCTGCCATTGACCTTAAAGCGCTTGAAATCTACACTTGCAAATTGCAGAAATAGAGTGTTTCAAATCTGCTCTGTCTAAGGGAACGTTCAACTCTGTGAGTTGAATGCACACAACACAAGGAAGTTACTGGGAATTCTTCTGTCTAGCCTTACATGAAAAAAACCCGTTTCCAACGAAGGCCTCTAAGTGGTCTAATTATCCACGTGCAGACTTTACAAACAGAGTGTTTCCAAACTGCTGAATGAAAAGCAAAGTTAAACTCTGAGAGTTGAACGCACACATCGCAGAGCAGTTTCTGAGAATGATTCTGTCTGGTTTTTATAGGAAGATATTTCCTTTTCTGCCTTTGGCCTCAAAGCGCTTGAAACCTCCACTTGCAAATTCCACGAAAACAGTGTTTCAAATCTGATCTGTCTAAATGAAAGTTCAACTCTGTCAGTTGAATACACACAACACAAGAAGTTACTGAGAATTCTTCTGTCTAGCATAATATGAAGAAATCCCGTTTCCAACGAAGGCCTCAAAGAAGTCTGAATATCCACTTGCAGACTTTACAAACAGAGTGTTTCCCAACTGCTCTATGAAAAGAAAGGTTGAACTCTGTGAGTTGAACGCACACATCACAAAGGAGTTTCTGAGAATCATTCTGTCTAGTTTCTATAGGAAGATATTTCCTATTCTACCATTGACCTCAAAGCGGCTGAAATCTCCACTTGCAAATTCCGCAAAAAGAGTGTTTCAAGTCTGCTCTGTGTAAAGGATCGTTCAACTCTGTGAGTTGAATACACAAAACACAAGGAAGTTACTGAGAATTCTTCTGTGTATCATAATATGAAGAAATCCCGTTTCCAATGAAGGCCTCAAAGAGGTCTGAATATCCACTTGCAGACTTTACAAACAGAGTGTCTCCTAACTGCTCTATGAAAAGAAAGGTTAAACTCTGTGAGTTGAACGAACACATCACAACGCAGTTTGTGGGAATGATTCTGTCTAGTTTTGAAACGAAGATATTTCCTTTTCTGCCATTGACCTTAAAGCGCTTGAAATCTCCACTTGCCAATTGCACAAAAAGAGTGTTTCAAATCTGCTGTGTCTAAGGGAACGTTCAACTCTGTGAGTTGAATGTACACAACACAAGGAAGTTACTGGGAATTCTTCTGTCTAGCCTTACATGAAAAAAACCCGTTTCCAACGAAGGCCTCTAAGTGGTCAAAATATCCACGTGCAGACTTTACAAACAGAGTGTTTCCAAACCGCTGAATGAAAAGAAAAGTTAAACTCTGAGAGTTGAACGCACACATCACGCAGCAGTTTCTGAGAATCATTCTGTCTAGTTTCTATAGGAAGTTTTTTCCTATTCTACCATTGACCTCAAACCGGCAGAAATCTCCACTTGCAAATTCCACAAAAAGAGTGTTTCAAGACTGCTCTGTGTAAAGGATCGTTCAACTCTGTGAGTTGAATACACACAACACAAGGAAGTTACTGGGAATTCTTCTGTCTAGCAGAATATGAAGAAATCCCGTTTCCAACGAAGGCCTCAAAGAGGTCTGAATATCCACTTGCAGACTTTACAACCAGAGTGTTTCCTAACTGCTCTATGAAAAGAAAGGTTAAACTCTGTGAGTTGAACGCACACATCACAAAGGAGTTTCTGAGAATCATTCTGTCTAGTCTTTATACAAAGATATTTCCTTTTCTACCATTGACCTCAAAGCGGCTGAAATCTCCACTTGCAAATTCCACAAAAAGAGTGTTTCAAGTCTGCTCTCTGTAAAGGATCGTTCAACTCTGTGAGTTGAGTACACACAACACAAGGAAGTTACTGAGAATTATTCTGTCTAGCAGAATATGAAGAAATCCCGTTTCCAACGAAGGCCACAAGATGTCAGAATATCCACTTACAGACTTTACAAACAGAGTGTTTCCTAACTGCTCTATGAACAGAAATGTTAAACTCTGTGAGTTGAACGAACACATCACAACGCAGTTTGTGGGAATGATTCTGTCTAGTTTTTATACGAAGATATTTCCTTTTCTACCATTGACCTCAAAGAGGCTGAAATCACCACTTGCCAATTGCACAAAAAGAGTGTTTCAAATCTGCTCTGTCTAAGGGAACGTTCAACTCTGTGAGTTGAATGTACACAACACAAGGAAGTTCCTGGGAATTCTTCTGTCTAGCCTTACAGGAAAAAAACCCGTTTCCAACGAAGGCCTCTAAGTGGTCAAAATATCCACGTGCAGTCTTTACAAACAGAGTGTTTTCAAACTGTTGAATGAAAAGAAAAGTTAAACTCTGAGATTTGAACGCACACATCGCAGAGCAGTTTCTGAGAATGATTCTGTCTAGTTTCTATAGGAAGATATTTCCTATTCTACCATTGACCTCAAAGCGGCTGAAATCTCCAATTGCAAATTCCACAAAAAGAGTGTTTCAAGTCTGCTCTGTGTAAAGGATCGTTCAACTCTGTGAGTTGAATACACACAACACAAGGAAGTTACTGAGAATTCTTCTGTCTAGCAGAATATGAAGAAATCCCGCTTCCAACGAAGGCCTCAAAGAACTCTGAATATGCACATGCAGACTTTACAAACAGAGTGTTTCCCAACTGCTCTATAAAAAGAAAGGTTGAACTCTGTGAGTTGAAGGCACACATCACAAAGGAGTTTCTGAGAATCATTCTGTCTAGTTTTGAAACGAAGATATTTCCTTTTCTACCATTGACCTCAACGCGGCTGAAATCTCCATTTGCAAATTCCACAAAAAGGGTGTTTCAAATCTGCTCTGTGTAAATGAAAGTTCAACTCTGTGAGTTGAACACACACAACACAAGGAAGTTACTGGGAATTCTTCTGTCTAGCAGAATATGAAGAAATCCCGTTTCCAACGAAGGCCACAAGATGTCAGAATATCCACTTACAGACTTTACAGAGTGTTTCCTAACTGCTCTATGAACAGAAAGGTTAAACTCTGTGAGTTGAACGAACACATCACAACGCAGTTTGTGGGAATGATTCTGTCTAGTTTTGAAACGAAGATATTTCCTTTTCGGCCGTTGACCTTAAAGCGCTTGAAATCTACACTTGCAAATTGCACAAATAGAGTGTTTCAAATCTGCTCTGTCTAAGGGAACGTTCAACTCTGTGAGTTGAATGCACACAACACAAGGAAGTTACTGGGAATTCTTCTGTCTAGCCTTACATGAAAAAAACCCGTTTCCAACGAAGGCCTCTAAGTGGTCAAAATATCCACGTGCAGACTTTACAAACAGAGTGTTTCCAAACCGCTGAATGAAAAGAAAAGTTAAACTCTGAGAGTTGAACGCAAACATCACGCAGCAGTTTTTGAGAATGATTCTGTCTAGTTTTTATACGAAGATATTTCCTTTTCTGCCTTTGGCCCCAAAGCGATTGAAATCTCCACTTGCAAATTCCACAAAAACAGTGTTTCAAATCTGCTCTCTCTAAATGAAAGTTCAACTCTGTCAGTTGAATACACACAACACAAGGAAGTTACTGAGAATTCTTCTGTCTAGCATAATATGAAGAAATCCCGTTTCCAACGAAGGCCTCAAAGATGTCTGAATATCCACTTGCAGACTTTACAGAGTGTTTCCTAACTGCTCTATGAAAAGAAAGGTTAAACTCTGTGAGTTGAACGCACACATCACAAAGGAGTTTCTGAGAATCATTCTGTCTACTTTCTATAGGAAGATATTTCCTATTCTACCATTGACCTCAAAGCGGCTGAAATCTCCACTTGCAAATTCCACAAAAAGAGTGTTTCAAGTCTGCTCTGTGTAAAGGATCGTTCAACTCTGTGAGTTGAATACACACAACACAAGGGAAGTTACTGAGAATTCTTCTGTCTAGCAGAATATGAAGAAATCCCGTTTCCAGCGAAGGCCACAAGATGTCAGAATATCCACTTACAGAATTTACAAACAGAGTGTTTCCTAACTGCTCTATGAAAAGAAAGGTTAAACTCTGTGAGATGAACGAGCACATCACAACGCAGTTTGTGGGAATGATTCTGTCTAGTTTTGAAACGAAGAAATTTCCTTTTCTGCCATTGACCTTAAAGCGCTTGAAATCTACACTTGCAAATTGCACAAATACAGTGTTTCAAATCTGCTCTGTCAAAGGGAACGTTCAACTCTGTGAGTTGAATGCACACAACACAAGGAAGTTACTGGGAATTCTTCTGTCTAGCCTTACATGAAAAAAACCCGTTTCCAACGAAGGCCTCTAAGTGGTCAAATTATCCACGTGCAGACTTTACAAACAGAGTGTTTCCAAACTGCTGAATGAAAAGAAAAGTTAAACTCTGAGAGTTGAACGCACACATCGCAGAGCAGTTTCTGAGCATGATTCTGTCTAGTCTTTATACGAAGATATTTACTTTTCTACCATTGACCGCAAAGCGGCTGAAATCTCCACTTGCAAATTCCACAAAAAGAGTGTTTCAAGTCTGCTCTGTGTAAAGGATCATTCAACTCTGTGAGTTGAATAAACACAACACAAGGAAGTTACTGAGAATTCTTCTGTCTAGCAGAATATGAAGAAATCCCGTTTCCAACGAAGGCCTCAACGAGGTCTGAATATCCACTTGCAGACTTTACAAACAGAGTGTTTCCTAACTGCTCTATGAAAAAGAAAGGTTAAACTCTGTGAGTTGAACCCACACATCACAAAGGAGTTTCTGAGAATCATTCTGTCTAGTCTTTATACGAAGATATTTACTTTTCTACCATTGACCTCAAAGCGGCTGTAATCTCCACTTGCAAATTCCACAAAAAGAGTGTTTCAAGTCTGCTCTGTGTAAAGGATCATTCAACTCTGTGAGTTGAATAAACACAACACAAGGAAGTTACTGAGAATTCTTTTGTCTAGCAGAATATGAAGAAATCCCGTTTCCAACGAAGGTCACAAGATGTCAGAATATCCACTTACAGAATTGACAAACAGACTGTTTCCTAACTGCTCTATGAAAAGAAAGGTTAAACTCTGTGAGTTGAACGAACACATCACAACGCAGTTTGTGGGAATGATTCTGTCTAGTTTTGAAACGAAGATATTTCCTTTTCTGCCATTGACCTTAAAGCGCTTGAAATCTCCATTTGCCAATTGCACAAAAAGAGTGTTTCAAATCTGCTCTGTCTAAGTGAACGTTCAACTCTGTGAGTTGAATGTACACAACACAAGGAAGTTACTGGGAATTCTTCTGTTTAGCCTTACAGGAAAAAAACCCGTTTCCAACGAAGGCCTCTAAGTGGTCAAAATATCCACGTGCAGACTTTACAAACAGAGTGTTTCCAAACTGCTGAATGAAAAGAAAAGTTAAACTCTGAGAGTTGAACGCACACATCGCAGAGCAGTTTCTGAGAATGATTCTGTCTAGTTTTTATACGAAGATATTTCCTTTTCTGCCTTTGGCCCCAAAGCGCTTGAAATCTCCACTTGCAAATTCCACAAAAACAGTGTTTCAAATCTGCTCTCTCTAAATGATAGTTCAACTCTGTCAGTTGAATACACACAACACAAGGAAGTTACTGAGAATTCTTCTGTCTAGCATAATATGAAGAAATCCCGTTTCCAACGAAGGCCTCAAAGAGGTCTGAATATCCACTTGCAGACTTTACAAACAGGGTGTTTCCTAACTGCTCTATGAACAGAAAGGTTAAACTCTGTGAGTTGAACGAACACATCACAACGCAGTTTGTGGGAATGATTCTGTCTAGTTTCTATAGGAAGATATTTCCTATTCTACCATTGAACTCAAAGCGGCTGAAATCTCCACTTGCAAATTCCACAAAAAGATTGTTTCAAGTCTGCTCTGTGTAAAGGATCGTGCAACTCTGTGAGTTGAATACACACAACACAAGGAAGTTACTGAGAATTCTTCTGTCTAGCAGAATATGAAGAAATCCCATTTCCAACGAAGGCCACAAGATGTCAGAATATCCACTTACAGACTTGACAAACAGAGTGTTTCCTAACTGCTCTATGAACAGAAAGGTAAAACGCTGTGAGTTGAACGAACACATCACAACGCAGTTTGTGGGAATGATTCTGTCTAGTTTTGAAACCAAGATATTTCCTTTTCTGCCGTTGACCTAAAAGAGCTTGAAAACTACACTTGCAAATTGCTCAAATAGAGTGTTTCAAATCTGCTCTGTCTAAGGGAACGTTCAACTCTGTGAGTTGAATGCACACAACACAAGGAAGTTACTGGGAATTCTTCTGTCTAGCCTTACATGAAAAAAACCCGTTTCCAACGAAGGCCTCTAAGTGGTCAAAATATCCACGTACAGATGTTACAAACAGAGTGTTTCCAAACCGCTGAATGAAAAGAAAAGTTAAACTCTGAGAGTTGAACGCACACATCACGCAGCAGTTTCTGAGAATGATTCTGTCTAGTTTTGAAACGAAGATATTTCCTTTTCTGCCTTTGGCCTCAAAGCGCTTGAAAT
Organism: Homo sapiens; assembly: GCF_000001405.40. Lineage (NCBI taxonomy): Eukaryota > Metazoa > Chordata > Mammalia > Primates > Hominidae > Homo > Homo sapiens. The sequence continues at coordinate 47,801,426 of NC_000005.10, read as the reverse complement.
CTCCACTTACATATTCCACAAAAAGAGTGTTTCAAATCTGCTCTGTGTAAATGAAAGTTCAACTCTGTGAGTTGAACACACACAACACAAGGAAGTTACTGGGAATTCTTCTGTCTAGCCTTATATGAAAAAAACCCGTTTCCAACGAAGACCTCAAGGAGGTCTGAATATCCACTTGCAGACTTTACAAACAGAGTGTTTCCTAACTGCTCTATGAAAAGAAAGGTTAAACTCTGTGAGTTGAACGCACACATCACAAAGGAGTTTCTGAGAATCATTCTGTCTAGTTGTTATACGAAGATATTTCCTTTTCTACCATTGACCTCAAAGCGGCTGAAATCTCCACTTGCAAATTCCACCAAATGAGTGTTTCAAATCTGCTCTGTGTAAAGGATCGTTCAACCGTGTGAGTTGAATACACACAACACAAGGAAGATTCTGAGAATTCTTCTGTCTAGCAGAATATGAAGAAATCCTGTTTCCAACGAAGGCCACAAGATGTCTGAATATCCACTTACAGACTTTACAAACAGAGTGTTTCCTAACTGCTCTATGAACAGAAAGGTTAAACTCTGTGAGTTGAACGAACACATCACAACGCAGTTTGTGGGAATGATTCTGTCTAGTTTTGAAATGAAGATATTTCCTTTTCTGGCGTTGACCTTAAAGCGCTTGAAATCTACACTTGCAAATTGCACAAATAGAGTGTTTCAAATCTGCTCTGTCTAAGGGAACGTTCAACTCTGTGAGTTGAATTCACACAACACAAGGAAGTTACTGGGAATTCTTCTGTCTAGCATTACAGGAAAAAAACCCGTTTCCAACGAAGGCCTCTAAGTGGTCAAAATATCCACGTGCAGACTTTACAAACAGAGTGTTTCCAAACTGCTGAATGAAAAGAAAAGTTAAACTCTGAGAGTTGAACGCACACATCGCAGAGCAGTTTCTGAGAATGATTCTGTCTAGTTTTTATACGAAGGTATTTCCTTTTCTGCCTTTGGCCTCAAAGCGCTTGAAATCTCCACTTGCAAATTCCACAAAAAGAGTGTTTCAAATCTGCTCTGTGTAAATGAAAGTTCAACTCTGTGAGTTGAACACACACAACACAAGGAAGTTACTGGGAATTCTTCTGTCTAGCAGAATATGAAGAAATCCCGTTTCCAACGAAAGCCTCAAAGATGTCTGAATATCCACTTGCAGACTTTACAAACAGAGTGTTTCCTAACTGCTCTATGAAAAGAAAGGTTAAACTCTGTGAGTTCAACGCACACATCACAAAGGAGTTTCTGAGAATCATTCTGTCTAGTTTCTATAGGAAGGTATTTCCTATTCTACCATTGACCTCAAAGCGGCTGAAATCTCCAATTGCAAATTCCACAAAAAGAGAGTTTCAAGTCTGCTCTGTGTAAAGGATCGTTCAACTCTGTGAGTTGAAAACACACAACACAAGGAAGTTTCTGAGAATTCTTCTGTCTAGCCTTATATGAAAAAAACCCGTTTCCAACGAAGGCCTCAAAGAGGTCTGAATATCCACTTGCAGACTTTACAAACAGAGTGATTCTTAACTGCTCTATGAAAAGAAAGGTTAAACTCTGTGAGTTGAACACACACATCTCAAAGGAGTTTCTGAGAATCATTCTGTCTAGTTTCTATAGGAAGATATTTCCTATTCTACCATTGACCTCAAAGCGTCAGAAATCTCCACTTGCAAATTCCACAAAAAGAGTGTTTCAAGACTGCTCTGTGTAAAGGATCGTTGAACTCTGTGAGTTGAATACACACAACACAAGGAAGTTACTGAGAATTCTTCTGTCTAGCAGAATATGAAGAAATCCCGTTTCCAACGAAGGCCACAGGATGTCTGAATATCCACTTACAGACTTTACAAACAGAGTGTTTCCTAACTGCTCTATGAACAGAAAGGTTAAACTCTGTGAGTTGTACCAACACATCACAACGCAGTTTGTGGGAATGATTCTGTCTAGTTTTGAAACGAAAATATTTCCTTTTCTGCCATTGACCTTAAAGCGCTTGAAATCTCCACTTGCCAATTGCACAAAAAGAGTGTTTCAAATCTGCTCTGTCTAAGGGAACGTTCAACTCTGTGAGTTGAATGTACACAACACAAGGAAGTTACTGGGAATTCTTCTGTCTAGCCTTACATGAAAAAAACCCGTTTCCAACGAAGGCCTCTAAGTGGTCAAGTTATCCACGTGCAGACTTTACAAACAGAGTGTTTCCAAACTGCTGAATGAAAAGAAAAGTTAAACTCTGAGAGTTGAATGCACACATCGCAGAGCAGTTTGCTGAGAATGATTCTGTCTAGTTTTTATACGAAGATATTTCCTTTTCTGCCTTTGGCCTGAAAGCGCTTGAAATCTCCACTTGCAAATTCCACAAAAAGAGTGTTTCAAATCTGCTCTGTGTAAATGAAAGTTCAACTCTGTGAGTTCAACACACACAACACAAGGTAAGTTACTGGGAATTCTTCTTTCTAGCAGAATATGAAGAAATCCCGTTTCCAACGAAAGCCTCAAGGATGTCTGAATATCCACTTGCAGACTTTACAAACAGAGTGTTTCCTAACTGCTCTATGAAAAGAAAGGGTAAACTCCGTGAGTTGAACGCACACATCACAAAGGAGTTTCTGAGAATCATTCTGTCTAGTTTTTGTACGAAGATATTTCCTTTTCTACCCTTTACCTCAAAGCGGCTGAAATCTCCACTTGCCAATTCCACAAAAAGAGTGTTTCAAGTCTACTCTGTGTAAAGGATCGTTGAACTCTGTGAGTTGAAAACACACAACACCAGGAAGTTTCTGAGAATTCTTCTGTCTAGCAGAATATGAAGAAATCCCGTTTCCAACGAAGGCCACAAGATGTCAGAATATCCACTTACAGACTTTACAAACAGAGTGTTTCCTAACTGCTCTATGAACAGAGAGGTTAAACTCTGTGAGTTGAACGAACACATCACAACGCAGTTTGTGGGAATGATTCTGTCTAGTTTTGAAACGAAGATATTTCCTTTTCTGCCGTTGACCTTAAAGAGCTTGAAAACTACACTTGCAAATTGCACAAATAGAGTGTTTCAAATCTGCTCTGTCTAAGGGAACGTTCAACTCTGTGAGTTGAATGCACACAACACAAGGAAGTTACTGGGAATTCTTCTGTCTAGCCTTACAGGAAAAAAACCCGTTTCCAACGAAGGCCTCTAAGTGGTCAAGTTATCCACGTGCAGACTTTACAAACAGAGTGTTTCCAAACTGCTGAATGAAAAGAAAAGTTAAACTCTGAGAGTTGAACGCACACAGCGCAGAGCAGTTTCTGAGAATGATTCTGTCTAGTTTTTATACGAAGATATTTCCTTTTCTGCCTTTGGCCCCAAAGCGCTTGAAATCTCCATTTGCAAATTCCACAAAAACAGTGTTGCAAATCTGCTCTCTCTAAATGAAAGTTCAACTCTGTGAGTGGAATACACACAACACAAGGAAGTTACTGAGAATTCTTCTGTCTAGCACAGTATGAAGAAATCCCGTTTCCAACGAAGGCCTCAAAGAGGTCTGAATATCCACTTGCAGAGTTTACAAACAGAGTGTTTCCTAACTGCTCTATGAATAGAAAGGTTAAACTCTGTGAGTTGAACGCACACATCACAAAGAAGTTTCTGAGAATCATTCTGTCTAGTTTTTATACGAAGATATTTCCTTTTCTACCATTGACCTCAAAGCGGCTGAAATCTCCACTTGCAAATTCCACAAAAAGAGTGTTTCAAGTCTGCTCTGTGTAAAGGATCGTTCAAATCTGTGAGTTGAATACACACAACACAAGGAAGTTACTGAGAATTCTTCTGTCTAGCGGAATATGAAGAAATCCCGTTTCCAACGAAGGCCAGAAGATGTCAGAATATCCACTTACGGACTTTACAAAGAGCGTGTTTCCTAACTGCTCTATGAACAGAAAGGTTAAACTCTGTGAGTTGAACGAACACATCACAACGCAGTTTGTGGGAATGATTCTGTCTAGTTTTGAAACGAAGATATTTCCTTTTCTGCCATTGACCTTAAAGCGCTTGAAATCTACACTTGCAAATTGCACAAATAGAGTGTTTCAAATCTGCTCTGTCTAAGAGAACGTTCAACTCTGTGAGTTGAATGCACACAACACAAGGAAGTTACTGGGAATTCTTCTGTCTAGCCTTACATGAAAAAATCCCGTTTCCAACGAAGGGCTCTAAGTGGTCAAAATATCCACGTGCAGACTTTACAAACAGAGTGTTTCCAAACCGCTGAATGAAAAGAAAAGTTAAACTCTGAGAGTTGAACGCACACATCACACAGCAGTTTCTGAGAATGATTCTGTCTAGTTTTCATACGAAGATATTTCCTTTTCTGCCTTTGGCCCCAAAGCGTTTGAAATCTCCACTTGCAAATTCCACAAAAACAGTATTTCAAATCTGCTCTCTCTAAATGAAAGTTCAACTCTGTCAGTTGAATACACACAACACAAGGAAGTTACTGAGAATTCTTCTGTCTAGCCTTATATGAAAAAAACCCGTTTCCAACGAAGGCCTCAAAGAGGTCTGAATATCCACTTGCAGACTTTACAAACAGAGTGTTTCCTAAGTGCTCTATGCAAAGAAAGGTTAAACTCTGTGAGTTGAACGCACACATCACAAAGGAGTTTCTGAGAATCATTCTGTCTTGTTTCTATACGAAGATATTTCCTTTTCTACCATTGACCTCAAAGCGGCTGAAATCTCCACTTGCAAATTCCACAAAAAGAGTGTTTCAAGTCTGCTCTGTTTAAAGGATCGTTCAACTCTGTGAGTTGAATACACACAACACAAGGAAGTTACTGAGAATTCTTCTGTCTAGCATAATATGAAGAAATAACGTTTCCAACGAAGGCCTCAAAGAGGTCTGAATATGCACTTGCAGACTTTACAAACAGAGTGTTTCCTAACTGCTCTATGAACAGAAAGGTTAAACTCTGTGAGTTGAACGAACACATCACAATGCAGTTTGTGGGAATGATTCTGTCTAGTTTTGAAACGAAGATATTTCCTTTTCTGCCGTTGACCTTAAAGCGCTTGAAATCTACACTTGCAAATTGTACAAATAGAGTGTTTCAAATCTGCTCTGTCTAAGGGAACGTTCAACTCTGTGAGTTGAATGCACACAACACAAGGAAGTTACTGGGAATTCTTCTGTCTAGCCTTACAGGAAAGAAACCCGTTTCCAACGAAGGCCTCTAAGTGGTCAAAATATCCATGTGCAGACTTTACAAACAGAGTGTTTCCAAACTGCTGAATGAAAAGAAAAGTTAAACTCTGAGAGTTGAACGCAAACATCGCAGAGTAGTTTCTGAGAATGATTCTGTCTAGTTTTTATACGAAGATATTTCCTTTTCAGCCTTTGGCCTCAAAGCGCTTGAAATCTCCACTTGCAAATTCCACAAAAAGAGTGTTTCCAATCTGCTCTGTGTAAATGAAAGTTCAACTCTGTGAGTTGAACACACACAACACAAGGAAGTTACTGGGAATTCTTCTGTCTAGCCTTATATGAAAACAACCCGTTTCCAACGAAGGCCTCAAAGAGGTCTGAATATCCACTTGCAGACTTTACAAACAGAGTGTTTCCTAACTGCTCTATGAAAAGAAAGGTTAAACTCTGTGAGTTGATCGCACACATCACAAAGGAGTTTCTGAGAATCATTTTGTCTAGTTTCTATAAGAAGATGTTTCGTATTCTACCATTGACCACAAAGCGGCTGAAATCTCCACTTGCAAATTCGACAAAAAGAGTGTTTCAAGCCTGCTGTCTGTAAAGGATCCTTCAACTACTGTGAGTTGAATACACACAACACAAGGAAGTTACTGAGAATTATTCTGTCTAGCAGAATATGAACAAATCCCGTTTCCAACGAAGGCCACAAGATGTCTGAATATCCACTTACAGACTTTACAAACAGAGTGTTTCCTAACTGCTCTATGAACAGAAAGGTTAAACTCTGTGAGTTGAACGAACACATCACAACGCAGTTTGTGGGAATGATTCTGTCTAGTTTTTATAGGAAGATATTTCCTTTTCTACCTTTGACTTCAAAGCGGCTGAAATCTCCACTTGCAAATTCCACAAAAAGAGTGTTACAAGTCTGCTCTGTGTAAAGGATCGTTCAACTCTGTGAGTTGAATACACACAACACAAGGAAGTTACTAAGAATTCTTCTGTCTAGCCTTACATGCAAAAAACCCGATTCCAACGAAGGCCTCTAAGTGGTCAAAATATCCACGTGCAGACTTTACAAACAGAGTGTTTCCAAACCGCTGAATGAAAAGAAAAGTTAAACTCTGAGAGTTGAACGCACACATCACGCAGCAGTTTCTGAGAATGATTCTGTCTAGTTTTTATACGAAGATATTTCCTTTTCTGCCTTTGGCCCCAAAGCGCTTGAAATCTCCACTTGCAAATTCCACAAAAACAGTGTTTCACATCTGCTCTCTCTAAATGAAAGTTCAACTCTGTCAGTTGAATACACACAACACAAGGAAGTTACTGAGAATTCTTCTGTCTAGCCTTATATGAAAAAAACCCGTTTCCAACGAAGGCCCCAAAGAGGTCTGAATATCCACTTGCAGACTTTACAAACAGAGTGTTTCCTAACTGCTCTATGAAAAGAAAGGTTAAACTCTGTGAGTTGAACGCACACATCACAAAGGAGTTTCTGAGAATCTATCTGTCTTGTTTCTATAGGAAGATATTTCCTATTCTACCATTGACCTCAAATCGGCTAAAATCTCCACTTGCAAATTCCACAAAAAGAGTGTTTCAAGTCCGCTCTGTGTAAAGGATCGTTCAACTCTGTGAGTTGAATACACACAACACAAGGAAGTTACTGAGAATTCTTCTGTCTAGCAGAATATGAAGAAATCCCGTTTCCAACGAAGGCCACAAGATGTCAGAATATCCACTTACAGACTTTACAAACAGAGTGTTTCCTAACTACTCTATGAACAGAAAGGTTAAACTCTGTGAGTTGAACGAAAACATCACAACGCAGTTTGTGGGAATGATTCTGTCTAGTTTTGAAACCAAGATATTTCCTTTTCTGCCGTTGACCTTAAAGAGCTTGAAAACTACACTTGCAAATTGCACAAATAGAGTGTTTCAAATCTGCTCTGTCTAAGGGAACGTTCAACTCTGTGAGTTGAATGCACACAACACAAGGAAGTTACTGGGAATTCTTCTGTCTAGCCTTACATGAAAAAAACCCGTTTCCAACGAAGACCTCTAAGTGGTCAAATTATCCACGTGCAGACTTTACAAACAGAGTGTTTCCAAACTGCTGAATGAAAAGAAAAGTTAAACTCTGAGAGTTGAACGCACACATCGCAGAGCAGTTTCTGAGAATGATTCTGTCTAGTTTTTATACGAAGATATTTCCTTTTCTGCCTCTGGCCTCAAAGCGCTTGAAATCTCCATTTGCAAATTCTACAAAAAGAGTGTTTCAAATCTGCTCAGTGTAAATGAAAGTTCAACTCTCTGAGTTGAACACACACAACACATGGAAGTTACTGGGAATTCTTCTGTCTAGCCTTATATGAAAAAAACCCGTTTCCAACGAAGGCCTCAAAGAGGTCTGAATATCCACTTGCAGACTTTAGAAACAGAGTGTTTCCTAACTGCTCTATGAAAAGAAAGGTTAAACTCTGTGAGTTGAACGCACACATCACAAAGGAGTTTCTGAGAATCTTTCTGTCTAGTCTTTATACGAAGATATTTCCTTTTCTACCATTGACCTCAAAGCGGCTGAAGTCTCCACTTGCAAATTCCACAAAAAGAGTGTTTAAAGTCTGCTCTCTGTAAAGGATCGTTCAACTCTGTGAGTTGAATACACACAGCACAAGGAAGTTACTGAGAATTCTTCTGTCTAGCCTTACAGGAAAAAAACCCGTTTCCAACGAAGGCCTCTAAGTGGTCAAAATATCCACGTGCAGACTTAACAAACAGAGTTTTTCCACACTGCTGAATGAAAAGAAAAGTTAAACTCTGAGAGTTGAACGCACACATCGCAGAGCAGTTTCTGAGAATGATTCTGTCTAGTTTTGAAACGAAGATATTTCCTTTTCTGCCGTTGACCTTAAAGCACTTGAAATCTACACTTGCAAATTGCACAAATAGAGTGTTTCAAATCTGCTCTGTCTAAGGGAACGTTCAACTCTGTGAGTTGAATGCACACAACACAAGGAAGTTACTGGGATTTCTTCTGTCTACCCTTACATGAAAAAACCCGTTTCCAACGAAGGCCTCTAAGTGGTCAAAATATCCACGTGCAGACTTTACAAACAGAGTGTTTCCAAACTGCTGAATGAAAAGAAAAGTTAAACTCTGAGAGTTGAACGCACACATCACAGAGGATTTTCTGAGAATGATTCTGTCTACTTTTTATACGAAGATATTTCCTTTTCTGCCTTTGGCCCCAAAGCGCTTGAAATCTCCACTTGCAAATTCCACAAAAACAGTGTTTCAAATCTGCTCTCTCTAAATGAAAGTTCAACTCTGTCAGTTGAATACACACCACACAAGGAAGTTACTGAGAATTCTTCTGTCTAGCAAAATATGAAGAAATCCCGTTTCCAACGAAGGCCTCAAAGAGGTCTGAATATCCACTTGCAGACTTTACAAACAGAGTGTTTCCTAACTGCTCTATGAAAAGAAAAGTTAAACTCTGTGAGTTGAACGCACACATCACAAAGGAGTTTATGAGAATCATTCTGTCTACTCTTTATACGAAGATATTTCCTTTTCTACCATTGACCTCAAAGCGGCTGAAATCTCCACTTGCAAATTCCACAAAAAGAGTGTTTCAAGTCTGCTCTGTGTAAAGAATCGTTCAACTCTGTGAGTTGAATACACACAACACAAGGAAGTTACTGAGAATTCTTCTGTCTAGCAGAATATGAAGAAATCCCGTTTCCAACGAAGGCCACAAGATGTCAGAATATCCACTTACAGACTTTACAAACAGAGAGTTTCCTAACTGCTCTATGAACAGAAAGGTTAAACTCTGTGAGTTGAACGAACACATCACAACGCAGTTTGAGGGAATGATTCTGTCTAGTTTTGAAACGAAGATATTCCCTTTTCTGCCATTGACCTTAAAGCGCTTGAAATCTACACTTGCAATTTGCACAAATAGAGTGTTTCAAATCTGCTCTGTCTAAGGGAACGTTCAACTCTCTGAGTAGAATGCACACAACACAAGGAAGTTACTGGGAATTCTTCTGTCTAGCCTTACATGAAAAAAACCCGTTTCCAACGAAGACCTCTAAGTGGTCAAAATATCCACGTGCAGACTTTACAAACAGAGTGTTTCCAAACTGCTGAATGGAAAGAAAAGTTAAACTCTGAGAGTTGAACACACACATCACAGAGCGGTTTCTGAGAATGATTCTGTCTAGTTTTTATACGAAGATATTTCCTTTTCTGCCTTTGGCCTCAAAGCGCTTGAAATCTCCACTTGCAAATTCCACAAAAAGAGTGTTTCAAATCTGCTCTGTGTAAGTGAAAGTTCAACTCTGTGAGTTGAACACACACAACAAAAGGAAGTTACTGGGAATTCTTCTGTCTAGCCTTATATGAAAAAAACCCGTTTCCAAAGAAGGCCTCAAAGAGGTCTGAATATCCACTTGCAGACTTTACAAACAGAGTGTTTCCTAACTGCTCTATGAAAAGAAATGTTAAACTCTGTGAGTTGAACGCACACATCACAAAGGAGTTTCTGAGAATCATTCTGTCTAGTTTTTCTAGGAAGATATTTCCTTTTCTACTATTGACCTCAAAGCGGCTGAAATCTCCACTTGCAAATTCCACAAAAAGAGTGTTTCAAGTCTGCTCTGTGTAAAGGATCGTTCAACTCTGTGAGTTGAATACACACAACACAAGGAAGTTACTGAGTATTCTTCTGTCTAGCAGAATATGAAGAAATCCCGTTTCCAACGAAGGCCACAAGATGTCAGAATATCCACTTACAGAATTTACAAACAGACTGTTTCCTAACTGCTCTATGAAAAGAAAGGTTAAACTCTGTGAGATGAACGAACACATCACAACGCAGTTTGTGGTAATGATTCTGTCTAGTTTTGAAACGAAGATATTTCCTTTTCTGCCATTGACCTTAAAGCGCTTGAAATCTCCACTTGCCAATTGCACAAAAAGAGTGTTTCAAATCTGCTCTGTCTAAGGGAACGTTCAACTCTGTGAGTTGAATTTACACAACACAAGGAAGTTACTGGGAATTCTTCTGTCTAGCCTTACAGGAAAGAAACCCGTTTCCAACGAAGGCCTCTAAGTGGTCAAAATATCCACGTGCAGACTTTACAAACAGAGTGTTTCCAAACTGCTGAATCAAAAGAAAAGTTAAACTCTGAGAGTTGAACGCACACATCGCAGAGCAGTTTCTGAGAATGATTCTGTGTAGTTTTTATACGAAGATATTTCCTTTTCTGCCTTTGGCCTCAAAGCGCTTGAAATCTCCATTTGCAAATTCCACAAAAAGAGTGTTTCAAATCTGCTCTGTGTAAATGAAAGTTCAACTCTGTGAGTTGAACACACACAACACAAGGAAGTTATTGGGAATTCTTCTGTCTAGCCTTATATGAAAAAAACCCGTTTCCAACGAAGTCCTCAAAGAGGTCTGAATATCCACTTGCAGACATTACAAACAGAGTGTTTCCTAACTGCTCTATGAAAAGAAAGGTTAAACTCTGTGAGTTGAACACACACATCACAAAGGAGTTTCTGAGAATCATTCTGTCTAGTTTTTCTACGAAGATATTTCCTTTTCTACTATTGACCTCACAGCGGCTGAAATCTCCACTTGCAAATTCCACAAAAAGAGTGTTTCAAGTCTGCTCTGTGTAAAGGATCGTTCAACTCTGTGAGTTGAATACACACAACACAAGGAAGTTACTGAGAATTCTTCTGTCTAGCAGAATATGAAGAAATCCCTTTTCCAACGAAGGCCACAAGATGTCAGAATATCCACTTACAGAATTTACAAACAGACTGTTTCCTAACTGCTCTATGAAAAGAAAGGTTAAACTCTGTGAGTTGAACGAACACATCACAACGCAGTTTGTGGGAATGATTCTGTCTAGTTTTGAAAGGAAGATATTTCCTTTTCTGCCGTTGACCTTAAAGTGCTTGAAATGTACACTTGCAAATTGCACAAATAGGCTGTTTCAAATCTGCTCTGTCTAAGGGAACGTTCAACTCTGTGAGTTGAATGCGCACAACACAAGGAAGTTACTGGGAATTCTTCTGTCTAGCCTTACATGAAAAAAACCCGTTTCCAACGAAGGTCTCTAAGTGGTCAAAATATCCACGTGCAGACTTTACAAACAGAGTGTTTCCAAACCGCTGAATGAAAAGAAAAGTTAAACTCTGAGAGTTGAACGCACACATCACGCAGCAGTTTCTGAGAATGATTCTGTGTATTTTGTATACGAAGATATTTCCTTTTCTGCCTTTGGCCTCAAAGCGCTTGAAATCTCCATTTGCAAATTCCACAAAAAGAGTGTTTCAAATCTGCTCTGTGTAAATGAAAGTTCAACTCTGTGAGTTGAACACACACAACACAAGGAAGTTATTGGGAATTCTTCTGTCTAGCAGAATATGAAGAAATCCCGTTTCTAACGAAGGCCTCAAAGAGGTCTGATTATCCACTTGCAGACTTTACAAACAGAGTGTTTCCTAAATGCTCTATTAAAAGAAAGGTTAAACTCTGTGAGTTGAACGCACACATCACAAAGGAGTTTCTGAGAATCATTCTGTCTAGTTTTTATACGAAGATATTTCCTTTTCTACCATTGACCTCAAAGCGGCTGAAATCTCCACTTGCAGATTCCACAAAAAGAGTGTTTCAAATCTGCTCTGTGTAAACCATCGTTCAACTCTGTGAGTTGAATACACACAACACAAGGAAGATTCTGAGAATTCTTCTGTCTAGCAGAATATGAAGAAATCCCGTTTCCAACGAAGGCCTCAAAGAGGTCTGAATATCCACTTGCAGACTTTACAAACAGAGTGTTTCCTAACTGCTCTATGAAAAGAAAGGTTAAACTCTGTGACTTGGACGCACACATCACAAAGGAGTTTCTGAGAATCATTCTGTCTAGTTTTTATACGAAGATATTTCGTTTTCTACCATGGACCTCAAAGCGGCTGAAATCTCCACTTGCAAATTCCACAAAAAGAGTGTTTCAAGTCTGCTCTGTGTAAAGGATCGTTCAACTCTGTGAGTTGAATACACACAACACAAGGAAGATTCTGAGAATTCTTCTGTCTAGCAGAATATGAAGAAATCACGTTTCCAACGAAGGCCACAAGATGTCAGAATATCCACTTACAGACTTTACAAACAGAGTGTTTCCTAACTGCTCTATGAACAGAAAGGTTAAACTCTGTGAGTTGAACGAACACATCACAACGCAGTTTGTGGGAATGATTCTGTCTAGTTTTGAAACGAAGATATTTCCTTTTCTGCCATTGACCTTAAAGCGCTTGAAATCTACACTTGCAAATTGCACAAATAGAGTGTTTCAAATCTGCTCTGTCTAAGCGAACGTTCATCTCTGTGAGTTGAATGCACACAACACAAGGAAAGTTACTGGGAATTCTTCTGTCTAGCCTTACAGGAAAAAAACCCGTTTCCAACGAAGGCCTCTAAGTGGTCAAAATATCCACGTGCAGACTTTACAAACAGAGTGTTTCCAAACTGCTGAATGAAAAGAAAAGTTAAACTCTGAGAGTTGAACCCACACATCGCAGAGCAGTTTCTGAGAATGATTCTGTCTAGTTTTTATACGAAGATATTTCCTTTTCTGCCTTTGGCCTCAAAGCGCTTGAAATCTCCACCTGCAAATTCCACAAAAAGAGTGTTTCAAATCTGCTCTGTGTAAATGAAAGTTCAACTCTGTGAGTTAAACACACACAACACAAGGAAGTTACTGGGAATTCTTCTGTCTAGCATAATATGAAGAAATCCCGTTTCCAACGAACGCCTCAAAGGGTTCTGAATATCCACTTGCAGCCTTTATAAACAGAGTGTTTCCTAACTGCTCTATGAGAAGAAAGGTTAAACTCTGTGAGTTGAACGCACACATCACAAAGGAGTTTCTGAGAATCATTCTGTCTAGTTTCTATAGGAAGATATTTCCTATTCTACCATTGACCTCCAAGCGGCTGAAATCTCCACTTGCAAATTCCACAAAAAGAGTGTTTCAAGTCTGCTCTCTGTAAAGGATCGTTCAACTCTGTGAGTTGAATACACACAGCACAAGGAATTTACTGAGAATTATTCTGTCTAGCAGAATATGAAGAAATCCCGTTTCCAACGAAGGCCACAAGATGTCAGAATATCCACTTACAGAATTGACAAACAGACTGTTTCCTAACTGCTCTATGAAAAGAAAGGTTAAACTCTGTGAGCTGAACGAACACATCACAACGCAGTTTGTGGGAATGATTCTGTCTAGTTTTGAAACGAAGATATTTCCTTTTCTGCCATTGACCTTAAAGCGCTTGAAATCTACATTTGCCAATTGCACAAAAAGAGTGTTTCAAATCTGCTCTGTCTAAGGGAACGTTCAACTCTGTGAGTTGAATGTACACAACACAAGGAAGTTACTTGGAATTCTTCTGTCTAGCCTTACATGAAAAAAACCCGTTTCCAACGAAGGCCTCTAAGTGGTCAAATTATCCACGTGCAGACTTTACAAACAGAGTGTTTCCAAACTGCTAAATGAAAAGAAAAGTTAAACTCTGAGAGTTGAACGCACACATCACAGAGCAGTTTCTGAGAATGATTCTGTCTAGTTTTTATACGAAGATATTTCCTTTTCTGCCTTTGGCCTCAAAGCGCTTGAAATCTCCACTTGCAAATTCCACAAAACGAGTGTTTCAAATCTGCTCTGTGTAAATGAAAGTTCAACTCTGTGAGTTGAACACACACAACACAAGGAAGTTACTGGGAATTCTTCTGTGTAGCAGAATATGAAGAAATCCCGTTTCCAACGAAGGCCTCAGGGAGGTCTGAATATCCACTTGCAGACTTTACAAACAGAGTGTTTCCTAACTGCTCTATGAAAAGAAAGGTTAAACTCTGTGAGTTGAACGCACACATCACAAAGGAGTTTCTGAGAATCATTCTGTCTACTTTCTATAGGAAGATATTTCCTATTCTACCATTGACCTCAAAGCGGCTGAAATCTCCACTTGCAAATTCCACAAAAGGAGTGTTTCAAGTCTGCTCTGTGTAAAGGATCGTTCAACTCTGTGAGTTGAAAACACACAACACAAGGAAGTTTCTAAGAATTCTTCTGTCTAGCAGAATATGAAGAAATCCCGTTTCCAACTAAGGCCACAAGATGTCAGAATATCCACTTACAGAATTGACAAACAGACTGTTTCCTCACTGCTCTATGAAAAGAAAGGTTAAACTCTGTGAGTTGAACGAACACATCACAACGCAGTTTGTGGGAATGATTCTGTCTAGTTTTTATACGAAGATATTTCCTTTTCTACCATTGACCTCAAAGCGGCTGAAATCACCACTTGCCAATTGCACAAAAAGAGTGTTTCAAATCTGTTCTGTCTAAGGGAACGTTCAACTCTGTGAGTTGAATGTAGACAACACAAGGAAGTTACTGGGAATTCTTCTGTCTAGCCTTACATTCAAAAAACCCGTTTCCAACGAAGGCCTCTAAGTGGTCAAAATATCCACGTGCAGACTTTACAAACAGAGTGTATCCAAACCGCTGAATGAAAAGAAAAGTTAAACTCTGTGAGTTGAACAGACACATCACAAAGGAGTTTCTGAGAATCATTCTGTCTAGTTTTTATACGAAGATATTTCCTTTTCTGCCTTTGGCCCCAAAGCGCTTGAAATCTCCACTTGCAAATTCCACAAAAACAGTGTTTCAAATCTGCTCTCTCTAAATGAAAGTTCAACTCTGTCAGTTGAATACACACAACACAAGGAAGATTCTGAGAATTATTCTGTCTAGCCTTATATGAAAAAAACCCGTTTCCAAAGAAGGCCTCAAAGAGGTCTGAATATCCACTTGCAGACTTTACAAACAGAGTGTTTCCTAACTGCTCTATGAAAAGAAAGGTTAAACTCTGTGAGTTGAACGCACACATCACAAAGAAGTTTCTGAGAATCATTTTGTCTAGTTTTTCTACGAAGATATTTCGTTTTCTACTATTGACCTCAAAGCGGCTGAAATCTCCACTTGCAAATTCCACAAAAAGAGTGTTTCAAGTCTGCTCTGTGTAAAGGATCGTTCAACTCTGTGAGTTGAATACACACAACACAAGGAAGTTACTGAGAATTCTTCTGTCTAGCAGAATATGAAGAAATCCCGTTTC
Organism: Homo sapiens; assembly: GCF_000001405.40. Classification (NCBI taxonomy): domain Eukaryota; kingdom Metazoa; phylum Chordata; class Mammalia; order Primates; family Hominidae; genus Homo; species Homo sapiens. The sequence goes on along the minus strand of NC_000005.10, from coordinate 47,785,993 downwards.
CAACGAAGGCCTCAAAGAGGTCTGAATATCCACTTGCAGAGTTTACAAACAGAGTGTTTCCTAACGGCTCTATGAAAATAAACGTTAAACTCTGTGAGTTGAACGAACACATCACAACGCAGTTTGTGGGAATGATTCTGTCTAGTTTTGAAACGAAGATATTTCCTTTTCGGCCATTGACCTTAAAGCGCTTGAAATCTCCACTTGCCAATTGCACAAAAAGAGTGTTTCAAATCTGCTCTGTCTAAGGGAACGTTCAACTCTGTGAGTTGAATATACACAACACAAGGAAGTTACTGGGAATTCTTCTGTCTAGCCTTACATGAAAAAATCCCGTTTCCAACGAAGGCCTCTAAGTGGTCAAAATATCCACGTGCAGACTTTACAAACAGAGTGTTTCCAAACCGCTGAATGAAAAGAAAACTTAAACTCTGTGAGTTGAACGCACACATCACGCAGCAGTTTCTGAGAATGATTCTGTCTAGTTTTTATACGAAGATATTTCCTTTTCTGCCTTTGGCCCCAAAGCGCTTGAAATCTCCACTTGCAAATTCCACAAAAACACTGTTTCAAATCTGCTCTCTCTAAATGAAAGTTCAACTCTGTCAGTTGAATACACACAACACAAGGAAGTTACTGAGAATTCTTCTGTCTAGCCTTATATGAAAAAAACCCGTTTCCAACGAAGGCCTCAAAGAGGTCTGAATATCCACTTGCAGACTTTACAAACAGAGTGTTTCCTAACTGCTCTATGAAAAGAAAGGTTAAACTCTGTGAGTTGAACGCACACATCACAAAGGAGTTTCTGAGAATCTATCTGTCTAGTTTTTATACGAAGATATTTCCTTTTCTACCATGGGACCTCAAAGCGGCTGAAATCTCCACTTGCAAATTCCACAAAAAGAGTGTTTCAAGTCTGCTCTGTGTAAAGGAACGTTCAACTCTGTGAGTTGAATACACACAACAGAAGGAAGATTCTGAGAATTCTTCTGTCTAGCAGAATATGAAGAAATCCCGTTTCCAACGAAGGCCTCAAGGAGGTCTGAATATCCACTTGCAGACTTTACAAACAGAGTGTTTCCTAACTGCTCTATGAACAGAAAGGTTAAACTTCTGTGAGTTGAACGAACACATCACAACGCAGTTTGTGGGAATGATTCTGTCTAGTTTTGAAACGAAGAATATTTCCTTTTCTGCCATTGACCTTAAAGCGCTTGAAATCTCCATTTGCCAATTGCACAAAAAGAGTGTTTCAAATCTGCTCTGTCTAAGGGAACGTTCAACTCTGTGAGTTGAATGTACACAACACAAGGAAGTTACTGGGAATTCTTCTGTCTAGCCTTACATGAAGAAAACCCGTTTCCAACGAAGGCCTCTAAGTGGTCAAAATATCCACGTGCAGACTTTACAAACAGAGTGTTTCCAAACCGCTGAATGAAAAGAAAAGTTAAACTCTGAGAGTTGATCGCACACATCACGCAGCAGTTTCTGAGAATGATTCTGTCTAGTTTTTATACGAAGATATTTCCTTTTCTGCCTTTGGCCTGAAAGGGCTTGAAATCTCCATTTGCAAATTCCACAAAAAGAGTGTTTCAAATCTGCTCCTGTGTAAATGAAAGTTCAACTCTGTGAGTTGAATACACACAACACAAGGAAGTTACTGGGAATTCTTCTGTCTAGCAGAATATGAAGAAATCCCGCTTCCAACGAAGGCCTCAAAGAAGTCTGAATATCCACTTGCAGACTTTACAAACAGAGTGTTTCCCAACTGCTCTATGAAAAGAAAGGTTGAACTCTGTGGGTTGAACGCACACATCACAAAGGAGTTTCTGAGAATCATCTGTCTAGTCTTTATATGAAGATAGTTTCCTTTTCTACCTTTGACCTCAAAGCGGCTGAAATCTCCACTTGCAAATTCCACAAAAAGAGTGTTTCAAGTCTGCTCTGTGTAAAGGATCGTTCAACTCTGTGAGTTGAATACACACAACACAAGGAAGTTACTGAGAATTCTTTCTGTCTAGCAGAATATGAAGAAATCCCGTTTCCAACGAAGGCCTCAAGGAGGTCTGAATATCCACTTGCAGACTTTACAAACAGAGTGTTTCCTAACTGCTCTATGAACAGAAAGGTTAAAGTCTGTGAGTTGAACGAACACATCACAACGCAGTTTGTGGGAATGATTCTGTCTAATTTTGAAACGAAGATATTTCCTTTTCTGCCATTGACCTTAAAGCGCTTGAAATCTACACTTGCAAATTGCACAAATAGAGTGTTTCAAATCTGCTCTGTCTAAGGGAACGTTCAACTCTGTGAGTTGAATGCACACAACACAAGGAAGTTACTGGGAATTCTTCTCTCTAGCCTTACAGGAAAAAAACCCGTTTCCAACGAAGGCCTCTAAATGGTCAAAATATCCACGTGCAGACTTTACAAACAGAGTGTTTCCAAACTGCTGAATGAAAAGAAAAGTTAAACTCTGAGAGTTGAACGCACACATCGCAGAGCAGTTTCTGAGAATGATTCTGTGTAGTTTTTATACGAAGATATTTCCTTTTCTGCCTTTGGCCCCAAAGCGCTTGAAATCTCCAATTGCAAATTCCACAAAAACAGTGTTTCAAATCTGCTCTCTCTAAATGAAAGTTCAACTCTGTCAGTTGAATACACACAACACAAGGAAGTTACTGAGAATTCTTCTGTCTAGCCTTACATGAAAAAAACCCGTTTCCAACGAAGGCCTCAAAGAGGTCTGAATATCCACTTGCAGACTTTACAAACAGAGTGTTTCCTAACTGCTCTATGAAAAGAAAGGTTAAACTCTGTGAGTTGAACGCACACATCACAAAGCAGTTTCTGAGAATCATTCTGTCTAGTTTTTATACGAAGATATTTCCTTTTCTACCATTGACCTCAAAGCGGCTGAAATCTCCACTTGCAAATTCCACCAAAAGAGTGTTTCAAATCTGCTACTGTGTAAACCATCGTTCAACTCTGTGAGTTGAATACACACAACACAAGGAAGATTCTGAGAATTCTTCTGTCCAGCAGAATATGAAGAAATCCCGTTTCCAACGAAGGCCACAAGATGTCAGAATATCCACTTACAGACTTTACAAACAGAGTGTTTCCTAACTGCTCTATGAACAGAAAGGTTAAATTCTGTGAGTTGAACGAACACATCACAACGCAGTTTGTGGTAATGATTCTGTCTAGTTTTTATACGAAGATATTTCCTTTTCTACCATTGACCTCAAACCGGCTGAAATCACCACTTGCCAATTGCACAAAAAGAGTGTTTCAAATCTGCTCTGTCTAAGGGAACGTTCAACTCTCTCAGTTGAATGTACACAACATAAGGAAGTTCCTGGGAATTCTTCTGTCTAGCCTTACATGAAAAAAACCCGTTTCCAAAGAAGGCCTCTAAGTGGTCAAAATATCCACGTGCAGACTATACAAACAGAGTGTTTCCAAACCGCTGAATGAAAAGAAAAGTTAAACTCTGAGAGTCGAACGCACACATCACGCAGCAGTTTCTGAGAATGATTCTGTCTAGTTTTTATACGAATATATTTCCTTTTCTGCCTTTGGCCCCAAAGCGTTTGAAATCTCCACTTGCAAATTCCACAAAAACAGTGTTTCAAATCTCCTCTCTCTAAATGAAAGTTCAACTGCTGTCAGTTGAATACACACAACACAAGGAAGTTACTGAGAATTCTTCTGTCTAGCCTTATATGAAAAAAACCCGTTTCCAACGAAGGTCTCAAGGAGGTCTGAATATCCACTTGCAGACTTTACAAACAGAGTGTTTCCTAACTGCTCTATGAAAAGAAAGGTTTAAACTCTGTGAGTTGAACGCACACATCACAAAGGAGTTTCTGAGAATCATTCTGTCTAGTTTTTCTACGAAGATATTTCCTTTTCTACTATTGACCTCAAAGCGTCTGAAATCTCCACTTGCAAATTCCACAAAAAGAGTGTTTCAAGAATGCTCTGTGTAAAGGATCTTTCAACTCTGTGAGTTGAATACACACAACACAAGGAAGTTACTGAGAATTCTTCTGTCTAGCAGAATATGAAGAAATCCCGTTTCCAACGAAGGCCTCAAAGAGGTCTGAATATCCACTTGCAGACTTTACAAACAGAGTGTTTCCTAACTGCTCTATGAAAAGAAAGGTTAAACTCTGTGAGTTGAACGCACACATCAAAAAGGAGTTTCTGAGAATCATTCTGTCTAGTTTTTATAGGAAGATATTTCCTTTTCTACCTTTGATTTCAAAGCGGCTGAAATCTCCACTTGCAAATTCCACAAAAAGAGTGTTACAAGTCTGCTCTGTCTAAGGGAACGTTCAACTCTGTGAGTTGAATGTACACAACACAAGGAAGTTACTGGGAATTCTTCTGTCTAGCCTTACATGAAAAAAACCCGTTTCCAACGAAGGCCTCTAAGTGGTCAAATTATCCACGTGCAGACTTTACAAACAGAGTGTTTCCAAACTGCTGAATGAAAAGAAAAGTTAAACTCTTAGAGTTGCATGCACACATCGCAGAGCAGTTTCTGAGAATGATTCTGTCTAGTTTTTATACGAAGATATTTCCTTTTCTGCCTTTGGCCTCAAAGCGCTTGAAATCTCCATTTGCAAATTCCACAAAAAGAGTGTTTCAAATCTGCTCTGTGTAAAGGATCGTTCAACTCTGTGAGTTGAATACACACAACACAAGGAAGATTCTGAGAATTCTTCTGTCTAGCCTTATATGAAAAAAACCCGTTTCCAGCGAAGGCCTCAAAGAGGTCTGAATATCCACTTGCAGACTTTACAAACAGAGTGATTCCTAACTGCTCTATGAAAAGCAAGGTTAAACTCTGTGAGTTGAACACACACATCTCAAAGGAGTTTCTGAGAATCATTCTGTCTAGTTTCTATAGGAAGATATTTCCTATTCTACCATTGAACACAAAGCGGCTGAAATCTCCACCTGCAAATTCCACAAAAAGAGTGTTTCAAGTCTGCTCTGTGTAAAGGATCGTTCAACTCTGTGAGTTGAATACACACAACACAAGGGAAGTTACTGAGAATTCTTCTGTCTAGCAGAATATGAAGAAATCCCGTTTCCAACGAAGGCCTCAAGGAGGTCTGAATATCCACTTGCAGAATTTACAAACAGAGTGTTTCCTAACTGCTCTATGAACAGAAAGGTTAAACTCTGTGAGTTGAACGAACGCATCACAACGCAGTTTGTGGGAATGATTCTGTCTAGTTTTGAAACGAAGATATTTCCTTTTCTGCCATTGACCTTAAAGCGCTTGAAATCTACACTTGCAAATTGCACAAATAGAGTGTTTCAAATCTGCTCTAAGGGAACGTTCAACTCTGTGAGTTGAATGCACACAACACAATGAAGTTACTGGGAATTCTTCTGTCTAGCCTTACATGGAAAAAACCCGTTTCCAAAGAAGGCCTCAAAGAAGTCCAAATATCCACGTGCAGACATTACAAACCGAGTGTTTCCTAACTGCTCTATGAAAAGAAAGGTTAAACTATGCGAGTTGAACGCACACATCACAAAGGAGTTTCTGAGAATCATTTTGTCTAGTTTTTATACGAAGATATTTCCTTTTCTGCCTTTGGCCTCAAAGCGCTTGAAATCTCCACTTGCAAATTCCACAAAAAGAGTGTTTCAAATCTGCTCTGTGTAAATGAAAGTTTAACTCTGTGAGTTGAACACACACAACACAAGGAAGTTACTGGGAATTGTTCTGTCAAGCCTTATATGTAAAAACCCGTTTCCAACGAAGGCCTCAAAGAGGTCTGAATATCCACTTGCAGACTTTACAAACAGAGTGTTTCCTAACTGCTCTATGAAAAGAAAGGTTAAACTCTGTGAGTTGAACGCACACATCACAAAGGAGTTTCTGAGAATCATTCTGTCTAGTTTTTATACGAAGACATTTCCTTTTCTACCATTGACCTCAAAGCGGCTGAAATCTCCACTTGCAAATTCCACAAAAAGAGTGTTTCAAATCTGCTCTGTGTAAACCATCGTTCAACTCTGTGAGTTGAAGACACACAACACAAGGAAGATTCTGAGAATTCTTCTGTCTAGCAGAATATGAAGAAATCCCGTTTCCAACGAAGGCCACAAGATGTCAGAATATCCACTTACAGAATTTACAAACAGAGTGTTTCCTAACTGCACTATGAAAAGAAAGGTTAAACTCTGTGAGATGAACGAACACATCACAACGCAGTTTGTGGGAATGATTCTGTCTAGTTTTGAAACGAAGATATTTCCTTTTCTGCCATTGACCTTAAAGCGCTTGAAATCTCCACTTGCCAATTGCACAAAAAGAGTGTTTCAAATCTGCTCTGTCTAAGGGAACGTTCAACTCTGTGAGTTGAATGTACACAACACAAGGAATTTACTGGGAATTCTTCTGTCTAGCCTTACATGAAAAAAACCCGTTTCCAACGAAGGCCTCTAAGTGGTCAAAATTTCCACGTGCAGACTTTATAAACAGAGTGTTTCCAAACGGCTGAATGAAAAGAAAAGTTAAACTCTGAGAGTTGAACGCACACATCACGCAGCAGTTTCTGAGAATGATTCTGTCTAGTTTTGAAACGAAGATATTTCCTTTTCTGCCTTTGGCCTCAAAGCGCTTGAAATCTCCATTTGCAAATTCCACAAAAAGAGTGTTTCAAATGTGCTCTGTGTAAATGAAAGTTCAACTCTGTGAGTTGAACACACACAACACAAGGAAGTTACTGGGAATTCTTCTGTCTAGCATAATATGAAGAAATCCCGTTTCCAACGAATGCCTCAAGGAGGTCTGAATATCCACTTGCAGACTTTACAAACAGAGTGTTTCCTAACTGCTCTATGAAAAGAAAGGTTAAACAGTGTGAGTTGAACGCACACATCACAAAGGAGTTTCTGAGAATCATTCTGTCTAGTTTTTCTTCGAAGATATTTCCTTTTCTACTATTGACCTCAAAGCGGCTGAAATGTCCACTTGCAAATTCCACAAAAAGAGTGTTTCAAGTCTGCTCTGTGTAAAGGATCGTTCAACTCTGTGAGTTGAATGCACACAACACAAGGAAGTTACTGGGAATTCTTCTGTCTAGCAGAATATGAAGAAATCCCAGTTTCCAACGAAGGCCACAAGATGTCAGAATATCCACTTACAGACTTTAGAAATAGAGTGTTTCCTAACTGCTCTATGAACAGAAAGGTTAAACTCTGTGAGTTGAACGAACACATCACAACGCAGTTTGTGGGAATGATTCTGTCTAGTTTTGAAACGAAGATATTTCCTTTTCTGCCATTGACCTTAAAGCGCTTGAAATCTACAATTGCAAATTGCACAAATAGAGTGTTTCAAATCTGCTCTGTCTAAGGGAACGTTCAACTCTGTGAGTTGAATGCACACAACACAAGGAAGTTACTGGGAATTCTTCTGTCTAGCCTTACATGAAAATAACCCGTTTCCAACGAAGGCCTCTAAGTGGTCAAATTATCCACGTGCAGACTTTACAAACAGAGTGTTTCCAAACTGCTGAATGAAAAGAAAAGTTAAACTGTGAGAGTTGAACGCACACATCGCAGAGCAGTTTCTGAGAATGATTCTGTCTAGTTTCTATAGGAAGATATTACCTATTCTACCGTTGACCACAAAGCGGCTGAAATCTCCACTTGCAAATTCCACAACAAGAGTGTTTCAAGTCTGTTCTGTGTAAAGGATCATTCAACTCTGTGAGTTGAATACACACAACACAAGGAAGTTACTGAGAATTCTTCTGTCTAGCAGAACATGAAGAAATCCCGCTTCCAAAGAAGGCCTCAAAGAAGTCTGAATATCCACTTGCAGACTTTACAAACAGAGTGTTTCCCAACTGCTCTATGAAAAGAAAGGTTGAACTCTGTGAGTTGAACGCACACATCACAAAGGAGTTTCTGAGAATCATTCTGTCTAGTCTTTATACGAAGATATTTCCTTTTCTACCAGTGACATGAAAGCGGCTGAAATCTCCACTTGCAAATTCCACAAAAAGAGTGTTTCAAGTCTGCTCTGTGTAAAGAATCGTTCAACTCTGTGAGTTGAATACACACAACACAAGGAAGTTACTGAGAATTCTTCTGCCTAGCAGAATATGAAGAAATCCCGTTTCCAACGAAAGCCTCAAAGATGTCTGAATATCCACTTGCAGACTTTACAAACAGAGTGTTTCCTAACTGCTCTATGAAAAGAAAAGTTAAACTCTGTGAGTTGAACGCACACATCACAAAGGAGTTTCTGAGAATCATTCTGTCTAGTCTTTATACGAAGATAGTTTCCTTTTCTACCATTGACCTCAAAGCGCCTGAAATCTCCACTTGCAAATTCCACAAAAAGAGTGTTTGAAGTCTGCTCTCTGTAAAGGATCTTTCAACTCTGTGAGTTGAATACACACAACACAAGGAAGTTACTGAGAATTCTTCTGTCTTGCATAATATGAAGAAATCCCGTTTCCAACGAAGGCCTCAAGGAGGTCTGAATATCCACTTGCAGACTTTACAAACAGAGTGTTTCCTAACTGCTCTATGAAAAGAAAGGTTGAACTCTGTGAGTTGAACGCACACATCACAAAGGAGTTTCTGAGAATCATTCTGTCTAGTTTTTATACGAAGATATTTCCTTTTCTACCATTGACCTCAAGGTGGCTGAAATCTCCACTTGCAAATTCCACAAAAAGAGTGTTTCAGATCTGCTCTGTGTGAAAGATGGTTCAACTCTGTGAGTTGAATACACACAACACAAGGAAGTTACTGAGAATTCTTCTGTCTAGCAGAATATGAAGAAATCCCGTTTCCAACGAAGGCCACAAGATGTCAGAATATCCACTTACAGAATTTACAAACAGACTGTTTCCTAACTGCTCTATGAAAAGAATGGTTAAACTCTGTGAGTTTACCGAACACATCACAACGCAGTTTCTGGGAATGATTCTGTCTAGTTTTGAAACGAAGATATTTCCTTTTCTGCCATTGACCTTAAAGCGCTTGAAATCTCCACTTGCCAATTGCACAAAAAGAGTGTTTCAAATCTGCTCTGTGTAAGGGAACGTTCAACTCTGTGAGTTGAATGTACACAACACAAGGAAGTTACTGGGGAATTCTTCTGTCTAGCCTTACATGCAAAAAACCCGTTTCCAACGAAGGCCTCTAAGTGGACAAAATATCCACGTGCAGACTTTACAAACAGAGTGTTTCTAAACCGCTGAATGAAAAGAAAAGTTAAACTCTGAGAGTTGAACACACACATCACGCAGCAGTTTCTGATAATGATTCTGTCTAGTTTTTATACGAAGATATTTCCTTTTCTGCCTTTGGCCCCAAAGCGCTTGAAATCTCCACTTGCAAATTCCACAAAAAGAGTGTTTCAAATCTGCTCTCTCTAAACGAAAGTTCAACTCTGTCAGTTGAATACACACAACATAAGGAAGTTACTGAGAATTCTTCTGTCTAGCCTTATATGAAAAAAACCCGTTTCCAACGAAGGCCTCAAAGAGGTCTGAATATCCACTTGCAGACTTTACAAACAGAGTGATTCCTAACTGCTCTATGAAAACTAAGGTTAAACTCTGTGAGTTGAACACACACATCACAAAGGAGTTTCTGAGAATCATTCTGTCTAGTTTTTATACGAAGAGATTTCCTTTTCTACCATTGACCTCAACGCGGCTGAAATCTCCACTTGCAAATTCCACAAAAAGAGTGTTTCAAGTCCGCTCTGTGTAAAGGATCGTTCAACTCTGTGAGTTGAATACACACAACACAAGGAAGTTAATGAGAATTCATCTGTCTAGCATAATATGAAGAAATCCCGTTTCCAACGAAGGCCTCAAAGAGGTCTGAATATCCACTTGCAGACTTTATAAACAGAGGGTTTCCTAACTGCTCTATGAAAAGAAAGGTTAAACTCTGTGAGTTGAACGCACACATCACAAAGGAGTTTCTGAGAATCATTCTGTCTAGTCTTTATACGAAGATATATCCTTTTCTAACATTGACCTCAAAGCGGCTGAAATCTCCACTTGCGAATTCCACAAAAAGAGTGTTTCAAGTCTGCTCTCTGTAAAGGATCGTTCAACTCTGTGAGTTGAATACACACAACACAAGGAAGTTACTGAGAATTATTCTGTCTAGCAGAATATGCAGAAATCCCGTTTCCAACGAAGACCACAAGATGTCAGAATATCCACTTACAGACTTTACAAACAGAGTGTTTCCTAACTGCTCTATGAACAGAAAGGTTAAACTCTGTGAGTTGAACGCACACATCACAAAGGAGTTTCTGAGAATCATTCTGTCTAGTCTTTATACGAAGATATTTCCTTTTCTACCATTGACCTCAAAGCGGCTGAAATCTCCACTTGCAAATTCCACAAAAAGAGTGTTTCAATCTGCTCTGTGTAAAGGATCGTTCAACTCTGTGAGTTGAATACACACAACACAAGGAAGTTACTGAGAATTCTTCTGTCTAGCCTTACATGAAAAAAACCCGTTTCCAACCGAAGGCCTCTAAGTGGTCAAAATTTCCACGTGCAGACTTTACAAACAGAGTGTTTCCAAAGCGCTGAATGAAAAGAAAAGTTAAACTCTGAGAGTTGAACGCACACATCACGCAGCAGTTTCTGAGAATGATTCTGTCTAGTTTTTATACGAAGATATTTCCTTTTCTGCCTTTGGCCTCAAAGCGCTTGAAATCTCCACTTGCAAATTCCAGAAAAAGAGTGTTTCCAATCTGCTCTGTGTAAATGAAAGTTCAACACTGTGAGTTGAACACACACAACACAAGGAAGTTACTGGGAATTCTTCTGTCTAGCAGGAATATGAAGAAATCCCGTTTCCAACGAAGGCCTCAAAGAGGTCTGAATATCCACTTGCAGACTTTACAAACAGAGTGTTTCCTAACTGCTCTATGAAAAGAAAGGTTAAACTCTGTGAGTTGTACGCACACATCACAAAGGAGTTTCTGAGAATCGTTCTGTCCAGTTTCTATAGGAAGATATTTCCTATTCTACCATTGACCTCAAAGCGGCTGAAATCTCCACTTGCAAATTCCACAAAAAGAGTGTTTCAAGTCTGCTCTGTGTAAAGGATCGTTCAACTCTGTGAGTTGAATACACACAACACAAGGAAGTTACTGAGAATTCTTCTGTCTAGCATAATATGAAGAAATCCCGTTTCCAATGAAGGCCTCAAGGATGTCTGAATATCCACTTGCAGACTTTACAAACAGTGTTTCCTAACTGCTCTATGAAAAGAAAGGTTAAACTCTGTGAGTTGAACGCACACATCACAAAGGAGTTTCTGAGAATCATTCTGTCTAGTTTTTATACGAAGATATTTCCTTTTCTACCATTGACCTCAAAGCGGCTGAAATCACCACTTGCCAATTGCACAAAAAGAGTGCTTCAAATCTGCTCTGTCTAAGGGAACGTTCAACTCTGTGAGTTGAATGTACACAACACAAGGAAGTTCCTGGGAATTCTTCTGTCTAGCCTTACATGAAGAAAACCAGTTTCCAACGAAGGCCTCTAAGTGGTCAAAATATCCACGTGTAGACTTTACAAACAGAGTGTTTCCAAACCGCTGAATGAAAAGAAAAGTTAAACTCTGAGAGTTGAACGCACACACCACGCAGCAGTTTCTGAGAATGATTCTGTCTAGGTTTTATACGAAGATATTTCCTTTTCTGCCTTTGGCCTCAAAGCGCTTGAAATCTCCACCTGCAAATTCCACAAAAAGAGTGTTTCAAATCTGCTCTGTGTAAATGAAAGTTCAACTCTGTGAGTTGAACACACACAACACAAGGGAAGTTACTGGGAATTCTTCTGTCTAGCCTTATATGAAAAAAACCCGTTTCCAACGAAGGCCTCAAAGAGGTCTGAATATCCACTTGCAGACTTTACAAACAGAGTGTTTCCTAACTGCTCTATGAAAAGAAAGGTTATACTCTGTGAGTTGAACGCACACATCACAAAGGAGTTTCTGAGAATCATTCTGTCTAGTTTTTATACGTAGATATTTCCTTTTCTACCATTGACCTCAACGCGGCTGAAATCTCCACTTGCAAATTCCACAAAACGAGTGTTTCAAGTCCGCTCTGTGTAAAGGATCGTTCAACTCTGTGAGTTGAATACACACAACACAAGGTAGTTACTGAGAATTCTTCTGTCTAGCAGAATATGAAGAAATCCCGTTTCCAACGAAGGCCACAAGATGTCAGAATATCCACTTACAGAATTTACAAACAGACTGTTTCCTAACTGCTCTATGAAAAGAAAGGTTAAACTCTGTGAGTTGAACGAACACATCATAACGCAGTTTGTGGGAATGATTCTGTCTAGTTTTGAAACGAAGATATTTCCTTTTCTGCCATTGACCTTGAAGCGCTTGAAATCTACACTTGCAAATTGCACAAATAGAGTGTTTCAAATCTGCTCTGTCTAAGGGAAGGTTCAACTCTCTGAGCTGAATGCACACAACACAAGGAAGTTACTGGGAATTCTTCTGTCTAGCCTTACATGAAAAAAAACCCGTTTCCAACGAAGGCCTCTAAGTGGTCAAAATATCCACGTGCAGACTTTACAAACAGAGTGTTTCCAAACCGCTGAATGAAAAGAAAAGTTAAACTCTGAGAGTTGAACGCACACATCACGCAGCAGTTTCTGAGAATGATTCTGTCTAGTTTTGAAACGAAGATATTTCCTTTTCTTCCTTTGGCCTCAAAGCGCTTGAAATCTCCACTTGCAAATTCCACAAAAAGAGTGTTTCAAATCTGCTCTGTGTAAATGAAAGTTCAACTCTGTGAGTTGAACACACACAACACAAGGAAGTTACTGGGAATTCCTCTGTCTAGCCTTATATGAAAAAAACCCATTTCCAACGAAGGCCTCAAAGAGGGCTGAATATCCACTTGCAGACTTTACAAGCAGAGTGTTTCCTAACTGCTCTATGAAAAGAAAGGTTAAACTCTGTGAGTTGAACGCACATATCACAAAGGAGTTTCTGAGAATCATTCTGTCTAGTCTTTATACGAAGATATTTCCTTTTCTACCATTGACCACAAAGCGGCTGAAATCTCCACATGCAAATTCCACAAAAAGAGTGTTTCAAGTCTGCTCTGTGTAAAGGATCATTCAACTCTGTGAGTTGAATAAACACAACACAAGGAAGTTACTCAGAATTCTTCTGTCTAGCAGAATATGAAGAAATCCCGTTTCCAACGAAGGCCTCAACTAGGTCTGAATATCCACTTGCAGACTTTACAAACAGAGTGTTTCCTAACTGCTCTATGAAAAGAAATGTTAAACTCTGTGAGTTGAACACACACATCACAAAGGAGTTTCTGAGAATCATTCTGTCTAGTTTTTATAGGAAGATATTTCCTTTTCTACCTTTGACTTCAAAGCGGCTGAAATCTCCACTTGCAAATTCCACAAAAAGAGTGTTACAAGTCTGCTCTGTCTAAGGGAACGTTCAACTCTGTGATTTGAATGTACACAACACAAGGAAGTTACTGGGAATTCTTCTGTCTAGCCTTACAGGAAAAAAACCCGTTTCCAACGAAGTCCTCTAAGTGGTCAAGTTATCCACGTGCAGACTTTACAAACAGAGTGTTTCCAAACTGCTGCATGAAAAGAAAAGTTAAACTCTGAGAGTTGAACGCACACATCGCAGAGCAGTTTCTGAGAATGATTCTGTCTAGTTTTGAACGAAGATATTTCCTTTTCTGCCTTTGGCCTCAAAGCGCTTGAAATCTCCACTTGCAAATTCCACAAAAAGAGTGTTTCAAATCTGCTCTGTGTAAATGAAAGTTCAACTCTGTGAGTTGAACACACACAACACAAGGAAGTTACTGGGAATTCTTCTGTCTAGCATAATATGAAGAAATCCCGTTTCCAACGAAGGCCTCAAAGAGGTCTGAATATCCACTTGCAGACTTTAAAAACAGAGTGTTTCCTAACTACTCTAGGAAAAGAAAGGTTAAACTCTGTGAGTTGAACGCACACATCACAAAGTAGTTTCTGAGAATCATTCTGTCTAGTTTCTATACGAAGATATATCCTTTTCTACCATTGACCTCAAAGCGGCTGAAATCTCCACTTGCAAAATCCACAAAAAGTGTGTTTCTAATCTGCTCTGTGTAAAGGATCATTCAACTATGTGAGTTGAATACACACAGCAAAAGGAAGTTACTGAGAATTCTTCTGTCTAGCAGAATATGAAGAAATCCCGTTTCCAACGAAGGCCACAAGATGTCAGAATATCCACTTACAGACTTTACAAACAAAGTGTTTCCTAACTGCTCTATGAACAGAAAGGTTAAACTCTGTGAGTTGGACGAACACATCACAACGCAGTTTGTGGGAATGATTCTGTCTAGTTTTGAAACGAAGATATTTCCTTTTCTGCCGTTGACCTTAAAGAGCTTGAAAACTACACTTGCAAATTGCACAAATAGAGTGTTTCAAATCTGCTCTGTCTAAGGGAACGTTCAACTCTGTGAGTTGAATGCACACAACACAAGGAAGTTACTGGGAATTCTTCTGTCTAGCCTTACATGAAAAAATCCCGTTTCCAAAGAAGGCCTCTAAGTGGTCAAAATTTCCACGTGCAGACTTTACAAACAGAGTGTTTCCAAACTGCTGAATGAAAAGAAAAGTTAAACTCTGAGAGTTGAACGCACACATCACGCAGCAGTTTCTGAGAATGATTCTGTCTAGTTTTGAAACGAAGATATTTCCTTTTCTGTCTTTGGCCTCAAAGCGCTTGAAATCTCCACTTGCAAATTCCACAAAAAGAGTGTTTCAAATCTGCTCTGGGTAAATGAAAGTTCAACTCTGTGAGTTGAACACACACAACACAAGGGAAGTTACTGGGAATTCTTCTGTCTAGCATAATATGAAGAAATCCCGTTTCCAACGAAGGCCTCAAAGAGGTCTGAATATCCACTTGCAGACTGTACAAACAGAGTGTTTCCTAACTGCTCTATGAGAAGAAAAGTTAAACTCTGTGAGTTCAACGCACACATCACAAAAGATTTTCTGAGAATCATTCTGTCTAGTTTTTATACGAAGATATTTCCTTTTCTACCATGGACCTCAAAGAGGCTGAAATCTCCACTTGCAAATTCCACAAAAAGAGTGTTTCAAGTCTGCTCTGTGTAAAGGATCGTTCAACTCTGTGAGTTGAATACACACAACACAAGGAAGATTCTGAGAATTCTTCTGTCTAGCAGAATATTAAGAAATCCCATTTCCAACGAAGGCCTCAAGGAGGTCTGAATATCCACTTGCAGACTTTACAAACAGAGTGTTTCCTAACTGCTCTATGAACAGAAAGGTTAAACTCTGTGAGTTGAACGAACACATCACAACGCAGTTTGTGGGAATGATTCTGTCTGGTTTTGAAACGAAGATATTTCCTTTTCTGCCATTGACCTTAAAGCGCTTGAAATCTACACTTGCAAATTGCACAAATAGAGTGTTTCAAATCTGCTCTGTCTAACGGAACGTTCAACTCTGTGAGTTGAATGCACACAACACAAGGAAGTTACTGGGAAATCTTTTGTCTAGCCTTACAGGAAAAAAACCCGTTTCCAACGAAAGCCTCTAAGTGGTCAAATTATCCACGTGCAGACTTTACAAACAGAGTGTTTCCAAACTGCTGAATGAAAAGAAAAGTTAAACTCTGAGAGTTGAACGCACACATCACAAAGGAGTTTCTGAGAATCATTCTGTCTAGTTTCTATAGGAAGATATTCCCTATTCTACCATTGACCTCAAAGCGGCTGAAATCTCCACTTGCAAATTCCCCAAAAAGAGTGTTTCAAGTCTGCTCTTTGTAAAGGATCGTTCAACTCTGTGAGTTGAATACACGCAACACAAGGGAAGTTACTGAGAATTCTTCTGTCTAGCATAATATGAAGAAATCACGTTTCCAACGAAGGCCTCAAGGAGGTCTGAATATCCACTTGCAGACTTTACAAACAGAGTGTTTCCTAACTGCTCTATGAAAAGAAAGGTTGAACTCTGTGAGTTGAACGCACACATCACAAAGGAGTTTCTGAGAATCATTCTGTCTAGTTTCTATAAGAAGATATTTCCTATTCTACCATTGACCTCAAAGCAGCTGAAATCTCCACTTGCAAATTCGACAAAAAGAGTGTTTCAAGCCTGCTCTCTGTAAAGGATCCTTCAACTCTTTGAGTTGAATACACACAACACAAGGAAGTTACTGAGAATTATTCTGTCTAGCAGAATATGAAGAAATCCCGTTTCCAACGAAGGCCACAAGATGTCAGAATATCCACTTACAGACTTTACAAACAGAGTGTTTCCTAACTGCTCTATGAACAGAAAGGTTAAACTCTGTGAGTTGAACGCACACATCACAACGCAGTTTGTGGGAATGATTCTGTCTAGTTTTGAAACGAAGATATTTCCTTTTCTGCCATTGACCTTAAAGCGCTTGAAATCTCCATTTGCCAATTGCACAAAAAGAGTGTTTCAAATCTGCTCTGTCTAAGGGAACGTTCAACTCTGTGAGTTGAATGTACACAACACAAGTAAGTTCCTGGGAATTCTTCTGTCTAGCCTTACATGAGAAAAAACCGTTTCCAAAGAAGGCCTCTAAGTGGTCAAAATATCCACGTGCAGACTTTACAAACAGAGTGTTTCCAAACTGCTGAATGAAAAGAAAAGTTAAACTCTGAGAGTTGAACGCACACATCACAGAGCAGTTACTGAGAATGATTCTGTCTAGTTTTTATACCAAGATAATTCCTTTTCTGCCTTTGGCCCCAAAGCGCTTGAAATCTCCACTTGCAAATTCCACAAAAACAGTGTTACAAATCTGCTCTCTCTAAATGAAAGTTCAACTCTGTCAGTTTAATACACACAACACAAGGAAGTTACTGAGAATTCTTCTGTCTAGCCTTACATGAAAAAAACCCGTTTCCAACGAAGACCACAAAGAAGTCCAAATATCCACGTTCAGACTTTACCAACAGAGTGTTTCCTAACTGCTCTATGAAAAGAAAGGTTAAACTCTGTGAGTTCAACGCCCACATCACAAAGGAGTTTGTGAGAATCATTCTGTCTAGTCTTTATATGAAGATAGTTTCCTTTTCTACCATTGACCTCAAAGCGGCTGAAATCTCCACTTGCAAATTCCACAAAATGAGTGTCTCAAGTCTGCTCTGTGTAAAGGATCGTTCAACTCTGTGAGTTGAATACACACACCACAAGGAAGTTACTGAGAATTCTTCTGTCTAGCAGAATATGAAGAAATCCCGTTTCCAACGAAGGCCACAAGATGTCAGAATATCCACTTACAGACTTTACAAACAGAGTGTTTCCTAACTGCTCTATGAACAGAAAGGTTAAACTCTGTGAGTTGAACGAACACATCACAACGCACTTTGTGGGAATGATTCTGTCTAGTTTTGAAACGAAGATATTTCCTTTTCTGCCATTGACCTTAAAGCGCTTGAAATCTCCACTTGCCAATTGCACAAAAAGAGTGTTTCAAATCTGCTCTGTATAAGGGAACGTTCAACTCTGTGAGTTGAATGTACACAACACAAGGAAGTTACTGGGAATTCTTCTGTCTAGCCTTACATGAAAAAAACCCGTTTCCAACGAAGGCCTCAAAGAGGTCTGAATATCCACGTGCAGACTTTACAAACAGAGTGTTTCCAAACCGCTGAATGAAAAGAAAAGTTAAACTCTCAGAGTTGAACGCACACATCACGCAGCAGTTTCTGAGAATGATTCTGTCTAGTTTTGAAACGAAGATATTTCCTTTTCTGCCTTTGGCCTCAAAGCGCTTGAAATCTCCATTTGCAAATTCCACAAAAAGAGTGTTTCAAATCTGCTCTGTGTAAATGAAAGTTCAACTCTGTGAGTTGAATACACACAACACAAGGAAGTTACTGAGAATTCTTCTGTCTAGCATAATATGAAGAAATCCCGTTTCCAACGAAGGCCTCAAAGGGGTCTGAATATCCACTTGCAGACTTTATAAACAGAGTGTTTACTAACTGCTCTATGAAAAGAAACGTTAAACTCTGTGAGTTGAACACACACATCACAAAGGAGTTTCTGAGAATCATTCTGTCTAGTTTTTATAGGAAGATATTTCCTTTTCTACCGTTGACCTCAAAGCGGCTGAAATCTCTACTTGCAAATTTCACAAAAAGAGTGTTTCAAGTCTACTCTGTGTAAAGCATCGTTCAACTCTGTGAGTTGAAAACACACAACACAAGGAAGTTTCTGAGAATTCTTCTGTCTAGCAGAATATGAAGAAATCCCGTTTCCAACGAAGGCCTCAAGGAGGTCTGAATATCCACTTGCAGACTTTACAAACAGAGTGTTTCCTAACTGCTCTATGAAAAGAAAGGTTAAACTCTGTGAGTTGAACGCACACATCACAAAGGAGCTTATGAGAATCATTCTGTCTAGTCTTTATACGAAGATATTTCCTTTTCTACAATTGACCTCAAAGCGGCTGAAAACTCCACTTGCAAATTCCACAAAAAGTGTGTTTCAAGTCTGCTCTCTGTAAAGGATCGTTCAACTCTGTGAGTTGAATACACACAACACAAGGAAGTTACTGAGAATTCTTCTGTCTAGCATAATATGAAGAAATCCCGTTTCCAACGAAGGCCTCAAAGAGGTCTGAATATCCACTTGCAAACTTTACAAACAGAGTGTTTCCTAACTGCTCTATGAGAAGAAAAGTTAATCTCTGTGAGTTGAACGCACACATCACAAAAGATTTTCTGAGAATCATTCTGTCTAGTTTTGAAACGAAGATATTTCCTTTTCTGCCGTTGACCTTAAAGCGCTTGAAATCTACACTTGCAAATTGGACAAATAGAGTGTTTCAAATCTGCTCTGTCTAAGGGAACGTTCAACTCTGTGAGTTGAATGCACACAACACAAGGAAGTTACTGGGAATTCTTCTGTCTAGCCTTACATGAAAAAAACCCGTTTCCAACGAAGGCCTCTAAGTGGTCAAAATATCCACGTGCAGACTTTACAAGCAGAGTGTTTCCAAACCGCTGAATGAAAAGAAAAGTTAAACTCTGAGAGTTGAACGCACACATCACGCAGCAGTTTCTGAGAATGATTCTGTCTAGTTTTTCTACGAAGATATTTCCTTTTCTACTATTGACCTCAAAGCGGC
This sequence comes from Homo sapiens, assembly GCF_000001405.40. Classification (NCBI taxonomy): domain Eukaryota; kingdom Metazoa; phylum Chordata; class Mammalia; order Primates; family Hominidae; genus Homo; species Homo sapiens. The sequence goes on along the minus strand of NC_000005.10, from coordinate 47,766,760 downwards.
TGAAATATCCACTTGCAAATTCCACAAAAAGAGTGTTTCAAGTCTGCTCTGTGTAAAGGATCGTTCAACTCTGTGAGTTGAATACACACAACACAAGGAAGTTACTGAGAATTCTTCTGTCTAGCAGAATATGAAGAAATCCCGTTTCCAACGAAGGCCTCAAAGAGGTCTGAATATCCACTTGCAGACTTTACAAACAGAGTGTTTCCTAACTGCTCTATGAAAAGAAAAGTTAAACTCTGTGTGTTGAACGCACACATCACAAAGGAGTTTCTGAGAATCATTCTGTCTAGTTTTGAAACGAAGATATTTCCTTTTCTGCCATTGACCTTAAAGCGCTTGAAATCTACTCTTGCAAATTCCACAAAAAGAGTGTTTCAAGTCTGCTCTGTGTAAAGGATCGTTCAACTCTGTGAGTTGAATACACACAACACAAGGAAGTTACTGAGAATTCTTCTGTCTAGCAGAATATGAAGAAATCCCGTTTCCAACGAAGGCCACAAGATGTCAGAATATCCACTTACAGAATTGACAAACAGACTGTTTCCTAACTGCTCTATGAAAAGAAAGGTTAAACTGCTGTGAGTTGAACGAACACATCACAACGCAGTTTGTGGGAATGATTTCTGTCTAGTTTTGAAACGAAGATATTTCCTTTTCTGCCATTGACCTTAAAGCGCTTGAAATCTCCATTTGCCAATTGCACAAAAAGAGTGTTTCAAATCTGCTCTGTCTAACGGAACGTTCAACTCTGTGAGTTGAATGTACACAACACAAGGGAAGTTACTGGGAATTCTTCTGTCTAGCCTTACATGAAAAAAAACCCGTTTCCAACGAAGGCCTCTAAGTGGTCAAAATATCCACGTGCAGACTTTACAAACAGAGTGTTTCCAAACCGCTGAATGAAAAGAAAAGTTAAACTCTGAGAGTTGAACGCACACATCACGCAGCAGTTTCTGAGAATGATTCTGTCTAGTTTTTATACGAAGATATTTCCTTTTCTGCCTTTGGCCCCAAAGCGCTTGAAATCTCCACTTGCAAATTCCACAAAAACAGTGTTTCAAATCTGCTCTCTCTAAATGAAAGTTCAACTCTGTCAGTTGAATACACACAACACAAGGAAGTTACTGTGAATTCTTCTGTCTAGCCTTATATGAAAAAAACCCGTTTCCAACGAAGGCCTCAAAGAGGTCTGAATATCCTCTTGCAGACTTTACAAACAGAGTGTTTCCTAACTGCTCTATGAAAAAAAAGGTTAAACTCTGTGAGTTGAACACACACATCACAAAGGAGTTTCTGAGAATCATTCTGTCTAGTTTCTATAGGAAGATATTTCCCATTCTACCATTGACCTCAAAGCGGCTGAAATCTCCACTTGCAAATTCCACAAAAAGAGTGTTTCAAGCCTGCTCTCTGTAAAGGATCGTTCAACTCTGTGAGTTGAATACACACAACACAAGGAAGTTACTGAGAATTCTTCTGTCTAGCAGAATATGAAGAAATCCCGTTTCCAACGAAGGCCACAAGATGTCAGAATATCCACTTACAGAATTTACAAACAGACTGTTTCCTAACTGCTCTATGAAAAGAAAGGTTAAACTCTGTGATTTGAACGAACACATCACAACGCAGTTTGTGGGAATGATTCTGTCTAGTTTTGAAACGAAGATATTTCCTTTTCTGCCATTGACCTTAAAGCGCTTGAAATCTCCACTTGCCAATTGCACAAAAAGAGTGTTTCAAATCTGCTCTGTCTAAGGGAACGTTCAACTCTGTGAGTTGAATGTACACAACGCAAGGAAGTTACTGGGAATTCTTCTGTCTAGCCTTACATGAAAAAACCCGTTTCCAACGAAGGCCTCTAAGTGGCCAAATTATCCACGTGCAGACTTTACAAACAGAGTGTTTCCAAACTGCTGAATGAAAAGAAAAGTTAAACTCTGAGAGTTGAACGCACACATCGCAGAGCAGTTTCTGAGAATGATTCTGTCTTGTTTTTATACGAGGATATTTCCTTTTCTGCCTTTGGCCCCAAAGCGCTTGAAATCTCCACTTGCAAATACCACAAAAATAGTGTTTCAAATCTGCTCTCTCCAAATGAAAGTTCAACTCTGTCAGTTGAATACACACAACACAAGGAAGTTACTGAGAATTCTTCCGTCTAGCCTTACATGAAAAAAACCCGTTTCCAACGAAGGCCTCAAAGAAGTCCAAATATCCACGTGCAGACTTTACAAACAGAGTGTTTCCTAACTGCTCTATGAAAAGGAAGGTTAAACTCTGTGAGTTGAACGCCCACATCACAAAGGAGTTTCTGAGAATCATTCTGTCTAGTTTTTATTCGAAGATATTTCCTTTTCTACCATGGACCTCAAAGCGGCTGAAATCTCCACTTGCAAATTCCACAAAAAGAGTGTTTCATGTCTGCTCTGTGTAAAGGATCGTTCAACTCTGTGAGTTGAATACACACAACACAAGGAAGATTCTGAGAATTCTTCTGTCTAGCAGAATATGAAGAAATCCCGTTTCCAACGAAGGCCACAAGATGTCAGAATATCCACTTACAGAATTTACAAACAGACTGTTTCCTAACTGCTCTATGAAAAGAAAGGTTAAACTCTGTGAGTTGAACGAACACATCACAACGCAGTTTGAGGGAATGATTCTGTCTAGTTTTGAAACGAAGATATTTCCTTTTCTGCCATTGACCTTAAAGCGCTTGAAATCTACACTTGCAAGTTGCGCAAATAGAGTGTTTCAAATCTGCTCTGTCTAAGGGAACGTTCAACTCTGTGAGTTGAATGCACACAACACAAGGAAGTTACTGGGAATTCTTCTGTCTAGCCTTACATGAAAAAAACCCGTTTCCAACGAAGGCCTCTATGTGGTCAAATTATCCACGTGCAGACTTTACAAACAGAGTGTTTTCAAACTGCTGAATGAAAAGAAAAGTTAAACTCTGAGAGTTGAACGCACACATCGCAGAGCAGTTTCTGAGAATGATTCTGTCTAGTTTTTATACGAAGATATTTCCTTTTCTGCCTTTGGCCCCAAAGCGCTTGAAATCTCCACTTGCAAATTCCACAAAAACAGTGTTTCAAATCTGCTCTCTCAAAATGATAGTCCAACTCTGTCAGTTGAATACACACAACACAAGGAAGTTACTGAGAATTCTTCTGTCTAGCAGAATATGAAGAAATCCCGTTTCCAAGGAAGGCCTCAAGGAGGTCTGAATATCCACTTGCAGACTTTACAAACAGAGTGTTTCCTAACTGCTCTATGAAAAGAAAGGTTAAACTCTGTGAGATGAACGCACACATCACACAGGATTTTCTGAGAATCATTCTGTCTAGTTTTTATACGAAGAGATTTCCTTTTCTACCATGGACCTCAAAGCGGCTGAAATCTCCACTTGCAAATTCCACAAAAAGAGTGTTTCAAGTCTGCTCTGTGTAAAGGATCGTTCAACTCTGTGAGTTGAATACACACAACACAAGGAAGATTCTGAGAATTCTTCTGTCTAGCAGAATATGAAGAAATCCCGTTTCCAACGAAGGCCACAAGTATGTCAGAATATCCACTTACAGAATTTACAAACAGACTGTTTCCTAACTGCTCTACGAAAAGAAAGGTTAAACTCTGTGAGATGAACGAACACATCACAACGCAGTTTGTGGGAATGATTCTGTCTAGTTTTGCAACGAAGAAATTTCCTTTTCTGCCATTGACCTTAAAGCGCTTGAAATCTACACTTGCAAATTGCACAAATAGAGTGTTTCAAATCTGCTCTGTCTAAGGGAACGTTCAACTCTGTGAGTTGAATGCACACAACACAAGGAAGTTACTGGGAATTCTTCTGTCTAGCCTTACATGCAAAAAACCCGTTTCCAACGAAGGCCTCTAAGTGGTCAAAATATCCACGTGCAGACGTTACAAACAGAGTGTTTCCAAACCGCTGAATGAAAAGAAAAGCTAAACTCCTGAGAGTTGAACGCACACATCACGCAGCAGTTTCTGAGAATGATTCTGTCTAGTTTTTATACGAAGATATTTCCTTTTCTGCCTTTGGCCTCAAAGCGCTTGAAATCTCCACTTGCAAATTCCACAAAAAGAGTGTTTCAAATCTGCTCTTTGTAAATGAAAGTTCAACTCTGTGAGTTGAACACACACAACACAAGGAAGTTACTGGGAATTCTTCTGTCTAGCAGAATATGAAGAAATCCCGTTTCCAACGAAGGCCTCAAAGAGGTCTGAATATCCACTTGCAGACTTTACAAACAGAGTGTTTCCTAACTGCTCTATGAAAAGAAAGTTTAAACTCTGTGAGTTGAACGCACACATCACAAAGGAGTTTCTGAGAATCATCTGTCTAGTTTTTCTACGAAGATATTTCCTTTTCTACTATTGACCTCAAAGCGGCTGAAATCTCCACTTGCAAATTCCACAAAAAGAGTGATTCAAGTCTGCTCTGTGTAAAGGATCGTTCAACTCTGTGAGTTGAATACACACAACACAAGGAAGTTACTGAGAATTCTTTCTGTCTAGCAGAATACGAAGAAATCCCGTTTCCAACGAAGGCCACAAGATGTCAGAATATCCACTTACAGACTTTACAAACAGAGTGTTTCCTAACTGCTCTATGAACAGAAAGGTTAAACTCTGTGAATTGAACGAACACATCACAACGCAGTTTTGTGGGAATGATTCTGTCTAGTTTTTATACGAAGATATTTCCTTTTCTACCATTGACCTCAAAGCGGCTGAAATCACCACTTGCCAATTGCACAAAAAGATTGTTTCAAATCTGCTCTGTCTAAGGGAACGTTCAACTCTGTGAGTTGAATGTACACAACACAAGGAAGTTACTGGGAATTCTTCTGTCTAGCCTTACAGGAAAAAAACCCGTTTCCGACGAAGGCCTCTAAGTGGTCAAAATATCCACATGCAGAGTTTACAGAGTGTTTCCAAACTGCTGAATGAAAAGAAAAGTTAAACTCTGAGAGTTGAACGCACACATCGCAGAACAGTTTCTGAGAATTATTCTGTCTAGTTTTTATACGAAGATATTTCCTTTTCTGCCTTTGGCCTCAAAGCGCTTGAAATCTCCATTTGCAAATTCCACAAAAAGAGTGTTTCAAATCTGCTCTGACTAAATGAAAGTTCAACTCTGTGAGTTGAACACACACAACACAAGGAAGTTACTGGGAATTCTTCTCTCTAGCCTTATATGAAAAAATCCCGTTTCCAACGAAGGCCTCAAAGAGGTCTGAATATCCACTTGCAGACTTTACAAACAGAGTGTTTCCTAACTACTCTATGAAAAGAAAGGTTAAACTCTGTGAGTTGAACTCACACATCACAAAGGAGTTTCTGAGAATCATTCTGTCTAGTTTCTATAGGAAGATATTTCCTATTCTACCATTGACCTCAAAGCGGCTGAAATCTCCACTTGCAAATTCAACAAAAAGAGTGTTTCAAGTCTACTCTGTGTAAAGGGTCGTTCAACTACTGTGAGTTGAATACACACAACACAAGGAAGTTACTGAGAATTCTTCTGTCTAGCATAATATGAAGAAATCCCGTTTCCAAAGAAGGCCACAAAGGGGTCTGAATATCCACTTGCAGACTTTATAAACAGAGTGTTTACTAACTGCTCTATGAAAAGAAAGGTTAAACTCTGTGAGTTGAACACACACATCACAAAGGAGTTTCTGAGAATCGTTCTGTCTAGTCTTTATACGAAGACATTTCCTTTTCTACCATAGACCTCAAAGCGGCTGAAATCTCCACTTGCAAATTCCACAAAAAGAGTGTTTCAAGTCTGCTCTCTGTAAAGGATCGTTCAACTCTGTGAGTTGAATACACACAACACAAGGAAGTTACTGAGAATTCTTCTGTCTAGCAGAATATGAAGAAATCCCGTTTCCAACGAAGGCCACAAGATGTCAGAATATCCACTTACAGACTTTACAAACAGAGTGTTTCCTAACTGCTCTACGAACAGAAAGGTTAAACTCTGTGAGTTGAACGAACACATCACAACGCAGTTTGTGGGAATGATTCTGTCTAGTTTTGAAACGAAGATATTTCCTTTTCTGCCATTGACCTTAAAGCGCTTGAAGTCTCCACTTGCCAATTGCACAAAAAGAGTGTTTCAAATCTGCTCTGTCTAAGGGATCGTTCAACTCTGTGAGTTGAATGTACACAACACAAGGAAGTTACTGGGAATTCTTCTGTATAGCCTTACAGGAAAAAAACCCGTTTCCAACGAAGGCCTCTAAGTGGTCAAAATATCCACGTGCAGACTTTACAAACAGAGTGTTTCCAAACTGCTGAATGAAAAGAAAAGTTAAACTCAGAATTGAACGCACACATCGCAGAGCAGTTTCTGAGAATGATTCTGTCTAGTTTTTATACGAAGATATTTCCTTTTCTGCCTTTGGCCCCAAAGCGCTTGAAATCTCCACTTGCAAATTCCACAAAAAGAGTGTTTCAAATCTGCTCTGTGTAAATCAAAGTTCAACTCTGTGAGTTGAACACACACAACACAAGGAAGTTACTGGGGATTCTTCTGTCTAGCATAATATGAAGAAATCCCGTTTCCAAAGAAGGCCTCAAGGAGGTCTGAATATCCACTTGCAGACTTTACAAACAGAGTGTTTCCTAACTGCTGTATGAAAAGAAAAGTTAAACTGTGTGAGTTGAACGCACACATCACAAAGGAGTTTCTGAGAATCATTCTGTCTAATTTTTATAGGAAGATATTTCCTTTTCTACCTTTGACTTCAAAGCGGCTGAAATCTCCACTTGCAAATTCCACAAAAAGAGTGTTACAAGTCTGCTCTGTGTAAAGGATCGTTCAACTCTGTGAGTTGAATACACACAACACAAGGAAGTTACGGAGAATTCTTCCGTCTAGCACAATATGAAGAAATCCCGTTTCCAAAGAAGGCCACAAGATGTCAGAATATCCACTTACAGACTTTACAAACAGAGTGTTTCCTAACTGCTCTATGAAAAGAAAGGTTAAACTCTGTGAGTTCAACGCACACATCACAAAGGAGTTTATGAGAATCATTCTGTCTAGTTTTTATAGGAAGTTATTTCCTTTTCTACCTTTGACTTCAAAGCGGCTGAAATCTCCACTTGCAAATTCCACAAAAAGAGTGTTACAAGTGTGCTCTGTGCAAAGGATCGTTCAACTCTGTGAGTTGAATACACACAATACAAGGAAGTTACTGAGAATTCTTCTGTCTAGCCTTACATGAAAAAAACCCGTTTCCAACGAAGGCCTCTAAGTGTTCAAGTTATCCACGTGCAGACTTTACAAACAGAGTGTTTCCAAACTTCTGAATGAAAAGAAAAGTTAAACTCTGAGAGTTGAACGCACACATCGCAGAGCAGTTTCTGAGAATGATTCTGTCTAGTTTTTATACGAAGATATTTCCTTTTCTGCCTTTGGCCCCAAAGCGCTTGAAATCTCCACTTGCAAATTCCACAAAAACAGTGTTTCAAATCTGCTCTCTCTAAATGAAAGTTCGACTCTGTCAGTTGAATACACACAACACAGGGAAGTTACTGAGAATTCTTCTGTCTAGCATAATATGAAGAAATCCCGTTTCCAAAGAAGGCCTCAAAGAGGTCTGAATATCCACTTGCAGACTTTACAAACAGAGTGTTTCCTAACTGCTCTATGAAAAGAAAAGTTAAACTTTGAGAGTTGAACGCACACATCACAAAGGAGTTTATGAGAATCATTCTGTCTAGTCTTTATATGAAGATAGTTTCCTTTTCTACCATTGACCTCAAAGCGGCTGAAATCTCCACTTGCAAATTCCACAAAAAGAGTGTTTCAAGTCTGCTCTGTGTAAAGGATCGTTCAACTCTGTGAGTTGAATACACACAACACAAGGAAGTTACTTAGAATTCTTCTGTCTAGCAGAATATGAAGAAATCCCGTTTCCAACGAAGGCCTCAAGGAGGTCTGAATATCCACTTGCAGACTTTACAAACAGAGTGTTTCCTAACTGCTCTATGAACAGAAAGGTTAAACACTGTGAGTTGAACGAACACATCACAACGCAGTTTGTGGGAATGATTCTGTCTAGTTTTGAAACCAAGATATTTCCTTTTCTGCCGTTGACCTTAAAGAGCTTGAAAACTACACTTGCAAATTGCACAAATAGAGTGTTTCAAATCTGCTCTGTCTAAGGGAACGTTCAACTCTGTGAGTTGAATGCACACAACACAAGGAAGTTACTGGGAATTCTTCTGTCTAGCCTTACATGAAAAAAACCCGTTTCCAACGAAGGCCTCTAAGTGGTCAAAATTTCCACGTGCAGACTTTACAAACAGAGTGTTTCCAAACCGCTGAATGAAAAGAAAAGTTAAACTCTGAGAGTTGAACGCACACATCATGCAGCAGTTTCTGAGAATGATTCTGTCTAGTTTTTATACGAAGATATTTCCTTTTCTGCCTTTGGCCTCAAAGCGCTTGAAATCTCCATTTGCAAATTCCACAAAAAGAGTGTTTCAAATCTGCTCTGTGTAAATGAAAGTTCAACTCTGTCAGTTGAATACACACAACACAAGGAAGTTACTGAGAATTCTTCTGTCTAGCATAATATGAAGAAATCCCGTTTCCAACGAAGGCCTCAAAGAGGTCTGAATATCCACTTGCAGACTTTACAAACAGAGTGTTTCCTAACTGCTCTATGAAAAGAAAAGTTAAACTCTGTGAGTTGATCGCACACATCACAAAGGAGTTTCTGAGAATCATTCTGTCTAGTTTCTATAGGAAGATATTTCCTATTCTACCATTGACCTCAAAGCGGCTGAAATCTCCACTTGCAAATTCCACAAAAAGAGTGTTTCAAGTCTGCTCTGTGTAAAGGATCGTTCAACTCTGTGAGTTGAATACACACAACACAAAGAAGTTTCTGAGAATTCTTCTGTCTAGCATAATATGAAGAAAGCCTGTTTCCAAAGAAGGCCTCTAGGAGGTCTGAATATCCACTTGCAGACTTTACAAACAGAGTGTTTCCTAACTGCTCAATGGAGAGAAAGGTTAAACTCTGTGAGTTGAACGCACACATCACAAAGGAGTTTCTGAGAATCATTCTGTCTAGTTTCTATAGGAAGATATTTCCTATTCTACCATTGACCTCAAAGCGGCTGAAATCTCCACTTGAAATTCCACAAAAAGAGTGTTTCAAGTCTGCTCTGTGTAAAGGATCGTTCACCTCTGTGAGTTGAATACACACAACACAAAGAAGTTACTGAGAATTCTTCTGTCTAGCAGAATATGAAGAAATCCCGTTTCCAACGAAGGTCTCAACGAGGTCTGAATATCCACTTGCAGACTTTACAAACAGAGCGTTTCCTAACTGCTCTATGAAAAGAAAGGTTAAACTCTGTGAGTTGAACACACACATCACAAAGAGTTTCTGAGAATCATTCTGTCTAGTTTTTATACGAAGATATTTCCTTTTCTACCACTGACCTCAAAGCGGCTGAAATCTCCACTTACAAATTCCACAAAAAGAGTGTCTCAAATCTGCTCTGTGTAAAGAACCGTTCAACTCTGTGAGTTGAATACACACAACACAAGGAAGTTACTGAGAATTCTTCTGTCTAGCAGAATATGAAGAAATCCCGTTTCCAACGAAGGCCTCAAGGAGGTCTGTATATCCACTTGCATACTTTACAAACAGAGTGTTTCCTAACTGCTCTATGAACAGAAAGGTTAAACTCTGTGAGTTGAACGCACACATCACTAAGGAGTTTCTGAGAATCATTCTGTCTAGTCTTTATACGAAGATATTTCCTTTTCTACCATTGACCTCAAAGCGGCTGAAATCTCCACTTGCAAATTCCACAAAAAGAGTGTTTCAAGTCTGCTCTGTGTGAAGGATCGTTCAACTCTGTGAGTTGAATACACACAACACAAGGAAGTTACTGAGAATTCTTCTGTCTAGCATAATATGTAGAAATCCCGTTTCCAACGAAGGCCTCAAGGAGGTCTGAATATCCACTTGCAGACTTTACAAACAGAGTGTTTCCTAACTGCTCTATTAAAAGAAAGGTTAAACTCTGTGAGTTGAACGCAGACATCACAAAGGAGTTTCTGAGAATCACTCTGTCTAGTCTTTATACGAAGATATTTCCTTTTCTACCATTGACCTCAAAGCGGCTGAAATCTCCACTTGCAAATTCCACAAAAAGAGTGTTTCAAATCTGCTCTGTGTAAAGGATCGTTCAACTCTGTGAGTTGAATACACACAACACAAGGAAGTTACTGAGAATTCTTCTGTCTAGCATAATATGAAGAAATCCCGTTTCCAACGAAGGCCTCAAGGAGGTCGGAATATCCACTTGCAGACTTTACAAACAGAGTGTTTCCTAACTGCTCTATGATAAGAAAGGTTAAACTGTGTGAGTTGAACGCACACATCACAAAGGAGTTTCTGAGAATCATTCTGTCTAGTCTTTATACGAAGATATTTCCTTTCCTACCATTGACCTCAAAGCGGCTGAAATCTCCACTTGCAAATTCCACAAAAAGAGTGTTTCAAGTCTGCTCTGTGTAAAGGATCATTCAACTCTGTGAGTTGAATAAACACAACACAAGGAAGTTACTGAGAATTCTTCTGTCTAGCAGAATATGAAGAAATCCCGTTTCCAACGAAGGCCACAAGATGTCAGAATATCCACTTACAGACTTTACAAACAGAGTGTTTCCTAACTGCTCTATGAACAGAAAGGTTAAACTCTGTGAGTTGTACGAACACATCACAACGCAGTTTGTGGGAATGATTCTGTCTAGCTTTGAAACGAAGATATTTCCTTTTCTGCCATTGACCTTAAAGCGCTTGAAATCTACACTTGCAAATTGCACAAATAGAGTGTTTCAAATCTGCTGTGTCTAAGGGAACGTTCAACTCTGTGAGTTGAATGCACACAACACAAGGAAGTTACTGAGAATTCTTCTGTCTAGCCTTACATGCAAAAAACCCGTTTCCAACGAAGGCCTCTAAGTGGTCAAAATATCCACGTGCAGACTTCACAAACAGAGTGTTTCCAAACCGCTGAATGAAAAGAAAAGTTAAACTCTGAGAGTTGAACGCACACATCAGTCAGCAGCTTCGGAGAATGATTCTGTCTAGTTTTTATACGAAGATATTTCCTTTTCTGCCTTTGGCCTCAAAGCGCTTCAAATCTCCATTTGCAAATTCCACAAAAAGAGTGTTCCAAATCTGCTCTGTGTAAATGAAAGTTCAACTCTGTGAGTTGAACACACACAACACAAGGAAGTTACTGGGAAATCTTCTGTCTAGCATAATATGAAGAAATCCCGTTTCCAACGAAGGCCTCAAAGGGGTCTGAATATCCACTTGCAGACTTTATAAACAGAGTGTTTCCTAACTGCTCTATGAAAAGAAAGGTTAAACTCTGTGAGTTGAACGCACACATCACAAAGGAGTTTCTGAGAATCGTTCTGTCTAGTTTTTATACGAAGATATTTCCTTTTCTACCATTGACCTCAAAGCGGCTGAAATCTCCACTTACAAATTCCACAAAAAGAGTGTCTCAAGTCTGCTCTGTGTAAACGATCGTTCAACTCTGTGAGTTGAATACACACAACACAAGGAAGTTTCTGAGAATTCTTCTGTCTAGCAGAATATGAAGAAATCCCGTTTCCAACGATGGCCACAAGATGTCAGAATATCCACTTACAGACTTTACAAACAGAGTGTTTCCTAACTGCTCTATGAACAGAAAGGTTAAACTCTGTGAGTTGAACGAACACATCACAACGCAGTTTGTGGGAATGATTCTGTCTAGTTTTGAAACGAAGATATTTCCTTTTCTTCCATTGACCTTAAAGCGCTTGAAATCTACACTTGCAAATTGCACAAATAGAGTGTTTCAAATCTGCTCTGTCTAAGGGAACGTTCAACTCTGTGAGTTGAATGCACCCAACACAAGGAAGTTACTGGGAATTCTTCTGTCTAGCCTTACATGAAAAAAACCCGTTTCCAACGAATGCCTCTAAGTGGTCAAAATATCCACGTGCAGACTTTACAAACAGAGTGTTTCCAAACTGCTGAATGAAAACAAAAGTTAAACTCTGAGAGTTGAACGCACACATCACAGAGCAGTTTCTGAGAATGATTCTGTCTAGTTTTTATACGAAGATATTTCCTTTTCTGCCTTTGGCCTCAAAGCGCTTGAAATCTCCATTTGCAAATTCCACAAAAAGAGTGTTTCAAATCTGCTCTGTGTAAATGAAAGTTCAACTCTGTGAGTTGAACACACACAACACAAGGAAGTTACTGAGAATTCTTCTGTCTAGCCTTATATGAAAAAAACCCGTTTCCAACGAAGGTCTCAAAGAGGTCTGAATATCCACTTGCAGACTTTACAAACAGAGTGTTTCCTAACTGCTCTATGAAAAGAAAGGTTAAACTCTGTGAGTTGAACGCACCCATCACAAAGGAGTTTCTGAGAATCATTCTGTCTAGTTTTTATAGGAAGATATTTCCTTTTCTACCTTTGACTTCAAAGCGGCTGAAATCTCCACTTACAAATTCCACAAAAAGAGTGTTACAAGTCTGCTCTGTGTAAAGGATCGTTCAACTCTGTGAGTTGAATACACACAACACGCGGAAGTTACTGAGAATTCTTCTGTCTAGCCTTACATGAAAAAAACCCGTTTCCAACGAAGGCCTCAAAGAGGTCAAAATATCCACTTGCAGACTTTACAAACAGAGTGTTTCCTAACTACTCTATGAATAGAAAAGTTAAACTCTGTAAGTTGAACATACACATCACAAAGGAGTTTCTGAGAATCATTCTGTCTAGTTTTTATACGAAGATATTTCCTTTTCTGCCTTTGGCCTCAAAGCGCTTGAAATCTCCACTTGCAAATTACACAAAAAGACTGTTGCAAATCTGCTCTGTCTGAAGGAAGGTTCAACTCTGTCAGTTGAATACACACAACACAAGGAAGTTATTGAGAATTCTTCTGTCTAGCCTTACATGAAAAAAAACCCGTTTCCAACGAAGGCCTCTAAGTGGTCAAAATATCCACGTGCAGACTTTACAAACAGAGTGTTTCCAAACCGCTGAATGAAAAGAAAAGTTAAACTCTGAGAGTTGAACGCACACATCACGCAGCAGTTTCTGAGAATAATTCTGTCTAGTTTTTATACGAAGATATTTCCTTTTCTGCCTTTGGCCTCAAAGCGCTTGAAATCTCCACTTGCAAATTCCACAAAAAGAGTGTTTCCAATCTGCTCTGTGTAAATGAAAGTTCAACTCACAGAGTTGAACACACACAACACAAGGAAGTTACTGGGAATTCTTCTGTCTAGCCTTATATGAAAAAATCCCGTTTCCAAAGAAGGCCTCAAAGAGGTCTGAATATCCTCTTGCAGACTTTACAAACAGAGTGTTTCCTAACTGCTCTATGAAAAGAAAGGTTAAACTCTGTGAGTTGGACACACACATCACAAAGGAGTTTCTGAGAATCATTCTGTCTAGTTTTTATACGAAGATATTTCCTTTTCTACCATTGACCTCAAAGCGGCTGAAATCTCCACTTGCAAATTCCAGAAAAAGAGTGTTTCAAGTCTGCTCTGTGTAAAGGATCGTTCAAATCTGTGAGTTGAATACACAAAACACAAGGAAGTTTCTGAGAATTCTTCTGTATAGCAGAATATGAAGAAATCCCGTTTCCAACGAAGGCCTCAAGGAGGTCTGAATATCCACTTGCAGAATTTACAAACAGAGTGTTTCCTAACTGCTCTATGAAAAGAAAGGTTAAACTCTGTGAGTTGAACGCACACATCACAAAGGAGTTTCTGAGAATCATTCTGTCTAGTTTTTATACGAAGATATTTCCTTTTCTACCATTGACCTCAAAGCGGCTGAAATCACCACTTGCCAATTGCACAAAAACAGTGTTTCAAATCTGCTCTGTCTAAGGGAACGTTCAACTCTGTGAGTTGAATGTACACAACACAAGGAAGTTCCTGGGAATTCTTCTGTCTAGCCTTACATGAAAAAAACCCGTTTCCAACGAAGGCCTCTAAGTGGTCAAAATATCTACGTGCAGACTTTACAAACAGAGTGTTTCCAAACCGCTGAATGAAAAGAAAAGTTAAACTCTGAGAGTTGAACGCACACATCACGCAGCAGTTTCTGAGAATGATTCTGTCTAGTTTTTATAGGAAGATATTTCCTTTTCTACCTTTGACTTCAAAGCGGCTGAAATCTCCACTTGCAAATTCCACAAAAAGAGTGTTACAAGTCTGCTCTGTGTAAAGGATCGTTCAACTCTGTGAGTTGAATACACACAACACAGGGAAGTTACTGAGAATTCTTCTATCTAGCCTTATATGAAAAAAACCCGTTTCCAACGAAGGCCTCAAAGAGGTCCGAATATCCACTTGCAGACTTTACAAACAGAGTGTTTCCTAACTGCTCTATGAAAAGAAAGGTTAAACTCTGTGAGTTGAACGCACACATCACAAAGGAGTTTCTGAGAATCATTCTGTCTAGTTTTTATACGAAGATATTTCCTTTTCTACCATGGACCTCAAAGCGGCTGAAATCTCCACTTGCAAATTCCACAAAAAGAGTGTTTCAAGTCTGCTCTGTGTAAAGTATCGTTCAACTCTGTGAGTTGAATACACACAACACAAGGAAGATTCTGAGAATTCTTCTGTGTAGCAGAATATGAAGAAATCCCGTTTCCAACGAAGGCCACAAGATGTCCGAATATCCACTTACAGACTTTACAAACAGAGTGTTTCCTAACTGCTCTATGAACAGAAAGGTTAAACTCTGTGAGTTGAACGAACACATCACAACGCAGTTTGTGGGAATGATTCTGTCTAGTTTTGAAACGAAGATATTTCCTTTTCTGCCATTGAACTTAAAGCGCTTGAAATCTCCATTTGCCAATTGCACAAAAAGAGTGTTTCAAATCTGCTCTGTCTAAGGGAACGTTCAACTCTGTGAGTTGAATGTACACAACACAAGGAAGTTACTGGGAATTCTTCTGTCTAGCCTTACAGGAAAAAAACCCATTTCCAACGAAGGCCTCTAAGTGGTCAAAATATCCACGTGCAGACTTTACAAACAGAGTGTTTCCAAACTGCTGAATGAAAAGAAAAGTTAAACTCCTGAGAGTTGAACGCACACATCGCAGAGCAGTTTCTGAGAATGATTCTGTCTAGTTTTTATACGAAGATATATCTTTTTCTGCCTTTGGCCCCAAAGCGCTTGAAATCTCCACGTGCAAATTCCACAAAAACAGTGTTTCAAATCTGCTCTCTCTAAATGAAAGTTC
Organism: Homo sapiens; assembly: GCF_000001405.40. NCBI lineage: Eukaryota > Metazoa > Chordata > Mammalia > Primates > Hominidae > Homo > Homo sapiens. The sequence goes on along the minus strand of NC_000005.10, from coordinate 47,751,402 downwards.
AACTCTGTCACTTGAATACACACAACACAAGGGAAGTTACTGAGAATTCTTCTGTCTAGCACAGTATGGAGAAATCCCGTTTCCAACGAAGGCCTCAAAGAGGTCTGAATATCCACTTGCAGAGTTTACAAACAGAGTGTTTCCTAACTGCTCTATGAAAAGAAAGGATAAACTCTGTGAGTTGAACGCACACATCACAAAGAAGTTTCTGAGAATCATTCTGTCTAGTTTTTCTACGAAGATATTTCCTTTTCTACTATTGACCTCAAAGCGGCTGAAATCTCCACTTGCAAATTCCACAAAAGGAGTGTTTCAAGTGTGCTCTGTGTAAAGGATCGTTCAACTCTGTGAGTTGAATACACACAACACAAGGAAGTTACTGAGAATTCTTCTGTCTAGCAGAATATGAAGAAATCCCGTTTCCAACGAAGGCCTCAAGGATGTCTGAATATCCACTTGCAGAGTTTAGAAACAGAGTGTTTCCTAACTGCACTATGAAAAGAAAGGTTAAACTCTGTGAGTTGAACGCACACATCACAAAGGAGTTTATGAGAATCATTCTGTCTAGTTTCTATAGGAAGATATTTCCTATTCTACCATTGTCCTCAAAGCGGCTGAAATCTCCAATTGCAAATTCCACAGAAAGAGTGTTTCAAGTCTGCTCTTTGTAAAGGATCGTTCAACTCTGTGAGTTGAATACACACAACACAAGGAAGTTACTGAGAATTCTTCTGTCTAGCAGAATATTAAGAAATCCCGTTTCCAACGAAGGCCTCAAAGAGGTCTGAATATCCACTTGCAGACTTTACAAACAGAGTGTTTCCTAACTGCTCTATGAAAAGAAAGGTTAAACTCTGTGAGTTGAACGCACACATTACAACGCAGTTTGTGGGAATGATTCTGTCTAATTTTGAAACGAAGATATTTCCTTTTCTGCCATTGACCTTAATGCGCTTGAAATCTACACTTGCAAATTGCACAAATAGAGTGTTTCAAATCTGCTCTGTCTAAGGGAACGTTCAACTCTGTGAGTTGAATGCACACAACACAAGGAAGTTACTGGGAATTCTTCTGTCTAGCCTTGCATGAAAAAAACCCGTTTCCAAAGAAGGCCTCTAAGTGGTCAAAATGTCCACGTGCAGACTTTACAAACAGAGTATTTCCAAACCGCTGAATGAAAAGAAAAGTTAAACTCTGAGAGTTGAACGCACACATCACGCAGCAGTTTCTGAGAATGATTCTGTCTAGTTTTTATACGAAGAAATTTCCTTTTCTGCCTTTGGCCCCAAAGCGCTTGAAATCTCCACTTGCAAATTCCACAAAAACAGTGTTTCAAATCTGCTCTCTCTAAATGAAAGTTCAACTCTGTCAGTTGAATACACACAACACAAGGAAGTTACTGAGAATTCTTCTGTCTAGCATAATATGAAGAAATCCCGTTTCCAACGAAGGCCTCAAAGGGGTCTGAATATCCACTTGCAGACTTTATAAACAGAGTGTTTACTAACTGCTCTATGAAAAGAAAGGTTAAACTCTGTGAGTTGAACACACGCATCACAAAGGAGTTTCTGAGAATCATTCTGTCTAGTTTCCATAGGAAGATATTTCCTATTCTACCATTGACCTCAAATCGGATGAAATCTCCACTTGCAAATTCCACAAAAAGAGTGTTTCAAGTCTGCTCTGTGTAAAGGATCGTTCAACTCTGTGAGTTGAATACACACAATACAAAGAAGTTACTGAGAATTCTTCTGTCTAGCAGAATATGAAGAAATCCCGTTTCCAATGAAGGCCTCAAAGAGGTCCGAATATCCACTTGCAGACTTTACAAACAGAGTGTCTCCTAACTGCTCTATGAAAAGAAAGGTTAAACTCTGTGAGTTGAACGCACACATCACAAGGGAGTTTCTGAGAATCATTCTGTCTATTTTCTATAGGAAGATATTTCCTATTCTACCATTGACCTCAAAGCGGCTGAAATCTTCACTTGCAAATTCCACAAAAAGAGTGTTTCAAGTCTGCTCTGTGTAAAGGATCGTTCAACTCTGTGAGTTGAATACACACAACACAAGGAAGTTACTGAGAATTCTTTCTGTCTAGCAGAATATGAAGAAATCACGTTTCCAACGAAGGCCTCAAAGAGGTCTGAATATCCACTTGCAGACTTTACAAACAGAGTGTTTCCTAACTGCTCTATGAAAAGAAAGGTTAAACTCTGTGAGTTGAACGCACACATCACAAAGGAGTTTCTGAGAATAATTCTGTCTAGTTTCTATAGGAAGATATTTCCTATTCTACCATTGACCTCAAAGCGGCTGAAATCTCCACTTGCAAATTCCACAAAAAGAGTGTTTCAAGTCTGCTCTGGGTAAAGGATCGTTCAACTCTGTGAGTTGAATACACACAACACAAGGAAGTTACTGAGAATTCCTCTGTCTAGCAGAATATGAAGAAATCCCGTTTCCAACGAAAGCCTCAAGGAGGTCTGAATATCCACTTACAGACTTTACAAACAGAGTGTTTCCTAACTGCTCTATGAACAGAAAGGTTAAACTCTGTGAGTTGAACGAACACATCACAACGCAGTTTGTGGGAATGATTCTGTCTAGTTTTGAAACGAAGATATTTCCTTTTCTGCCATTGACCTTAAAGCGCTTGAAATCTACACTTGCAAATTGCACAAATAGAGTGTTTCAAATCTGCTGTGTCTAAGGGAACGTTCAACTCTGTGAGTTGAATGCACACAACACAAGGAAGTTACTGGGAATTCTTCTGTCTAGCCTTACATGACAAAAACCCGTTTCCAACGAAGACCTCTAAGTGGTCAAAATATCCACGTGCAGACTTTACAAACAGAGTGTTTCCAAACTGCTGAATGAAAAGAAAAGTTAAACTCTGAGAGCTGAAGGCACACATCGCAGAGCAGTTTCTGAGAATGATTCTGTCTAGTTTTTATACGAAGATATTTCCTTTTCTGCCTTTGGCCCCAAAGCGCTTGAAATCTCCACTGGCAAATTCCACAAAAACAGTGTTTCAAATCTGCTCTCTCTAAATGAAAGTTCAACTCTGTCAGTTGAATACACACAACACAAGGAAAGTTACTGAGAATTCTTCTGTCTAGCAGAATATGAAGAAATCCCGTTTCCAACGAAGGTCTCAAAGAGGTCTGAATATCCACTTGCAGACTTTACAAACAGAGTGTTTCCTAACTGCTCTATGAAAAGAAAGGTTAAACTCTGTGAGTTGAACGCACACATCACAAAGGAGTTTCTGAGAATCGTTCTGTCTAGTTTTTCTACGAAGATATTTCCTTTTCTACTATTGACCTCAAAGCGGCTGAAATCTCCACTTGCAAATTCTACAAATAGAGTGTTTCAAGTCTGCTCTGTGTAAAGGATCGTTCAACTCTGTGAGTTGAATACACACAACACAAAGAAGTTACTGAGAATTCTTCTGTCTATCATAGTATGAAGAAATCCCGTTTCCAACGAAGGCCTCAAAGAGGTCTGAATATCCACTTGCAGAGTTTACAAACAGAGTGTTTCCTAACTGCTCTATGAAAAGAAAGGTTAAACTCTGTGAGTTGAACGCACACATCACAAAGAAGTTTCTGAGAATCATTTTGTCTAGGTTCTATAAGAAGATATTTCCTATTCTACCATTGACCTCAAAGCGGCTGAAATCTCCACTTGCAAATTCGACAAAAAGAGTGTTTCAAGCCTGCTCTCTGTAAAGGATCCTTCAACTCTGTGAGTTGAATACACACAACAGAAGGAAGTTACTGAGAATTATTCTGTCTAGCAGAATATGAAGAAATCCCGTTTCCAACGAAGGCCTCAAGAGGCCTGAATATCCACTTGCAGACTTTACAAACAGAGTGTTTCCTAACTGCTCTATGAAAAGAAAGGTGAAACTCTGTGAGTTGAATGCACACATCACAAAGGAGTTTATGAGAATCATTCTGTCTAGTTTCTATAGGAAGATATTTCCTATTCTACCATTGACCTCAAAGCGGCTGAAATCTCCACTTGCAAATTCCACAAAAAGAATGTTTCAAGTCTGCTCTGTGTAAAAGATCGTTCAACTCTGTGAGTTGAATACACACAACACAAGGAAGTTACTGAGAATTCTTCTGTCTAGCAGAATATGAAGAAATCCCGTTTCCAACGAAGACCACAAGATGTCAGAATATCCACTTACAGAATTGACAAACAGACTGTTTCCTAACTGCTCTATGAAAAGAAAGGTTAAACTTCTGTGAGTTGAACGAACACATCACAACGCAGTTTGTGGGAATGATTCTGTCTAGTTTTGAAACGAAGATATTTCCTTTTCTGCCATTGACCTTAAAGCGCTTGAAATCTACACTTGCAAATTGCACAAATAGAGTGTTTCAAATCTGCTCTGTCTAAGGGAACGTTCAACTCTGTGAGTTGAATGCACACAACACAAGGAAGTTACTGGGAAATTCTTCTGTCTAGCCTTACATGAAAAAAAAACCGTTTCCAACGAAGGCCTCTAAGTGGTCAAATTATCCACGTGCAGACTTTACAAACAGAGTGTTTCCAAACTGCTGAATGAAAAGAAAAGTTGAACTCTGAGAGTTGAACGCACACATCGCAGAGCAGTTTCTGAGAATGATTCAGTCTAGTTTTGAAACGAAGATATTTCCTTTTCTGCCTTTGGCCTCAAAGCGCTTGAAATCTCCACTTGCAAATTCCACAAAAAGAGTGTTTCAAATCTGCTCTGTGTAAATGAAAGTTCAACTCTGTGAGTTGAACACACACAACACAAGGAAGTTACTGGGAATTCTTCTGTCTAGCAGAATATGAAGAAATCCCGTTTCCAACGAAGGCCTCAAAGAGGTCTGAATATCCACTTGCAGACTTTACAAACAGAGTGTTTCCTAACTGCTCTATGAAAAGAAAAGTTAAACTCTGTGAGTTGAACACACACATCACAAAGGAGTTTCTGAGAATCATTCTGTCTAGTGTTTATCCGAAGATATTTACTTTTCTACCATTGACCTCAAAGCGGCTGAAATCTCCACTTGCAAATTCCACAAAAAGAGTGTTTCAAGTCTGCTCTGTGTAAAGGATCATTCAACTCTGTGAGTTGAATAAACACAACACAAGGAAGTTACTGAGAATTCTTCTGTCTAGCAGAATATGAAGAAATCCCGTTTCCAACGAAGGCCACATGATGTCAGAATATCCACTTACAGACTTTACAAACAGAGTGTTTCCTAACTGCTCTATGAACAGAAAGGTTAAACTCTGTGAGTTGAACGAACACATCACAACGCAGTTTGTGGGAATGATTCTGTCTAGTTTTGAAACGAAGATATTTCCTTTTCTGCCATTGACCTTAAAGCGCTTGAAATTTCCACTTGCCAATTGCATAAAAAGAGTATTTCAAATCTGCTCTGTCTAAGGGAACGTTCAACTCTGTGAGTTGAATGTACACAACACAAGGAAGTTACTGGGAATTCTTCTGTCTAGCCTTACAGGAAAAAAACCCGTTTCCAACGAAGGCCTCTAAGTGGTCAAGTTATCCACGTGCAGACTTTACAACCAGAGTGTTTCCAAACTGCTGAATGAAAAGAAAAGTTAAACTCTGAGAGTTGAACGCACACATCGCAGAGCAGTTTCTGAGAATGATTCTGTCTAGTTTTGAAAAGAAGATATTTCCTTTTCTGCCTTTGGCCTCAAAGCGCTTGAAATCTCCACTTGCAAATTCCACAAAAAGAGTGTTTCAAATCTGCTCTGTGTAAATGAAAGTTCAACTCTGTGAGTTGAACACACACAACACAAGGAAGTTACTGGGAATTCTTCTGTCTAGCCTTATATGAAAAAAACCCGTTTCCAACGAAGGCCTCAAAGAGGTCTGAATATCCTCTTGCAGACTTTACAAACAGAGTGTTTCCTAACTGCTCTATGAAAAGAAAGGTTAAACTCTGTGAGTTGAACACACACATCACAAAGGAGTTTCTGAGAATCATTCTGTCTAGTTTTTATACGAAGATATTTCCTTTTCTACCATTGACCTCAACGTGGCTGAAATCTCCACTTGCAAATTCCACAAAAAGTGTGTTTCAAGTCCGCTCTGTGTAAAGGATCGTTCAACTCTGTGAGTTGAATACACACAACACAAGGAAGTTACTGAGAATTCTTCTGTCTAGCAGAATACGAAGAAATCCCGTTTCCAACGAAGGCCACAAGATGTCAGAATATCCACTTACAGACTTTACAAACAGAGTGTTTCCTAACTGCTCTATGAACAGAAAGGTTAAACTACTGTGAGTTGAACGAACACATCACAACGCAGTTTGTGGGAATGATTTCTGTCTAGTTTTGAAACGAAGAGATTTCCTTTTCTGCCATTGACCTTAAAGCGCTTGAAATCTCCACTTGCCAATTGCACAAAAAGAGTGTTTCAAATCTGCTCTGTCTAAGGGAACGTTCAACTCTGTGAGTTGAATGTACACAACACAAGGAAGTTATTGGGAATTCTTCTGTCTAGCCTTACATGAAAAAAACCCGTTTCCAACGAAGGCCTCTAAGTGGTCAAAATATCCACGTGCAGACTTTACAAACAGAGTGTTTCCAAACCGCTGAATAAAAAGAAAAGTTAAACTCTGAGAGTTGAACGCACACATCACGCAGCAGTTTATGAGAATGATTCTGTCTAGTTTTGAAACGAAGATATTTCCTTTTCTGCCTTTGGCCTCAAAGCGCTTGAAATCTCCACTTGCAAATTCCACAAAAAGAGTGTTTCAAATCTGCTCTGGGTAAATGAAAGTTCAACTCTGTGAGTTGAACACACACAACACAAGGGAAGTTACTGGGAATTCTTCTGTCTAGCCTTATATGAAAAAAACCCGTTTCCAACGAAGGCCTCAAAGAGGTCTGAATATCCACTTGCAGACTTTACAAACAGAGTGTTTCCTAACTGCTCTATGAAAAGAAAGGTTAAACTCTGTGAGTTGAACACACACATCACAAAGAAGTTTCTGAGAATCATTCTGTCTAGTTTCTATAGGAAGATATTTCCATTTCTACCATTGAACTCAAAGCGGCTGAAATCTCCACTTGCAAATTCCACAAAAAGAGTGTTTCAAGCCTGCTCTGTGTAAAGGATCGTTCAACTCTGTGAGTTGAATACACACAACACAAGGAAGTTACTGAGAATTCTTCTGTCTAGCAGAATATGAAGAAATCCCGTTTCCAACGAAAGCCTCAAAGATGTCTGAATATCCACTTGCAGACTTTACAAACAGAGTGTTTCCTAACTGCTCTATGAAAAGAAAGGTTTAAACTCTGTGAGTTGAACGCACACATCACAAAGGAGTTTCTGAGAATCATTCTGTCTAGTTTTTATACGAAGATATTTCCTTTTCTACCATTGACCTCAAAGCGGCTGAAATCTCCACTTGCAAATTCTACAAAAAGAGTGTTTCAAGTCTGCTCTGTGTAAAGGATCGTTCAACTCTGTGAGTTGAATACACACAACACAAGGAAGATTCTGAGAATTCTTCTGTGTAGCAGAATATGAAGAAATCCCGTTTCCAACGAAGGCCACAAGATGTCAGAATATCCACTTACAGAATTTACCAACAGAGTGTTTCCTAACTGCTCTATGAAAAGAAAGGTTAAACTCTGTGAGTTGAACGAACACATCACAACGCAGTTTGTGGGAATGATTCTGTCTAGTTTTGAAACGAAGATATTTCCTTTTCTGCCATTGACCTTAAACACTTGAAATCTACACTTGCAAATTGCACAAATAGAGTGTTTCAAATCTGCTCTGTCTAAGGGAACGTTCAACTCTGTGAGTTGAATGCACACAACACAAGGAAGTTACTGGGAATTCTTCTGTCTAGCCTTACAGGAAAAAAACCCGTTTCCAACGAAGGCCTCTAAGTGGTCAAAATATCCACGTGCAGACTTTACAAACAGAGTGTTTCCAAACTGGTGAATGAAAAGAAAAGTTAAACTCTGAGAGTTGAACGCACAGATCGCAGAGGAGTTTCTGAGAATGATTCTGTCTAGTTTTTATACGAAGATATTTCCTTTTCTGCCTTTGGCCTGAAAGCGCTTGAAATCTCCACTTGCAAATTCCACAAAAAGAGTGTTTCAAATCTGCTCTGTGTAAATCAAAGTTCAACTCTGTGAGTTGAACACACACAACACAAGGAAGTTACTGGGAATTCTTCTGTCTAGCAGAATATGAAGAAATCCCGTTTCCAACGCAGGCCTCAAAGGGGTCTGAATATCCACTTGCAGACTTTACAAACAGAGTGTTTCCTAACTGCTCTATGAAAAGAAAGGTTAAACTCTGTGAGTTGAACGCACACATCACAAAGGAGTTTCTGAGAATCGTTCTGTCTAGTTTCTATAGGAAGATAGTTCCTATTCTACCATTGACCTCAAAGCGGCTGAAATCTCCACTTGCAAATTCCACAAAAAGAGTGTTTCAAGTCTGCTCTGTGTAAAGGATCGTTCAACTCTGTGAGTTGAATACACACAACACAAGGAAGTTACTGAGAATTCTTCTGTCTAGCATAATATGAAGAAATCCCGTTTCCAACGATGGCCTCAAAGAGGTCTGAATATCCACTTGCAGACTTTACAAATAGAGTGTTTCCTAACTGCTCTATGAAAAGAAAAGTTAAACTCTGTGAGTTGAACGCACACATCACAAAGGAGTTTCTGAGAATCATTCTGTCTAGTCTTTATACGAAGATATTTACTTTTCTACCATTGACCTCAAAGCGGCTGAAATCTCCACTTGCAAATTCCACAAAAAGAGTGTTTCAAGTCTGCTCTGTGTAAAGGATCATTCACCTCTGTGAGTTGAATAAACACAACACAAGGAAGTTACTGAGAATTCTTCTGTCTAGCAGAATATGAAGAAATCCCGTTTCCAACGAAGGCCACAAGATGTCAGAATATCCACTTACAGACTTTACAAACAGAGTGTTTCCTGACTGCTCTATGAACAGAAAGGTTAAACTCTGTGAGTTGAACGAACACATCACAACGCAGTTTGTGGGAATGATTCTGTCTAGTTTTGAAACGAAGATATTTCCTTTTCTGCCATTGACCTTAAAGCGCTTGAAATCTCCACTTGCCAATTGCACAAAAAGAGTGTTTCAAATCTGCTCTGTCTAAGGGAACGTTCAACTCTGTGAGTTGAATGTACACAACACAAGGTAAGTTACTGGGAATTCTTCTGTCTAGCAGAATATGAAGAAATCCCGTTTCCAACGAAGGCATCAAAGAGGTCTGAATATCCACTTGCAGACTTTACAAACAGAGTGTTTCCTAACTGCTCTATGAAAAGAAAGGTTAAACTCTGTGAGTTGAATGCACACATCACAAAGGAGTTTCTGAGAATCATTCTGTCTAGTTTTTATACGAAGATATTTCCTTTTCTACAATTGACCTCAAAGCGGCTGAAATCTCCACTTGCAAATTCCACAAAAAGAGTGTTTCAAGTCTGCTCTGTGTAAAGGATCGTTCAACTCTGTGAGTTGAAAACACACAACACAAGGAAGTTTCTGAGAAATCTTCTTTCTAGCAGAATATGAAGAAATCCCGTTTCCAACGAAAGCCTCAAGGAGGTCTGAATATCCACTTGCAGACTTTACAAACAGAGTGTTTCCCAACTGCTCTATGAAAAGAAAGGTTAAACTCTGTGAGTTGAACGCACACATCACAACGGAGTTTCTGAGAATCATTCTGTCTATTTTCTATAGGAAGATATTTCCTATTCTACCATTGACCTCAAAGCGGATGAAATCTCCACTTGCAAATTCCACAAAAAGAGTGTTTCAAGTCTGCTCTGTGTAAAGGATCGTTCAACTCTGTGAGTTGAATACACACAACACAAGGAAGTTACTGAGAATTCTTCTGTCTAGCAGAATATGAAGAAATCCCGTTTCCAACGAAGGCCTCAAGGAGGTCTGAATATCCACTTGCAGACTTTACAAACAGAGTGTTTCCTAACTGCTCTATGAAAAGGAAGGTTAAACTCTGTGAGTTGAACGAACACATCACAACGCAGTTTGTGGGAATGATTCTGTCTAGTTTTGAAACGAAGATATTTCCTTTTCTGCCATTGACCTTAAAGCGCTTGAAATCTACACTTGCAAATTGCACAAATAGAGTGTTTCAAATCTGCTCTGTCTAAGGGAACGTTCAACTCTGTGAGATGAATGCACACAACACAAGGAAGTTACTGGGAATTCTTCTGTCTAGCCTTACAGGGAAAAAAACCCGTTTCCAACGAAGGCCTCTAAGTGGTCAAAATATCCACGTGCAGACTTTACAAACAGAGTGTTTCCACACTGCTGAATGAAAAGAAAAGTTAAACTCTGAGAGTTGAACGCACACATCGCAGAGCAGTTTCTGAGAATGATTCTGTCTAGTTTCTATAAGAAGATATTTCCTATTCTACCATTGACCTCAAAGCAGCTGAAATCTCCACTTGCAAATTCGAGAAAAAGAGTGTTTCAAGCCTGCTCTCTGTAAAGGATCCTTCAACTCTGTGAGTTGAATACACACAACACAAGGAAGTTACTGAGAATTATTCTGTCTAGCATAATATGAAGAAATCCAGTTTCCAACGAAGGCCTCAAGGAGGTCTGAATATCCACTTGCAGACTTTACAAACAGAGTGTTTCCTAACTGCTCTATGAAAAGAAAGGTTAAACTCTGTGAGTTGAACGCACACATCGCAAAGTAGTTTCTGAGAATCATTCTGTCTAGTCTTTATACGAATATATTTCCTTTTCTACCATTGAACTCAAAGCTGCTGAAATCTCCACTTGAAAATACCAAAAAAAGTGTGTTTCAAGTCTGCTCTGTGTAAAGGATCGTTCAACTCTGTGAGTTGAATACACACAACACAAGGAAGTTTCTGAGAATTCTTCTCTCTAGCAGAATATGAAGAAATCCCGTTTCCAACGAAGGCCTCAAGATGTCAGAATATCCACTTACAGACTTTACAAACAGAGTGTTTCCTAACTGCTCTATGAACAGAAAGGTTAAACTCTGTGAGTTGAACGAACACATCACAACGCAGTTTGTGGGAATGATTCTGTCTAGTTTTTATAGGAAGATATTTCCTTTTCTACCTTTGACTTCAAAGCGGCTGAAATCTCCACTTGCAAATTCCACAAAAAGAGTGTTACAAGTCTGCTCTGTGTAAAGGATCGTTCAACTGTGTGAGTTGAATACACACAACACAAGGAAGTTACTGAGAAATCTTCTGTCTAGCCTTACATGAAAAAAACCCGTTTCCAACGAAGGCCTCTAAGTGGTCAAATTATCCACGTGCAGACTTTACAAACAGAGTGTTTCCAAACTGCTGAATGAAAAGAAAAGTTAAACTCTGAGAGTTGAACGCACACATCACAGAGCAGTTTCTGAGAATGATTCGGTCTAGTTTTTATACGAAGATATTTCCTTTTCTGCCTTTGGCCTCAAAGCGCTTGAAATCTCCACTTGCAAATTCCACAAAAAGAGTGTTTCCAATCTGCTCTGTGTAAATGAAAGTTCAACTCTGTGAGTTGAACACACACAACACAAGGAAGTTACTGGGAATTCTTCTGTCTAGCCTTATATGAAAAAAACCCGTTTCCAACGAAGGCCTCAAAGAGGTCTGAATATCCACTTGCAGACTTTACAAACAGAGTGTTTCCTAACTGCTCTATGAAAAGAAAGGTTAAACTCTGTGAGTTGAACAGACACATCACAAAGGAGTTTCTGAGAATCATTCTGTCTAGTTTTTTTATGAAGATATTTCCTTTTCTACCATTGACCTCAAAGCGGCTGAAATCTCCACTTGCAAATTCCACAAAAAGAGTGTTTCTAATCTGCTCCTGTGTAAAGGATCGTTCAACTCTGTGAGTTGAAAGTACACAACACAAGGAAGCTACTGAGAATTCTTCTGTCTAGCAGAATATGAAGAAATCCCGTTTCCAACGAAGGCCACAAGATGTCAGAATATCCACTTACAGAATTTACAAACAGAGTGTTTCCTAACTGCTCTATGAAAAGAAAGGTTAAACTCTGTGAGTTGAACGTACACATCACAAAGGAGTTTCTGAGAATCATTCTGTCTAGTTTTGAAACGAAGATATTTCCTTTTCTGCCATTGACCTTAAGCGCTTGAAATCTCCACTTGCCAATTGCACAAAAAGAGTGTTTCAAATCTGCTCTGTCTAAGGGAACGTTCAACTCTGTGAGTTGAATGTACACAACACAAGGAAGTTACTGGGAATTCTTCTGTCTAGCCTTACATGAAAAAACCCGTTTCCAACGAAGGCCTCTAAGTGGTCAAGTTATCCACGTGCAGACTTTACAAACAGAGTGTTTCCAAACTGCTGAATGAAAAGAAAAGTTAAACTCTGAGAGTTGAACGCACACATCGCAGAGCAGTTTCTGAGAATGATTCTGTCTAGTTTTCAAACGAAGATATTTCCTTTTCTGCCTTTGGCCTCAAAGCGCTTGAAATCTCCACTTGCAAATTCCACAAAAAGAGTGTTTCAAATCTGCTCTGTGTAAATGAAAGTTCAACTCTGTGAGTTGAACACACACAACACAAGGAAAGTTACTGGGAATTCTTCTGTCTAGCCTTATATGAAAAAATCCCGTTTCCAACGAAGGCCTCAAAGAGGTCTGAATATCCACTTGCAGACTTTACAAACAGAGTGTTTCCTAACTGCTCTATGAAAAGAAAGGTTAAACTCTGTGAGTTGAACACACACATCACAAAGGAGTTTCTGAGAATCATTCTGTCTAGTTTTTATACGAAGATATTTCCTTTTCTACCATTGACCTCAACGCGGCTGAAATCTCCACTTGCAAATTCCACAAAAAGAGTGTTTCAAGTCCAATCTGTGTAAAGGATCGTTCAACTCTGTGAGTTGAATACACACAACACAAGGAAGTTACTGAGAATTCTTTTGTCTAGCATAATATGAAGAAATCCCGTTTCCAACAAAGGCCTCAAGGAGGTCTGAATATCCACTTGCACACATTACAAACAGAGTGTTTCCTAACTGCTCTATGAAAAGAAAGGTTAAACTCTGTGAGTTGAACGCACACATCACAAAGGAGTTTCTCAGAATCATTCTGTCTAGTTTTTATACGAAGATATTTCCTTTTCTACCATTGACCTCAACGCGGCTGAAATCTCCACTTGCAAATTCCACAAAAAGTGTGTTTCAAGTCCGCTCTGTGTAAAGGATCGTTCAACTCTGTGAGTTGAATACACACAACACAAGGAAGTTACTGAGATTTCTTCTGTCTAGCAGAATATGAAGAAATCCCGTTTCCAACGAAGGCCACAAGATGTCAGAATATCTACTTACAGACTTTACAAACAGAGTGTTTCCTAACTGCTCTATGAACAGAAAGGTTAAACTCTGTGAGTTGAACGAACACATCACAACGCAGTTTTTGGGAATGATTCTGTCTAGTTTTGAAACGAAGATAATTCCTTTTATGCCATTGACCTTAAAGCGCTTGAAATCTCCACTTGCCAATTGCACAAAAAGAGTGTTTCAAATCTGCTCTGTCTAAGGGAACGTTCAACTCTGTGAGTTGAATGTACACAACACAAGGAAGTTACTGGGAATTCTTCTGTCTAGCCTTACATGAAAAAAACCCGATTCCAACGAAGGCCTCTAAGTGGTCAAAATTTCCACGTGCAGACTTTACAAACAGAGTGTTTCCAAACCGCTGAATGAAAAGAAAAGTTAAACTCTGAGAGTTGAACGCACACATCACGCAGCAGTTTGCTGAGAATGATTCTGTCTAGTTTTTATACGAAGATATTTCCTTTTGTGCCTTTGGCCCCAAAGCGCTTGAAATCTCCACTTGCAAATTCCACAAAAACAGTGTTTCAAATCTGCTCTCTCTAAATGAAAGTTCAACTCTGTCAGTTGAATACACACAACACAAGGAAGTTACTGAGAATTCTTCTGTCTAGCATAATATGTAGAAATCCCGTTTCCAACGAAGGCCTCAAAGAGGTCTGAATATCCACATGCAGACTTTACAAACAGAGTGTTTCCTAACTGCTCTATGAGAAGAAAAGTTAAACTCTGTGAGTTGAACGCACACATCACAAAAGATTTTCTGAGAATCATTCTGTCTAGTTTTTCTACGAAGATACTTCCTTTTCTACTATTGGCCTCAAAGCGGCTGAAATCTCCAGTTGCAAATTACACAAAAAGAGTGTTTCAAGTCTGCTGTGTGTAAAGGATCGTTCAACTCTGTGAGTTGAATACACACAACACAAGGAAGTTACTGAGAATTCTTCTGTCTAGCATAATTTGAAGAAATCCCGTTTCCAACGAAGGCCTCAAAGAGGTCTGAATATCCACTTGCAGACTTTGCAAACAGAGTGTTTCCTAACTGCTCTATGAGAAGAAAAGTTAAACTCTGTGAGTTGAACGCACACATCACAAAAGATTTTCTGAGAATCATTCTGTCTAGTTTTTATAGGAAGATATTTCCTTTTCTACTTTGACTTCAAAGCGGCTGAAATCTCCACTTGCAAATTCCACAAAAAGAGTGTTACAAGTCTGCTCTCTGTAAAGGATCGTTCAACTGTGTGAGTTGAATACATACAACACAAGGAAGTTACTGAGAACTCTTCTGTCTAGCCTTACATGAAAAAAACCCGTTTCCAACGAAGGCCTCTAAGTGGTCAAATTATCCACGTGCAGACTTTACAAACAGAGTGTTTCCAAACTGCTGAATGAAAAGAAAAGTTAAACTCTGAGAGTTGAACGCACACATCACAGAGCAGTTTCTGAGAATGATTCTGTCTAGTTTTTATACGAAGATACTTCCTTTTCTGCCTTTGGCCTCACAGCGCTTGAAATCTCCACTTGCAAATTCCACAAAAAGAGTGTTTCAAATCTGCTCTGTGTAAATGAAAGTTCAACTCTGTGAGTTGAACACACACAACACAAGGAAGTTAGTGGGAATTCTTCTGTCTAGCATAGTATGAAGAAATCCCGTTTCCAACGAAGGCCTCAAAGAGGTCTGAATATCCACTTGCAGAGTTTACAAACAGAGTGTTTCCTAACTGCTCTATGAAAAGAAAGGTTAAACTCTGTGAGCTGAACGCACACATCACAAAGAAGTTTCTGAGAATCATTCTGTCTAGTCTTTATACGAAGATATTTCCTTTTCTACCATTGACCACAAAGCGGCTGAAATCTCCACTTGCAAATTCCACAAAAAGAGTGTTTCAAGTCTGCTCTGTGTAAAGGATCCTTCAACTCTGTGAGTTGAATACACACAACACAAGGAAGTTTCTGAGAATTCTTCTGTCTAGCAGAATATGAAGAAATCCCGTTTCCAACGAAGGCCTCAAGGAGGTCTGAATATCCACTTGCAGACTTTACAAACAGAGTGTTTCCTAACTGCTCTATGAACAGAAAGGTTAAACTCTGTGAGTTGAACGCACACATCACAAAGGAGTTTCTGAGAATAATTCTGTCTAGTTTCTATACGAAGATATTTCCCTTTCTACCATTGACTTCAAATCGGCTGAAATCTCCACTTGCAAATTCCACAAAAAGAGTGTTTCAAGTCTGCTCTGTGTAAAGGATCGTTCTACTCTGTGAGTTGAATACACACAACACAAGGAAAGTTTCTGAGAATTCTTCTGTCTAGCCTTATATGAAAAAAACCCGTTTCCAACGAAGGCCTCAAAGAGGTCTGAATATCCACTTGCAGACTTTACAAACAGAGTGTTTCCTAACTGCTCTATGAAAAGAAAGGTTAAACTCTGTGAGTTGAAGGCACACATCACAAAGGAGTTTCTGAGAATCATTCTGTCTAGTCTTTATAGGAAGGTATTTACTTTTCTACCATTGACCTCAAAGCGGCTGAAATCTCCACTTGCAAATTCCACAAAAAGAGTGTTTCAAGTCTGCTCTGTGTAAAGGATCATTCAACTCTGTGAGTTGAATAAACACAACACAAGGAAGTTACTGAGAATTCTTCTGTCTAGCAGAATATGAAGAAATCCCGTTTCCAACGAAGGCCTCAAAGAGGTCTGAATATCCACTTGCAGACTTTACAAACAGAGTGTTTCGTAACTGCTCTATGAAAAGAAAGGTTAAACTCTGTGAGTTGAACGCACACATCACAAAGGAGTTTCTGAGAATCGTTCTGTCTAGTTTCTATAAGAAGATATTTCCTATTCTACCATTGACCTCAAAGCGGCTGAAATCTCCACTTGCAAATTCGACAAAAAGAGTGTTTCAAGCCTGCCCTCTGTAAAGGATCCTTCAACTCTGTGAGTTGAATACACACAACACAAGGAAGTTACTGAGAATTGCTTCTGTCTAGCAGAATATGAAGAAATCCCGTTTCCAACGAAGGCCACAAGATATCAGAATATCCACTTACAGACTTTACAAACAGAGTGTTTCCTAACTGCTCTATGAACAGAAAGGTTAAACTCTGTGAGTTGAACGAACACATCACAACGCAGTTTGTGGGAATGATTTCTGTCTAGTTTTGAAAGTAAGATATTTCCTTTTCTGCCATTGACCTTAAAGCGCTTGAAATCTCCACTTGCTAATTGCACAAAAAGAGTGTTTCAAATCTGCTCTGTCTAAGGGAACGTTCAACTCTGTGAGTTGAATGTACACAACACAAGGAAGTTACTGGGAATTCTTCTGTCTAGCCTTACAGGAAAAAAACCCGTTTCCAACGAAGGCCTCTAAGTGGTCAAAATATCCACGTGCAGACTTTACAAACAGAGTGTTTCCAAACTGCTGAACGAAAAGAAAAGTTAAACTCTGAGAGTTGAACGCACACATCGCAGAGAAGTTTCTGAGAATGATTCTGTCTAGTTTTTATACGAAGATATTTCCTTTTCTGCCTTTGGCCTCAAAGCGCTTGAAATCTCCACTTGCAAATTCCACAAAAAGAGTGTTTCAAATCTGCTCTGTGTAAATGAAAGTTCAACTCTCTGAGTTGAACACACACAACACAAGGAAGTTACTGGGAATTCTTCTGTCTAGCAGAATATGAAGAAATCCCGTTTCCAACGAAAGTCTCAAAGATGTCTGAATATCCACTTGCAGACTTTACAAACAGAGTGTTTCCTAACTGCTCTATGAAAAGAAAGGTTAAACTCTGTGAGTAGAACGCACACATCACAAAGGAGTTTCTGAGAATCATTCTGTCTAGTTTTTATACGAAGATATTTCCTTTTCTACCATTGACCTCAAAGCGGCTGAAATCTCCACTTGTAAATTCCACAAAAAGAGTGTTTCAGGTCTGCTCTGTGTAAAGGATCGTTCAACTCTGTGAGTTGAATACACACAACACAAGGAAGATTCTGAGAATTCTTCTTTCTAGCAGAATATGAAGAAATCCCGTTTCCAACGAAAGCCTCAAGGATGTCTGAATATCCACTTGCAGACTTTAC
This sequence comes from Homo sapiens, assembly GCF_000001405.40. NCBI lineage: Eukaryota > Metazoa > Chordata > Mammalia > Primates > Hominidae > Homo > Homo sapiens. The sequence goes on along the minus strand of NC_000005.10, from coordinate 47,733,930 downwards.
AAACAGAGTGTTTCCCAACTGCTCTATGAAAAGAAAGGTTAAACTCTGTGAGTTGAACACACACATCACAAAGGAGTTTCTGAGAATCATTCTGTCTAGTTTCTATAGGAAGATATTTCCTATTCTACCATTGAACTCAAAGCGGCTGAAATCTCCACTTGCAAATGCCACAAAAAGAGTGTTTCAAGTCTGCTCTGTGTAAAGGATCGTTCAACTCTGTGAGTTGAATACACACAACACAAGGAAAGTTACTGAGAATTCTTCTGTGTAGCATAATATGAAGAAATCCCCTTTCCAACGAAGGCCTCAAGGAGGTCTGAATATCCACTTGCAGACTTTACTAACAGAGTGCTTCCTAACTGCTCTATGAAAAGAAAGGTTAAACTCTGTGAGTTGAACGCACACATCACAAAGGAGTTTCTGAGAATCATTCTGTCTAGTTTTGAAACGAAGATATTTCCTTTTCTGCCATTGACCTTAAAGCGCTTGAAATCTACACTTGCAAATTGCACAAATAGAGTGTTTCAAATCTGCTCTGTCTAAGGGAACGTTCATCTGTGTGAATTGAATGCACACAACACAAGGAAGTTACTGGGAATTCTTCTGTCTAGCCTTACATGAAGAAAACCCGTTTCCAACGAAGGCCTCTAAGTGGTCAAAATATCCACGTGCAGACTTTACAAACAGAGTGTTTCCAAACTGCTGAATGAAAAGAAAAGTTAAACTCTGAGAGTTGAACGCACACATCACAGAGCAGTTTCTGAGAATGATTCTGTCTAGTTTTTATACGAAGATATTTCCTTTCTGCCTTTGGCCCCAAAGCGCTTGAAATCTCCACTTGCAAATTCCACAAAAACAGTGTTTCAAATCTGCTCTCTCTAAATGAAAGTTCAACTCTGTCAGTTGAATACACACAACAGAAGGAAGTTACTGAGAATTCTTCTGTCTAGCAGAATATGAAGAAACCCCGTTTCCAACGAAGGCCTCAAGGAGGTCTGAATATCCACTTGCAGACTATATAAACAGAGTGTTTCCTAACTGCTCTATGAAAAGAAATGTTAAACTCTGTGAGTTGAACGCAAACATCACAAAGGAGTTTCTGAGAATCATTCTGTCTAGTTTCTATAGGAAGATATTTCCTATTCTACCATTGACCTCAAAGCGGCTGAAATCTCCACTTGCAAATTCCACAAAAAGAGTGTTTCAAGTCTGCTCTGTGTAAAGGATCGTTCAACTCTGTGAGTTGAATACACACAACACAAAGAAGTTACTGAGAATTCTTCTGTCTAGCAGAATATGAAGAAATCCCGTTTCCAACGAAGGCCACAAGATGTCAGAATATCCACTTACAGACTTTACAAACAGAGTGTTTCCTCACTGCTCTATGAACAGAAAGGTTAATACTCTGTGAGTTGAACGAACACATCACAACGCAGTTTGTGGGAATGATTCTGTCTAGTTTTGAAACGAAGATATTTCCTTTTCTGCCATTGACCTTAAAGCGCTTGAAATCTACACTTGCAAATTGCACAAATAGAGTGTTTCAAATCTGCTCTGTCTAAAGGAAAGTTCAACTCTGTGAGTTGAATGCACACAACACAAGGAAGTTACTGGGAATTCTTCTGTCTAGCCTTACATGAAAAAAACCCGTTTCCAACTAAGGCCTCTAAGTGGTCAAATTATCCACGTGCAGACTTTACAAACAGAGTGTTTCCAAACTGCTGAATGAAAAGAAAAGTTAAACTCTGAGAGTTGAACGCACACTTCGCAGAGCAGTTTCTGAGAATGATTGTGTCTAGTTTTTATACGAAGATATTTCCTTTTCTGCCTTTGGCCCCAAAGCGCTTGAAATCTCCACTTGCAAATTCCACAAAAACAGTGTTTCAAATCTGCTCTCTCTAAATGATAGTTCAACTCTGTCAGTTGAATACACACAACACAAGGAAGTTACTGAGAATTCTTCTGTCTAGCCTTACATGAAAAAACCCGTTTCCAACGAAGGCCTCAAAGAGGTCAAAATATCCACTTGCAGACTTTACAAACAGAGTGTTTCCTAACTGCTCTATGAAAAGAAAGGTTAAACTCTGTGAGTTGAACACACACATCACAAAGGAGTTTCTGAGAATCATTCTGTCTAGTTTTTATACGAAGATATTTCCTTTTCTACCATTGACCTCAAAGCGGCTGAAATCTCCACTTGCAAATTCCACAAAAAGAGTGTTTCAAGTCTGCTCTGTGTAAAGGATCGTTCACCTCTGTAAGTTGAATACACACAACACAAGGAAGTTACTGAGAATTCTTCTCTCTAGCAGAATATGAAGAAATCCGGTTTCCAACGAAGGCCTCAAAGAGGTCTGTATATCCACTTGCAGACTTTACAAACAGAGTGTTTCCTAACTGCTCTATGAAAAGAAAGGTTAAACTCTGTGAGTTGAACGCACACATCACAAAGGAGTTTCTGAGAATCATTCTGTCTAGTTTCTATAGGAAGATATTTCCTATTCTACCATTGACCTCAAAGCGGCTGAAATCTCCACTTGCAAATTACACAACAAGAGTGTTTCAAGTCTGCTCTGTGTAAAGGATCGTTCAACTCTGTGAGTTGAATACACACAACACAAGGAAGTTACTGAGAATTCTTCTGTCTAGCAGAATATGAAGAAATCCCGTTCCCAACGAAGGCCACAAGGATGTCAGAATATCCACTTTCAGACTTTACAAACAGAGTGTTTCCTAACTGCTCTATGAACAGAAAGGTTAAACTCTGTGAGTTGAACGAACACATCACAACGCAGTTTGTGGGAATGATTCTGTCTAGTTTTGAAACGATGATATTTCCTTTTCTGCCATTGACCTTAAAGCGCTTGAAATCTCCATTTGCCAATTGCACAAAAAGAGTGTTTCAAATCTGCTCTGTCTAAGGGAACGTTCAACTCTGTGAGTTGAATGTACACAACACAAGGAAGTTACTGGGAATTCTTCTGTCTAGCCTTACATGAAAAAAACCCGTTTCCAACGAAGGCCTCTAAGTGGTCAAAATTTCCACGTGCAGAATTTACAAACAGAGTGTTTCCAAACCGCTGAATGAAAAGAAAAGTTAAACTCTGAGAGTTGAACGCACACATCACGCAGCAGTTTCTGAGAATGATTCTGTCTAGTTTTCATACGAAGATATTTCCTTTTCTGCCTTTGGCCTCAAAGCGCTTGAAATCTCCACTTGCAAATTCCACAAAAAGAGTGTTTCAAATCTGCTCTGTGTAAATCAAAGTTCAACTCTGTGAGTTGAACACACACAACACAAGGAAGTTACTGGGAATTCTTCTGTCTAGCCTTATATGAAAAAATCCCGTTTCCAACGAAGGTCTCAAAAAGGTCTGAATATCCACTTGCAGACTTTACAAACAGAGTGTTTCCTAACTGCTCTATGAAAAGAAAGGTTAAACTCTGTGAGTTGAACACACACATCACAAAGGAGTTTCTGAGAATCATTCTGTCTAGTTTCTATAGGAAGATATTTCCTATTCTACCATTGACATCAAAGCGGCTGAAATCTCCACTAGCAAATTCCACAAAAAGAGTGTTTCAAGACTGTTCTGTGTAAAGGATCATTCAACTCTGTGAGTTGAATACACACAACACAAGGTAAGTTACTGAGAATTCTTCTGTCTAGCAGAACATGAAGAAATCCCGCTTCCAACGAAGGCCTCAAAGAAGTCTGAATATCCACTTGCAGACTTTACAAACAGAGTGTTTCCCAAGTGCTCTATGAAAAGAAAGGTTGAACTCTATGAGTTGAAAGCACATATCACAAAGGAGTTTCTGAGAATCATTCGGTCTAGTTTCTATAGGATGATATTTCCTATTCTACCATTGACCTCAAAGCGGCTGAAATCTCCACTTGCAAATTCCACAAAAAGAGTGTTTCAAGTCTGCTCTGTGTAAAGGATCGTTCAACTCTGTGAGTAGAATACACACAACACAAGGAAGTTACTGAGAATTATTCTGTCTGGCAGAACATGAAGAAATCCCGTTTCCAACGAAGGCCTCAAAGAGGTCTGAATATCCACTTGCAGACTTTACAAACAGAGTGTTTCCTAACTACTCTATGAAAAGAAAGGTTAAACTCTGTGAGTTGAACGAACACATCACAACGCAGTTTGTGGGAATGATTCTGTCTAGTTTTTATACGAAGATATTTCCTTTTCTACCATTGACCTCAAAGCGGCTGAAATCACCACTTGCCAATTGCACAAAAAGAGTGTTTCAAATCTGCTCTGTCTAAGGGAACGTTCAACTCTGTGAGTTGAATGTACACAACACAAGGAAGTTCCTGGGAATTCTTCTGTCTAGCCTTACAAGAAAAAAACCCGTTTCCAACGAAGGCCTCTAAATGGTCAAAATATCCACGTGCAGACTTTACAAACAGAGTGTTTCCAAACTGCTGAATGAAAAGAAAAGTTAAACTCTGAGAGTTGAACGCACACATCGCAGAGCAGTTTCTGAGAATGATTATCTGTCTAGTTTTTATACGAAGATATTTCCTTTTCTGCCCTTGGCCCCAAAGCGCTTGAAATCTCCACTTGCAACTTCCACAAAAACAGTGTTTCAAATCTGCTCTCTCTAAATGAAAGTTCAACTCTGTCAGTTGAATACACACAACACAAGGAAGTTACTGAGAATTCTTCTGTCTAGCAGAATATGAAGAAATCCCGTTTCCAACGAAGGCCTCAAGGAGGTCTGAATATCTACTTGCAGACTTTACAAACAGAGTGTTTCCCAACTGCTCTATGAAAAGAAAGGTGAAACTCTGTGAGTTGAATGCACACATCACAAAGGAGTTTATGAGAATCATTCTGTCTAATTTTTATACGAAGATATTTCCTTTTCTACCATTGACCTCAACGCGGCTGAAATCTCCACTTGCAAATTCCACAAAAAGAGTGTTTCAAGTCCGCTCTGTGTAAAGGATCGTTCAACTCTGTGAGTTGAATACACACAACAGAAGGAAGTTACTGAGAATTCTTCTGTCTAGCACAGTATGAATAAATCCCGTTTCCAACGAAGGCAGCAAAGAGGTCTGAATATCCACTTGCAGAGTTTACAAACAGAGTGTTTCCTAACTGCTCTATGAAAAGAAAGGTTAAACTCTGTGAGTTGAACGCACACATCACAATGAAGTTTCTGAGAATCATTCTGTCTAGTTTTTATACGAAGATATTTCCTTTTCTACCATTGACCTCAAAGCGGCTGAAATCACCACTTGCCAATTGCACAAAAAGAGTGTTTCAAATCTGCTCTGTCTAAGGGAACGTTCAACTCTGTGAGTTGAATGTACACAACACAAGGAAGTTACTGGGAATTCTTCTGTCAAGCCTTACAGGAAAAAAACCCGTTTCCAACGAAGGCCTCTAAGTGGTCAAAATATCCACGTGCAGACTTTAGAAACAGAGTGTTTCCAAACTGCTGAATGAAAAGAAAAGTTAAACTCTGAGAGTTGAACGCACACATCGCAGAGCAGGTTCTGAGAATGATTCTGTCTAGTTTTTATACGAAGATATTTCCTTTTCTGCTTTTGGTCTCAAAGCGCTTGAAATCTCCACTTGCAAATTCCACAAAAAGAGTGTTTCCAATCTGCTCTGTGTAAATGAAAGTTCAACTCTGTGAGTTGAACACACACAACACAAGGAAGTTACTGGGAATTCTTCTGTTTGGCACAGTATGAAGAAATCCCGTTTCCAACGAAGGCCTCAGAGAGGTCTGAATATCCACTTGCAGACTTTACAAACAGAGTGTTTCCTAACTGCTCTATGAAAAGAAATGTTAAACTCTGTGAGTTGAACGCACACGTCACAATGAAGTTTCTGAGAATCATTCTGTCTAGTTTTTATACGAAGATATTTCCTTTTCTACCATTGACCTCAAAGCGGCTGAAATCTCCAATTGCAAATTCCACAAAAAGAGTGTTTCAAGTCCGCCCTGTGTAAAGGATCGTTCAACTCTGTGAGTTGAATACACACAACACAAGGAAGTTACTGAGAATTCTTCTGTCTAGCAGAATATGAAGAAATCCCGTTTCCAACGAAGGCCACAAGATGTCAGAATATCCACTTACAGAATTTACAAACAGACTGTTTCCTAACTGCTGTATGAAAAGAAAGGTTAAACTCTGTGAGATGAACGAACACATCACAACGCAGTTTTTGGGAATGATTCTCTCTAGTTTTGAAACGAAGATATTTCCTTTTCTGCCATTGACCTTAAAGCGCTTGAAATCTCCACTTGCCAATTGCACAAAAAGAGTGTTTCAAATCTGCTCTGTCTAAGGGAACGTTCAACTCTGTGAGTTGAATGTACACAAGACAAGGAAGTTACTGGGAATTCTTCTGTCTAGCCTTACAGGAAAAAAACCCGTTTCCAACGAAGGCCTCTAACTGGTCAAAATATCCACGTGCAGACTTTACAAACAGAGTGTTTCCAAACTGCTGAATGAAAAGAAAAGTTAAACTCTGAGAGTTGAACGCACACATCGCAGAGCAGTTTCTGAGAATGATTCTGTCTACTTTTTATACGAAGATATTTCGTTTTCTGCCTTTGGCCCCAAAGCGCTTGAAATCTCCACTTGCAAATTCCACAAAAACAGTGTTTCAAATCTGCTCTCTCTAACTGAAAGTTCAACTCTGTCAGTTGAATACACACAACACAAGGGAAGTTACTGAGAATTCTTCTGTCTAGCAGAATATGAAGAAATCCCGTTTCCAACGAATGCCTGAAGGAGGTTCTGAGTATCCACTTGCAGACTTTACAAACAGAGTGTTTCCTAACTGCTCTATGAACAGAAAGGTTAAACTCTGTGAGTTGAACGCACACATCACAAAGGAGTTTCTGAGAATCATTTCTGTCTAGTTTTTATACGAAGATATCTCCTTTTCTACCATTGACCTCAAAGCGGCTGAAATCTGCACTTGCAAATTCCACAAAAAGAGTGTTTCAAGTCTGCTCTGTGTAAAGGATCGTTCAACTCTGTGAGTTGAATACACACAACACAAGGAAGTTACTGAGAATCCTTCTGTCTAGCAGAATATGAAGAAATCCCGTTTCCAACGAAGGCCACAAGATGTCAGAATATCCACTTACAGAATTTACAAACAGACTGTTTCCTAACTGCTCTATGAAAAGAATGGTTAAACTCTGTGAGTTGAACGAACACATCACAACGCAGTTTGTGGGAATGATTCTGTCTAGTTTTTCTACGAAGATATTTCCTTTTCTACCATTGACCTCAAATCGGCTGAAATCACCACTTGCCAATTGCACAAAAAGAGTGTTTCAAATCTGCTCTGTCTAAGGGAACGTTCAACTCTGTGAGTTGAATGTACACAACACAAGGAAGTTACTGAGAATTCTTCTATCTAGCCTTACAGGAAAGAAACCCGTTTCCAACGAAGGCCTCTAAGTGGTCAAAATATCCACGTGCAGACTTTACAAACAGAGTGTTTCCAAACTGCTGAATGAAAAGCAAAGTTAAACTCTGAGAGTTGAACGCACACATCGCAGAGCAGTTTCTGAGAATGATTCTGTCTAGTTTTTATATGAAGATATTTCCTTTTCTACCATTGACCTCAAAGCGGCTGAAATCTCCACTTACAAATTCCACAAAAAGAGTGTCTCAAGTCTGCTGTGTGTAAAGGATCGTTCAACTCTGTGAGTTGAATACACACAACACAAGGAAGTTTCTGAGAATTCTTCTGTCTAGCATAATATGAAGAAATCCCGTTTCCAACGAAGGCCTCAAAGGGGTCTGAATATACACTTGCAGACTTTATAAACAGAGTGTTTACTAACTGCTCTATGAAAAGAAAGGTTAAACTCTGTGAGTTGAACACACACATCACAAAGGAGTTTCTGAGAATCATTCTGTCTAGTTTTTCTACGAAGATATTTCCTTTTCTACTATTGACCTGAAAGCGGCTGAAATCTCCACTTGCAAATTCCACAAAAAGAGTGTTTCAAGTCTGCTATGTGTAAAGGATCGTTCAACTCTGTGAGTTGAATACACACAACACAAGGAAGTTACTGAGAATTTTTCTGTCTAGCAGAATATGAAGAAATCCCGTTTCCAACGAAGGCCTCAAAGAGGTCTGAATATCCACTTGCAGACTTTACAAACAGAGTGTTTACTAACTGCTCTATGAAAAGAAAAGTTAAACTCTGTGAGGTGAACGCACACATCACAAAGGAGTTTCTGAGAATCGTTCTCTCTAGTTTTGAAACGAAGATATTTCCTTTTCTGCCGTTGACCTTAAAGAGCTTGAAAACTACACTTGCAAATTGCACAAATAGAGTGTTTCAAATCTGCTCTGTCTAAGGGAACGTTCAACTCTGTGAGTTGAATGCACACAACACAAGGAAGTTACTGGGAATTCTTCTGTCTAGCCTTACATGAAAAAAACCCGTTTCCAACGAAGGCCTCTAAGTGGTCAAAATTTCCACGTGCAGACTTTACAAACAGAGTGTTTCCAAACCGCTGAATGAAAAGAAAAGTTAAACTCTGAGAGTTGAACGCACACATCACGCAGCAGATTCTGAGAATGATTCTGTCTAGTTTTGAAACGAAGATATTTCCTTTTCTGCCTTTGGCCTCAAAGCGCTTGAAATCTCCACTTGCAAATTCCACAAAAAGAGTGTTTCAAATCTGCTCTGTGTAAATGAAAGTTCAACTCTGTGAGTTGAACACACACAACACAAGGATGTTACTGGGAATTCTTCTGTCTAGCAGAATATGAAGAAATCCCGTTTCCAACGAAAGCCTCAAAGATGTCTGAATATCCACTTGCAGACTTTACAAACAGAGTGTTTCCTAACTGCTCTATGAAAAGAAAGGTTAAACTCTGTGAGTTGAACGCACACAGCACAAAGGAGTTTCTGAGAATCATTCTGTCTAGTCTTTATATGAAGATAGTTTCCTTTTCTACCATTGACCTCAAAGCGGCTGAAATCTCCACTTGCAAATTCCACAAAAAGAGTGTTTCAAGTCTGCTCTGTGTAAAGGATCGTTCAACTCTGTGCGTTGAATACACACAACACAAGGAAGTTACTGAGAATTCTTCTGTGTAGCAGAATATGAAGAAATCCCGTTTCCAACGAAGGCCACAAGATGTCAGAATATCCACTTACAGACTTTACAAACAGAGTGTTTCCTAACTGCTCTATGAACAGAAAGGTTAAACTCTGTGAGTTGAACGAACACATCACAACGCAGTTTGTGGGAATGATTCTGTCTAGTTTTTATACGAAGATATTTCCTTTTCTACCATTGACCTCAAAGCGGCTGAAATCACCACTTGCCAATTGCACAAAAAGAGTGTTTCAAATCTGCTCTATCTAAGGGAACGTTCAACTCTGTGAGTTGAATGTACACAAAACAAGGAAGTTACTGGGAATTCTTCTGTCTAGCCGTACATGAAAAAAACCCGTTTCCAACGAAGGCCTCTAAGTGGTCAAAATATCCACGTGCAGACTTTACAAACAGAGTGTTTCCAAACCGCTGAATGAAAAGAAAAGTTAAACTCTGAGAGTTGAACGCACACATCACGCAGCAGTTTCTGAGAATGATTCTGTCTAGTTTTTATACGAAGATATTTCCTTTTCTACCATTGACCTCAACGCGGCTGAAATCTCCACTTGCAAATTTCACAAAAAGAGTGTTTCAAGTCCGCTCTGTGTAAAGGATCGTTCAACTCTGTGAGTTGAATACACACAACACAAGGGAAGTTACTGAGAATTCTTCTGTCTAGCACAGTATGAAGAAATCCCGTTTCCAACGAAGGCCTCAAAGAGGTCTGAATATCCACTTGCAGAGTTTACAAACCGAGTGTTTCCTAACTGCTCTATGAAAAGAAAGGTTAAACTCTATGAGTTGAACGCACACATCACAAAGAAGTTTCTGAGAATCATTCTGTCTAGTTTTTATACGAAGATATTTCCTTTTCTACCATTGACCTCAAAGCGGCTGAAATCTCCACTTGCAAATTCCACAAAAAGAGTGTTTCAAGTCTACTCTGTGTAAAGGATCGTTCAACTCTGTGAGTTGAATACACACAACACAAGGAAGTTACTGAGAATTCTTCTGTCTAGCAGAATATGAAGAAATCCCGTTTCCAACGAAGGCCACAAGATGTCAGAATATCCACTTACAGAATTGACAAACAGACTGTTTCCTAACTGCTCTATGAAAAGAAAGGTGAAACTCTGTGAGTTGAACACACACATCACAACGCAGTTTGTGGGAATGATTCTGTCTAGTTTTGAAACGAAGATATTTCCTTTTCTGCCGTTGACCTTAAAGCGCTTGAAATCTACACTTGCAAATTGCACAAATAGAGTGTTTCAAATCTGCTCTGTCTTAGGGAACGTTCAACTCTGTGAGTTGAATGCACACAACACAAGGAAGTTACTGGGAATTCTTCTGTCTAGCCTTACATGAAAAAAACCCGTTTCCAACGAAGGCCTCTAAGTGGTCAAAATTTCCACGTGCAGACTTTACAAACAGAGTGTTTCCAAACCGCTGAATGAAAAGAAAAGTTAAACTCTCAGAATTGAACGCACACATCACGCAGCAGTTTCTGAGAATGATTCTGTCTAGTTTTTATACGAAGATATTTCCTTTTCTGCCCTTGGCCCCAAAGCGCTTGAAATCTCCAATTGCAAATTCCACAAAAACAGTGTTTCAAATCTGCTCTCTCTAAATGAAAGTTCAACTCTGTCAGTTGAATACACACAACACAAGGAAGTTACTGAGAATTCTTCTGTCTAGCAGAATATGAAGAAATCCCGTTTCCAACGAAGGCCTCAAAGAGGTCTGAATATCCACTTGCAGACTTTACAAACAGAGTGTTTCCTAACTGCTCTATGAACAGAATGGTTGAACTCTGTGAGTTGAACGCATACATCACAAAGCAGTTTCTGAGAATCATTCTGTCTAGTTTCTATAGGAAGATATTTCCTATTCTACCATTGACCTCAAAGCGGCTGAAATCTCCACTTGCAAATTCCACAAAAAGAGTGTTTCAAGTCTGCTCTGTGTAAAGGATCGTTCAACTCTGTGAGTTGAATACACACAACACAACGAAGTTACTGAGAATTCTTCTGTCTAGCAGAATATGAAGAAATCCCGTTTCCAACGAAGGCCACAAGATGTCAGAATATCCACTTACAGAATTTACAAACAGACTGTTTCCTAACTGCTCTATGAAAAGAAAGGTTAAACTCTGTGAGTTGAACGAACACATCACAACGCAGTTTGTGGGAATGATTATCTGTCTAGTTTTGAAACGAAGATATTTCCTTTTCTGCCATTGACCTTAAAGCGCTTGAAATCTACACTTGCAAATTGCACAAATAGAGTGTTTCAAATCTGCTCTGTCTAAGGGAACGTTCAACTCTGTGAGTTAAATGCACACAACACAAGGAAGTTACTGGGAATTCTTCCGTCTAGCCTTACATGAAAAAAACCCGTTTCCAACGAAGGCCTCTAAGTGGTCAAAAATATCCACGTGCAGACTTTACAAACAGAGTGTTTCCAAACCGCTGAATGAAAAGAAAAGTTAAACTCTGAGAGTTGAAGGCACACATCACGCAGCAGTTTATGAGAATGATTCTGTCTAGTTTTTATACGAAGATATTTCCTTTTCTGCCTTTGGCCTCAAAGCGCTTGAAATCTCCACTTGCAAATTCCACAAAAAGAGTGTTTAAAGTCTGCTCTGTGTAAATGAAAGTTCAACTCTGTGAGTTGAACACACACAACACAAGGAAGTTACTGAGAATTCTTCTGTCTAGCATAATATGAAGAAATCCCGTTTCCACCGAAGGCCTCAAAGAGGTCTGAATATCCACTTGCAGACTTTACAAACAGAGTGTTTCCTAACTGCTCTATGAGAAGAAAAGTTAAACTCTGTGAGTTGAACGCACACATCACAAAAGATTTTCTGAGAATCATTCTGTCTAGTTTTTCTACGAAGATATTTCCTTTTCTACTATTGACCTCAAAGCGGCTGAAATCTCCACTTGCAAATTCCACAAAAAGAGTGTTTCAAGACTGCTCTGTGTAAAGGATCGTTCAAATCTGTGAGTTGAATACACACAACACAAGGAAGTTACTGAGAATTCTTCTGTCTAGCAGAATATGAAGAAATCCCGTTTCCAACGAAGGCCACAAGATGTCAGAATATCCACTTACAGACTTTACAAACAGAGTGTTTCCTAACTGCTTTATGAACAGAAAGGTTAAACTCTGTGAGTTGAACGAACACATCACAACGCAGTTTGTGGGAATGATTCTCTCTAGTTTTGAAACGAAGATATTTCCTTTTCTGCCATTGACCTTAAAGCGCTTGAAATCTCCACTTGCCAATTGCACAAAAAGAGTGTTTCAAATCTGCTCTGTCTAAGGGAACGTTCAACTCTGTGAGTTGAATGTACACAACACAAGGAAGTTACTGGGAATTCTTCTGTCTAGCCTTACATGAAAAAATCCCGTTTCCAACGAAGGCCTCTAAGTGGTCAAAATATCCACGTGCAGACATTACAAACAGAGTGTTTCCAAACCGCTGAATGAAAAGAAAAGTTAAACTCTGTGAGTTGAACGCACACATCACGCAGCAGTTTCTGAGAATGATTCTGTCTAGTTTCTATACGAAGATATTTCCTTTTCTGCCTTTGGCCTCACAGCGCTTGAAATCTCCACTTGCAAATTCCACAAAAAGAGTGTTTCAAATCTGCTCTGTGTAAATGAAAGTTCAACTCTGTGAGTTGAACACACACAACACAAGGAAGTTACTGGGAATTCTTCTGTCTAGCAGAATATGAAGAAATCCCGTTTCCAACGAAGCCCTCAAGGAGGTCTGAATATCCACTTGCAGACTTTACAAACAGAGTGTTTCCTAACTGCTCTATGAAAAGAAAGGTGAAACTCTGTGAGTTGAACGCACACATCACAAAGGAGTTTCTGAGAATCATTCTGTCTAGTTTTTATACGAAGATATTTCCTTTTCTACCATTGACCTCAAAGCGGCTGAAATCTCCACTTGCAAATTCCACAAAAAGATTTTTTCAAGTCTGCTCTGTGTAAAGGATCGTTGAACTCTGTGAGTTGAATACACACAACACAAGGAAGTTACTGAGAATTCTTCTGTCTAGCAGAATATGAAGAAATCCCGTTTCCAACGAAGGCCTCAAAGAGGTCTGAATATCCACTTGCACACTTTACAAACAGAGTGTTTCCTAACTGCTCTATGAAAAGAAAGGTTAAACTCTGCGACTTGAACGCACACATCACAAAGGAGTTTCTGAGAATCATTCTGTCTAGTATTGAAACGAAGATATTTCCTTTTCTGCCATTGACCTTAAAGCGCTTGAAATCTACACTTGCAAATTGCACAAATAGAGTGTTTCAAATCTGCTCTGTCTAAGGGAACGTTCAACTCTGTGAGTTGAATGCACACAACACAAGGAAGTTACTGGGAATTCTTCTGTCTAGCCTTACATTAAAAAAAACCGTTTCCAACGAAGGCCTCTAAGTGGTCAAATTATCCACGTGCAGACTTTACAAACAGAGTGTTTCCAAACTGCTGAATGAAAAGAAAAGTTTAACTCTGAGAGTTGAACGCACACATCGCAGAGCAGTTTCTGAGAATGATTCTGTCTAGTTTTTATACGAAGATATTTCCTTTTCTGCCTTTGGCCCCAAAGCGCTTGAAATTTCCACTTACAAATTCCACAAAAACAGTGTTTCAAATCTGCTCTCTCTAAATGAAAGTTCAACTCTGTCAGTTGAATACACACAACACAAGGAAGTTACTGAGAATTCTTCTGTCTAGCATAATATGAAGAAATCCCGTTTCCAACGAAGGCCTCAAGGAGGTCTGAATATCCACTTGCAGACTTTACAAACAGAGTGTTTCCTAAGTGCTCTATGAAAAGAAAGGTTAAACTCTGTGAGTTGAACGCACACATCACAAAGGAGTTTCTGAGAATGATTCTGTCTAGTTTCTATAGGAAGATATTTCCTATTCTACCATTGACCTCAAAGCGGCTGAAATCTCCACTTGCAAATTCCACAAAAAGAGTGTTTCAAGTCTGGTCTGTGTAAAAGATCGTTCAACTCTGTGAGTTGAATACACACAACACAAGGAAGTTACTGAGAATTCTTCTGTCTAGCCTTATATGAAAAAAACCCGTTTCCAACGAAGGCCTCAAAGAGGTCTGAATATCCACTTGCAGACTTTACAAACGGAGTGTTTCCTAACTGCTCTATGAAAAGAAAGGTTAAACTCTGTGAGTTGAACGCACACATCACAAAGGAGTTTCTGAGAATCATTCTGTCTAGTTTCTATAAGAAGATATTTCCTATTCTACCATTGACCTCAAAGCGGCTGAAATCTCCACTTGCAAATTCCACAAAAAGAGTGTTTCAAGTCTGCTCTGTGTAAAGGATCGTTCAACTCTGTGAGTTGAATACACACAACACAAGGAAGTTACTGAGAATTCTTCTGTCTAGCAGAATATGAAGAAATCCCGTTTCCAACGAAGGCCTCTAGGAGGTCTGAATATCCACTTGCAGACTTTACAAACAGAGTGTTTCCTAACTGCTCTATGAACAGAAAGGTAAAACTCTGTGAGTTGAACGAACACATCACAACGCAGTTTGTGGGAATGATTCTGTCTAGTTTTGAAACGAAGATATTTCCTTTTCTGCCGTTGACCTTAAAGCGCTTGAAATCTACACTTTCAAATTGCACAAATAGAGTGTTTCAAATCTGCTCTGTCTAAGGGAACGTTCAACTCTGTGAGTTGAATGCACACAACACAAGGAAGTTACTGGGAATTCTTCTGTCTAGCCTTACATGAAAAAAAACCCGTTTCCAACGAAGGCCTCTAAGTGGTCAAAATATCCACGTGCAGACTTTACAAACAGAGTGTTTCCAAACCGCTGAATGAAAAGAAAAGTTAAACTCTGAGAGTTGAACGCACACATCACGCAGCAGTTTCTGAGAATGATTCTGTCTAGTTTTTATACGAAGATATTTCCTTTTCTACCATTGACCTCAAAGCGGCTGAAATCTCTACTTGCAAATTACACAAAAAGAGTGTTTCAAGTCTACTCTGTGTAAAGCATCGTTCAACTCTGTGAGTTGAAAACACACAACACAAGGAAGTTTCTGAGAATTCTTCTGTATAGCAGAATATGAAGAAATCACGTTTCCAACGAAGGCCTCAAAGATGTCTGAATATCCACTTGCAGACTATAAAAACAGAGTGTTTCCTAACTGCTCTATGAAAAGAAAGGTTAAACTCTGTGAGTTGAACGCACACATCACAAAGGAGTTTCTGAGAATCATTCTGTCTAGTTTCTATAGGAAGATATTTCCTATTCTACCATTGACCTCAAAGCGGCTGAAATCTCCACTTGCAAATTCCACAAAAAGAGTGTTTCAAGTCTGCTCTGTGTAAAGGATCGTTCAACTCTGTGAGTTGAAAACACACAACACAAGGAAGTTACTGAGAATTATTCTGTCTAGCAGAATATGAAGAAATCCCGTTTCCAACGAAGGCCTCAAGGAGGTCTGAATATCCACTTGCAGACTTTACAAACAGAGTGTTTCCTAACTGCTCTATGAACAGAAAGGTTAAACTCTGTGAGTTGAACGAACACATCACAAGGCAGTTTGTGGGAAAGATTCTGTCTAGTTTTTATACGAAGATATTTCCTTTTCTACCATTGACCTCAAAGCGGATGAAATCACCACTTGCCAATTGCACAAACAGAGTGTTTCAAATCTGCTCTGTCTAAGGGAACGTTCAATTCTGTGAGTTGAATGTACACAACACAAGAAAGTTACTGGGAATTCTTCTCTCTAGCCTTACAGGAAAAAAACCCGTTTCCAACGAAGGCCTCTAAGTAGTCAAATTATCCACGTGCAGACTTTACAAACAGAGTGTTTCCAAACTGCTGAATGGAAAGAAAAGTTAAACTCTGAGAGTTGAACGCACACATCGCAGAGCAGTTTCTGAGAATGATTCTGTCTAGTTTTTATACGAAGATATTTCCTTTTCTGCCTTTGGCCCCAAAGCGCTTGACATCTCCACTTGCAAATTCCACAAAAACAGTGTTTCAAATCTGCTCTGTCTAAATGAAATTTCAACCCTGTCAGTTGAATGCACGCAACACAAGGAGGTTACTGAGAATTCTTCTGTCTAGCAGAATATGAAGAAATCCCGCTTCCAACGAAGGCCTCAAAGAAGTCTGAATATCCACTTGCAGACTTTACAAACAGAGTTTTTCCCAACTGCTCTATGAAAAGAAAGTTTGAACTCTGTGTGTTGAACGCACACATCACAAAGGAGTTTCTGAGAATCATTCTGTCTAGTTTCTATAAGAAGATATTTCCTATTCTACCATTGACCTCAAAGCGGCTGAATTCTCCACTTGCAAATTCGACAAAAAGAGTGTTTCAAGCCTGCTCTCTGTAAAGGATCCTTCAACTCTGTGAGTTGAATACACACAACACAAGGAAGTTACTGAGAATTATTCTGTCTAGCATAATATGAAGAAATCCCGTTTCCAACGAAGGCCTCAAAGAGGTCTGAATATCCACTTGCAGACTTTACAAACAGAGTGTTTCCTAACTGCTCTATGAGAAGAAAAGTTAAACTCTGTGAGTTGAACGCACGCATCACAAAAGATTTTCTGAGAATCATTCTGTCTAGTTTTGAAACGAAGATATTTCCTTTTCTGCCATTGACCTTAAAGCGCTTGAAATCTACACTTGCAAATTGCACAAATAGAGTGTTTCAAATCTGCTCTGTCTACGGAACGTTCAACTCTGTGAGTTGAATGCACACAACACAAGGAAGTTACTGGGAATTCTTCTGTCTAGCCTTACATGAAAAAAACCCGTTTCCAACGAAGGCGTCTAAGTGGTCAAAATAACCACGTGCAGACTTTACAAACAGAGTGTTTCCAAACCGCTGAATGAAAAGAAAAGTTAAACTCTGAGAGTTGAACGCACACATCACGCAGCAGTTTCTGAGAATGATTCTGTCTAATTTTGAAACGAAGATATTTCCTTTTCTGCCTTTGGCCTCAAAGCGCTTGAAATCTCCACTTGCAAATTCCACTAAAAGAGTGTTTCAAATCTGCTCTGGGTAAATGAAAGTTCAACTCTGTGAGTTGAACACACACAACACAAGGAAGTTACTGGGAATTCTTCTGTGTAGCAGAATATGAAGAAATCCCGTTTCCAACGAAGGCCTCTAGGAGGTCTGAATATCCACTTGCAGACTTTACAAACAGAGTGTTTCCTAACTGCCCTATGAAAAGAAAGGTTAAACTCTGTGAGTTGAACACACACATCACAAAGGAGTTTCTGAGAATCATTCTGTCTAGTTTTTCTACGAAGATATTTCCTTTTCTACCATTGACCTCAAAGCGGCTGAAATCTCCACTTGCAAATTCCACAAAAAGAGTGTTTCAAGTCTGCTCTGTGTAAAGGATCGTTCAACTCTGTGAGTTGAATACACACAACACAAGGAAGTTACTGGGAATTCTTCTGTCTAGCAGAATATGAAGAAATCCCGTTTCCAACGAAGGGCCACAAGATGTCAGAATATCCACTTACAGACTTTACAAACAGAGTGTTTCCTAACTGCTCTATGAACAGAAAGGTTAAACTCTGTGAGTTGAACGAATACATCACAACGCAGTTTGTGGGAATGATTCTGTCTAGTTTTGAAACGAAGATATTTCCTTTTCTGCCATTGACCTTAAAGCGCTTGAAATCTACACTTGCAAATTGCACAAATAGAGTGTTTCAAATCTGCTCTGTCTAAGCGAACGTTCATCTCTGTGAGTTGAATGCACACAACACAAGGAAGTTACTGGGAATTCTTCTGTCTAGCCTTATATGAAAAAAACCCGTTTCCAACGAAGGCCTCAAAGAGGTCTGAATATCCACTTGCAGACTTTACAAACAGAGTGTTTCCTAACTGCTCTATAAAAAGAAAGGTTAAACTCTGTGAGTTGAGCGCACACATCTCAAAGGAGTTTCTGAGAATCATTCTGTCTAGTTTTTATACGAAGAGATCTCCTTTTCTACCATTGACCTCAACGCGGCTGAAATCTCCACTTGCAAATTACACAAAAAGAGTGTTTCAAGTCCGCTCTGTGTAAAGGATCGTTCAACTCTGTGAGTTGAATACACACAACACAAGGAAGTTAATGAGAATTCTTCTGTCTAGCAGAATATGATGAAATCCCGTTTCCAACGAAGGCCTCAAAGAGGTCTGAATATCCACTTGCAGACTTTACAAACAGAGTGTTTCCTAACTGCTCTATGAAAAGAAAGGTTAAACTCTGTGAGTTGAACGCACACATCACAAAGGAGTTTCTCAGAATCATTCTGTCTAGTTTTTATACAAAGATATTTCCTTTTCTACCATGGACCTCAAAGCGGGTGAAATCTCCACTTGCAAATTCCACAAAAAGAGTGTTTCAAGTCTGCTCTGTGTAAAGGATCGTTCAACTCTTTGAGTTGAATACACACAACACAAGGAAGATTCTGAGAATTCTTCTGTCTAGCAGAATATGAAGAAATCCCGTTTCCAACGAAGGCCACAAGATGTCAGAATATCCACTTACAGACTTTCCAAACAGAGTGTTTCCTAACTGCTCTATGAACAGAAAGGTTAAACTCTGTGAGTTTAACGAACACATCACATCGCAGTTTGTGGGAATGATTCTGTCTAGTTTTGAAACGAAGATATTTCCTTTTCTGCCGTTGACCTTAAAGAGCTTGAAAACTACACTTGCAAATTGCACAAATAGAGTGTTTCAAATCTGCTCTGTCTAAGGGAACGTTCAACTCTGTGAGTTGAATGCACACAACACAAGGAAGTTACTGGGAATTCTTCTGTCTAGCCTTACATGAAAAAAACCCGTTTCCAACGAAGGCCTCTAAGTGGTCAAAATTTCCACGTGCAGACTTTACAAACAGAGTGTTTCCAAACCGCTGAATGAAAAGAAAAGTTAAACTCTGAGGAGTTGAACGCACACATCACGCAGCAGTTTCTGAGAATGATTCTGTCTAGTTTTTATACGAAGATATTTCCTTTTCTGCCTTTGGCCCCAAAGCGCTTGAAATCTCCATTGGAAATTCGACAAAAACAGTGTTTCAAATCTGCTCTCTCTAAATGAAAGTTCAACTCTGTCAGTTGAATACACACAACGCAAGGAAGTTACTGAGAATTCTTCTGTCTAGCATAATATGAAGAAATCCCGTTTCCAACGAAGGCCTGAAAGAGGTCTCAATATCCACTTGCAGACTTTAAAAACAGAGTGTTTCCTAACTGCTCTATGAAAAGAAAGGTTAAACTCTGTGAGTTGAACACACACATCACAAAGGTTTTTCTGAGAATCATTCTGTCTAGTTTCTATAGGAAGATATTTCCTATTCTACCATTGACCTCAAAGCGGCTGAAATCTCCACTTGCAAATTCCACAAAAAGAGTGTTTCAAGTCTGCTCTGTGTAAAGGATCGTTCAACTCTGTGAGCTGAATACACACAACACAAGGAAGTTACTGAGAATTCTTCTTTCTAGCAGAATATGAAGAAATCCCGTTTCCAACGAAAGCCTCAAGGATGTCTGAATATCCACTTGCAGACTTTACAAACAGAGTGTTTCCTAACTGCTCTATGAAAAGAAAGGTTAAACTCTGTGAGTTGAACGAACACATCACAAAGGAGTTTCTGAGAATCATTCTGTCTAGTTTTGAAACGAAGATATTTCCTTTTCTGCCATTGATCTTAAAGCGCTTGAAATCTCCACTTGCCAATTGCGCAAAAAGAGTGTTTCAAATCTGCTCTGTCTAAGGGAACGTTCAACTCTGTGAGTTGAATGTACACAACACAAGGAAGTTACTGGGAATTCTTCTGTCTAGCCTTACTTGAAAAAAACCCGTTTCCAACGAAGGCCTCTAAGTGGTCAAAATATCCACTGTGCAGACTTTACAAACAGAGTGTTTCCAAACCGCTGAATGAAAAGAAAAGTTAAACTCTGAGAGTTGAACGCACACATCACGCAGCAGTTTCTGAGAATGATTCTGTCTAGTTTCTATAGGAAGATATTTCCTATTCTACCATTGACCTCAACGCGGCTGAAATCTCCACTTGCAAATTCCACAAAAAGAGTGTTTCAAGTCTGCTCTGTGTAAAGGATCGTTCAACTCTGTGAGTTGAATACACACAACACAAGGAAGTTACTGAGAATTATTCTGTCTAGCAGAATATGAAGAAATCCCGTTTCCAACGAAAGCCTCAAAGATGTCTGAATATCCACTTGCAGACTTTACAAACAGAGTGTTTACTATCTGTTCTATGAAAAGAAAGGTTAAACTCTGTGAGTTGAACGCACACAGCACAAAGGAGTTTCTGAGAATCATTCTGTCTAGTCTTTATACGAAGATATTTCCTTTTCTACCATTGACCTCAAAGCGGCTGAAATCTCCACTTGCAAATTCCACAAAAAGAGTGTTTCAAGTCTGCTCTGTGTAAAGAATCGTTCAACTCTGTAAGTTGAATACACACAACACAAGGAAGTTACTGAGAATTCTTCTATCTAGCAGAATATGAAGAAATCCCGTTTCCAACGAAGGCCTCAAGGAGGTCTGAATATCCACTTGCAGACTTTACAAACAGAGTGTTTCCTAACTGCTCTATGAAAAGAAAGGTTAAACTCTGTGAGTTGAACGCACACATCACAAAGGAGTTTCTGAGAATCATTCTGTCTAGTTTTTCTACGAAGATATTTCCTTTTCTACCATTGACCTCAAAGCGGCTGAAATCACCACTTGCCAATTGCACAAAAAGAGTGTTTCAAATCTGCTCTGTCTAAGGGAACGTTCAACTCTGTGAGTTGAATGTACACAACACAAGGAAGTTCCTGGGAATTCTTCTGTCTACCCTTACATGAAAAAACCCGTTTCCAACGAAGGCCTGTAAGTGGTCAAAATATCCACGTGCAGACTTTACAAACAGAGTGTTTCCAAACTGCTGAATGAAAAGAAAAGTTAAACTCTGAGAGTTGAACGCACACATCACAGAGGATTTTCTGAGAATGATTCTGTCTAGTTTTGAAACGAAGATATTTCCTTTTCTGCCTTTGGCCTCAAAGCGCTTGAAATCTCCACTTGCAAATTCCACAAAAAGAGTGTTTCAAATCTGCTCTGTGTAAATGAAAGTTCAACTCTGTGAGTTGAACACACACAGCACAAGGAAGTTACTGGGAATTCTTCTGTCTAGCCTTATATGAAAAAAACCCGTTTCCAACGAAGGCCTCAAGGAGGTCTGAATATCCACTTGCAGACTTTACAAACAGAGTGTTTCCTAACTGCTCTAAGAAAAGAAAGGTTAAACTCTTGTGAGTTGAACGCACACATCACAAAGGAGTTTCTGAGAATCATTCGGTCTAGTTTCTATAGGAAGATATTTCCTATTCTACCATTGACCTCAAAGCGGCTGAAATATCCACTTGCAAATTCCACAAAAAGAGTGTTTCAAGTCTGCTCTGTGTAAAGGATCGTTCAACTCTGTGAGTAGAATACACACAACACAAGGAAGTTACTGAGAATTATTCTGTCTACCCTTACATGAAAAAAACCCGTTTCCAACGAAGGCCTCTAAGTGGTCAAAATATCCACGTGCAGACTTTACAAACAGAGTGTTTCCAAACCGCTGAATGAAAAGAAAAGTTAAACTCTGAGAGTTGAAAGCACACATCACGCAGCAGTTTCTGAGAATGATTCTGTCTAGTTTTGAAACGAAGATATTTCCTTTTCTGCCTTTGGCCTCAAAGCGCTTGAAATCTCCACTTACAAATTCCACAAAAAGAGTGTTTCAAATCTGCTCTGTGTAAATGAAAGTTCAACTCTGTGAGTTGAACACACACAACACAAGGAAGTTACTGGGAATTCTTCTGTCTAGCAGAATGTGAAGAAATCCCGTTTCCAACGATTTCCTCAAAGAGGTCTGAATATCCACTTGCAGACTTTACAAACAGAGTGTTTCCTAACTGCTCTATGAAAAGAAAGGTTAAACTCTGTGAGTTGAACGCACACATCACAAAGGAGTTTCTGAGAATCATTCTGTCTAGTCTTTATACGAAGATATTTCCTTTTCTACCAGTGACATCAAAGCGGCTGAAATCTCCACTTGCAAATTCCACAAAAAGAGTGTTTCAAGTCTGCTCTGTGTAAAGGATCTTTCAACTCTGTGAGTTGAATACACACAACACAAGGAAGTTACTGAGAATTCTTCTGTCTAGGAGAATATGAAGAAATCCCGTTTCCAACGAAGGCCACAAGATGTCAGAATATCCACTTACAGAATTGACAAACAGACTGTTTCCTAACTGCTCTATGAAAAGAAAGGTTAAACTACTGTGAGTTGAACGAACACATCACAACGCAGTTTGTGGGAATGATTCTGTCTAGTTTTGAAACGAAGGATATTTCCTTTTCTGCCGTTGACCTTAAAGCGCTTGAAATCTACACTTGGAAATTGCACAAATAGAGTGTTTCAAATCTGCTCTGTCTAAGGGAACGTTCAACTCTGTGAGTTGAATGCGCACAACACAAGGAAGTTACTGGGAATTCTTCTGTCTAGCCTTACATGAAAAAAACCCGTTTCCAACGAAGGCCTCTAAGTGGTCAAATTATCCACGTGCAGACTTTACAAACAGAGTGTTTCCAAACTGCTGAATGAAAAGAAAAGTTAAACTCTGAGAGTTGAATGCACACATCTCAGAGCAGTTTCTGAGAATGATTCTGTCTACTTTTTATACGAAGATATTTCCTTTTCTGCCTTTGGCCTCAAATCGCTTGAAATCTCCACTTGCAAATTCCACAAAAAGAGTGTTTCAAATCTGCTCTGTGTAAATGAAAGTTCAACTCTGTGAGTTGAACACACACAACACAAGGAAGTTACTGGGAATTCTTCTGTCTAGCAGAATATGAAGAAATCCCGTTTCCAACGAAGGCCTCAAAGAGGTCTGAATATCCACTTGCAGACTTTACAAACAGAGTGTTTCCTAACTGCTCTCTGAAAAGAAAGGTTAAACTCTGTGAGTTGAACGCACACATCACGAAGGAGTTTCTGAGAATCTTTCTGTCTAGTTTCTATAGGAAGATATTTCCTATTCTACCATTGAACTCAAAGCGGCTGAAATCTCCACTTGCAAATTCCACAAAAAGAGTGTTTCAAGTCGGCTCTGTGTAAAGGATCGTTCAACTCTGTGAGTTGAATACACACAACACAAGGAAGTTACTGAGAATTCTTCTGTCTAGCAGAATATGAAGAAATCCCGTTGCCAACGAAGGCCTCAAGGAGGTCTGAATATCCACTTGCAGACTTTACAAACAGAGTGTTTCCCAACTGCTCTATGAAAAGAAAGGTTGAACTCTGTGAGTTGAACGCACACATCACAAAGGAGTTTCTGAGAATCATTCTGTCTAGTTTCTATAGGAAGATATTTCCTTTTCTACCATTGACCTCAAATCGGCTGAAATCTCCACTTGTAAATTCCACAAAAAGAGTGTTTCAAGTCTGCTCTGTGTAAAGGATCGTTCAACTCTGTGAGTTGAATACACACAACACAAGGAAGTTACTGAGAATTCTTCTTTCTAGCAGAATATGAAGAAATCCCGTTTCCAACGAAAGCCTCAAGGATGTCTGAATATCCACTTGCAGACTTTACAAACAGAGTGTTTCCCAACTGCGCTATGAAAAGAAAGGTTAAACTCTGTGAGTTGAACGCACACATCACAAAGGAGTTTCTGAGAATCATTCTGTCTAGTTTCTATAAGAAGCTATTTCCTATTCAACCATTGACCTCAAAGCGGCTGAAATCTCCACTTGCAAATTCGACAAAAAGAGTGTTTCAAGCCTGCTCTCTGTAAAGGATCCTTCAACTCTGTGAGTTGAATACACACAACACAAAGAAGTTACTGAGAATTATTCTGTCTAGCAGAATATGAAGAAATCCCGTTTCCAAAGAAGGCCACAAGATGTCAGAATATCCACTTACAGACTTTACAAACAGAGTGTTTCCTAACTGCTCTATGAACAGAAAGGTTAAACTCTGTGAGTTGAACGAACACATCACAACGCAGTTTGTGGGAATGATTCTGTCTAGTTTTTATAGGAAGTTATTTCCTTTTCTACCTTTGACTTCAAAGTGGCTGAAATCTCCACTTGCAAATTCCACAAAATGAGTGTTACAAGTCTGCTCTGTGTAAAGGATCGTTCAACTCTGTGAGTTGAATACACACAACACAAGGAAGTTACTGAGAATTCTTCTGTCTAGCCTTACAGGAAAAAAACCCGTTTCCAACGAAGGCCTCTAAGTGGTCAAAATATCCACGTGCAGACTTTACAAACAGAGTGATTCCAAACTGCTGAATGAAAAGAAAAGTTAAACTCTGAGAGTTGAACGCACACATCGCAGAGCAGTTTCTGAGAATGATTCTGTCTAGTTTTTATACGAAGATATTTCGTTTTCTGCCTTTGGCCCCAAAGCGCTTGAAATCTCCACTTGCAAATGCCACAAAAACAGTGTTTCAAATCTGCTCTCTCTAAATGAAAGTTCAACTCTGTCAGTTGAATACACACAACACAAGGAAGTTACTGAGAATTCTTCTGTCTAGCATAATATGAAGAAATCCCGTTTCCAACGAAGGCCTCAAAGAGGTCTGAATATCCACTTGCAGACTTTACAAACAGAGTGTTTCCTAACTGCTCTATGAAAAGAAAGGTTAAACTCTGTGAGTTGAACGCACGCATCACAAAGGAGTTTCTGAGAATCATTCTGTCTAGTTTCTATAGGAAGATATTTCCTATTCTACCATTGACCTCAAAGCGGCTGAAATCTCCACTTGCAAATTCCACAAAAAGAGTGTTTCAAGTCTGCTCTCTGTAAAGGATCGTTCCACTCTGTGAGTTGAATACACACAACACAAAGATGTTACTGAGAATTCTTCTGTCTACCAGAACATGAAGAAATCCCGCTTCCAACGAAGGCCTCAAGGAGGTCTGAATATCCACTTGCAGACTTTACAAACAGAGTGTTTCCTAACTGCTCTATGAAAAGAAAGGTTAAACTCTGTGAGTTGAACGCAAACATCACAAAGAAGTTTCTGAGAATCATTCTGTCTAGTCTTTATAGGAAGATATTTACTTTTCTACCATTGACCTCAAAGCGGCTGAAATCTCCACTTGCAAATTCCACAAAAAGAATGTTTCAAGTCTGCTCTGTGTAAAGGATCGTTCAACTCTGTGAGTTGAATACACACAACACAAGGAAGTTACTGAGAATTCTTCTGTCTAGCCTTATATGAAAAAAACCCGTTTCCAACGAAGGTCTCAAAGAGGTCTGAATATCCACTTGCAGACTTTACAAACAGAGTGTTTCCTAACTACTCTATGAAAAGAAAGGTTAAACTCTGTGAGTTGAACGCACACATCACAAAGGAGTTTCTGAGAATCATTCTGTCTAGTTTCTATTGGAAGATATTTCCTATTCAACCATTGACCTCAAAGCGGCTGAAATCTCCACTTGCAAATTCCACAAAAAGAGTGTTTCAAGTCTGCTCTGTGTAAAGGATCGTTCAACTCTGTGAGTTGAATACACACAACACAAGGGAAGTTACTGAGAATTCTTCTGTGAAGCAGAATATGAAGAAATCCCGTTTCCAACGAAGGCCTCAGAGAGGTCTGAATATCCCCTTGCAGACTTTACAAACAGAGTGTTTCCTAACTGCTCTATGAAAAGAAACGTTAAACTCTGTGAGTTGAACGCACACATCACAAAGGAGTTTCTGAGAATCATTCTGTCTAGTTTTAAAACGAAGAAATTTCCTTTTCTGCCATTGACCTTAAAGCGCTTGAAATCTACACTTGCAAATTGCACAAATAGAGTGTTTCAAATCTGCTCTGTCTAAGGGAACGTTCAACTCTGTGAGTTGAATGCACACAACACAAGGAAGTTACTGGGAATTCTTCTGTCTAGCCTTACATGAAAAAACCCGTTTCCAACAAAGACCTCTAAGTGGTCAAATTATCCACATGCAGACTTTACAAACCAGAGTGTTTCCTAACTGCTCTATGAAAAGAAAAGTTAAACTCTGAGAGTTGAACGCACACATCGCAGAGCAGTTTCTGAGAATGATTCTGTCTAGTTTTTATACGAAGATATTTCCTTTTCTACCTTTGGCCACAAAGCGCTTGAAATCTCCACTTGCAAATTCCACAAAAACAGTGTTTCAAATCTGCTCTCTCTAAATGAAAGTTTAACTCTGTCAGTTGAAAACACACAACACAAGGAAGTTACTGAGAATTCTTCTGTCTAGCATAATATGAAGAAATCCCGTTTCGAAAGAAGGCCTCAAAGGGGTCTGAATAGCCACTTGCAGACTTTACAAACAGAGTGTTTCCTAACTGCTCTATGAAAAGAAAGCTTAAACTCTGTGAGTTGAACGCACACATCACAAAGGAGTTTCTGAGAATCATTCTGTCTAGTTTCTATAGGAAGATATTTCCTATTCTACCATTGACCTCAAAGCGCCTGAAATCTCCACTTGCAAATTCCACAAAAAGAGTGTTTCAAGTCTGCTCTCTGTAAAGGATCGTTCAACTCTGTGAGTTGAATACACACAAAAGAAGGAAGTTACTGAGAATTATTCTGTCTAGCATAATATGAAGAAATCCCGTTTCCAACGAAGGCCTCAAAGGGTTCTGAATATCCACTTGCAGACATTACAAACAGAGTGTTTCCTAACTGCTCTGTGAAAAGAAACGTTAAACTCTGTGAGTTGAACGCACACATCACAAAGGAGTTTCTGAGAATCATTCTGTCTAGTTTCTATAGGAAGATATTTCCTATTCTACCATTGACCTCAAAGCGGCTGAAATCTCCACTTGCAAATTCCAGAAAAAGAGTGTTTCAAGTCTGCTCTGTGTAAAGGATCGTTGAAATCTGTGAGTTGAATACACACAACACAAGGAAGTTACTGAGAATTCTTCTGTCTAGCCTTATATGAAAAAAACCCGTTTCCAACGAAGGCCTCAAAGAGGTCTGAATATCCACTTGCAGACTTTACAAACAGAGTGTTTCCTAACTGCTCTAAGAAAAGAAAGGTTAAACTCCTGTGAGTTGAACGTACACATCACAAAGAAGTTTCTGAGAATCATTCTGTCTATTTTCTATAGGAAGATATTTCCTATTCTACCATTGACCTCAAAGCGGCAGAAATCTCCACTTGCAAATTCCACAAAAAGAGTGTTTCATGTCTGCTCTGTGTAAAGGATCGTTCAACTCTGTGAGTTGAATACACACAACACAAAGAAGTTACTGAGAATTCTTCTGTCTAGCAGAATATGAAGAAATCCCATTTCCAACGAAGGAATCAAGGAGGTCTGAATATCCACTGGCAGACTTTACAAACAGAGTGTTTCCTAACTGCTCTATGAACAGAAAGGTTAAACTCTGTGATTTGAACGCACACATCACAAAGGAGTTTCTGAGAATCATTCTGTCTAGTTTCTATAGGAAGATATTTCCTATTCTACCATTGACCTCAAAGCAGCTGAAATCTCCACTTGCAAATTCCACAAAAAGAGTGTTTCAACTCTGCTCTGTGTAAAGGATTGTTCAACTCTGTGAGTTGAATACACACAACACAAGGAAGTTACTGAGAATTCTTCTGTCTAGCAGAATATGAAGAAATCCCGTTTCCAACGAAGGCCTCAAAGAGGTCTGAATATCCACTTGCAGACTTTACAAACAGAGTGTTTCCTAACTGCTCTATGAACAGAAAGGTTAAACTCTGTGAGTTGAACGAACACATCACAACGCAGTTTGTGGGAATGATTCTGTCTTGTTTTGAAACGAAGATATTTCCTTTTCTGCCATTGACCGTAAAGCGCTTGAAATCTCCACTTGCCAATTGCACAAAAAGAGTGTTTCAAATCTGCTCTGTCTAAGGGAACGTTCAACTCTGTGAGTTGAATGTACACAACACAAGGAAGTTACTGGGAATTCTTCTGTCTAGCCTTACAGGAAAAAAACCCGTTTCCAACGAAGGCCTCAAAGAGGTCTGAATATCCACTTGCAGTCTTTACAAACAGAGTGTTTCCTAACTGCTCTATGAAAAGAAAGGTTAAACTCTGTGAGTTGAACGCACACATCACAAAGGAGTTTCTGAGAATAATTCTGTCTAGTTTTGAAACGAAGATATTTCCTTTTCTGCCTTTGGCCTCAAAGTGCTTGAAATCTCCACTTGCAAATTCCACAAAAAGAGTGTTTCAAATCTGCTCTGTGTAAATGAAAGTTCAACTCTGTGAGTCGAACACACACAACACAAGGAAGTTACTGGGAATTCTTCTGTCTAGCATAATATGTAGAAATCCCGTTTCCAACGAATGCCTCAAAGAGGTCTGAATATCCACTTGCAGACTTTACAAACAGAGTGTTTCCTAACTGCTCTATGAAAAGAAAGGTTAAACTGTGTGAGTTGAACGCACACATCACAAAGGAGTTTCTGAGAATCATTCTGTCTAGTTTCTATAGGAAGATATTTCCTATTCTACCATTGACCTCAAAGCGGCTGAAATATCCACTTGCAAATTCCACAAAAAGAGTGTTTCAAGTCTGCTCTGTGTAAAGGATCGTTCAACTCTGTGAGTTGAATACACACAACACAAGGAAGTTACTGAGAATTCTTCTGTCTAGCAGAATATGAAGAAATCCCGTTTCCAACGAAGGCCTCAAGGAGGTCTGAATATCCACTTCCAGACTTTACAAACAGAGTGTTTCCTAACTGCTCTATGAACAGAAAGGTTAAACTCTGTGAGTTGAACGAACACATCACAACGCAGTTTGTGGGAATGATTCTGTCTAGTTATTATACGAAGATATTTCCTTTTCTACCATTGACCTCAAAGCGGCTGAAATCACCACTTGCCAATTGCACAAAAAGAGTGTTTCAAATCTGCTCTGTCTAAGGGAACGTTCAACTCTGTGAGTTGAATGTACACAACACAAGGAAGTTACTGGGAATTCTTCTGTCTAGCCTTACATGAAAAAAAACCGTTTCCAACGAAGGCCTCTAAGTGGTCAAAATATCCACGTGCAGACTTTACAAACAGAGTGTTTCCAAACCGCTGAATGAAAAGAAAAGTTAAACTCTGAGAGTTGAACGCACACATCACACAGCAGTTTCTGAGAATGATTCTGTCTAGTTTTTATACGAAGATATTTCCTTTTCTGCCTTTGGCCTCAAAGCGCTTGAAATCTCCACTTGCAAATTCCACAAAAAGAGTGTTTCAAATCTGCTCTTTGTATATGAAAGTTCAACTCTGTGAGTTGAACACACACAACACAAGGGAAGTTACTGGGAATCCTTCTGTCTAGCCTTATATGAAAAAAACCCGTTTCCAACGAAGGCCTCAAAGAGATCGGAATATCCACTTGCAGACTTTACAAACAGAGTGTTTCCTAACTGCTCTATGAAAAGAAAGGTTAAACTCTGTGGGTTGAACACACACATCACAAAGGAGTTTCTGAGAATCATTCTGTCTACTTTTTATACGAAGAGATTTCCTTTTCTACCATTGACCTCAACGCGGCTGAAATCTCCACTTGCAAATTCCACAAAAAGAGTGTTTCAAGTCCGCTCTGTGTAAAGGATCCTTCAACTCTGTGAGTTGAATACACACAACACAAGGAAGTTAATGAGAATTCTTCTTTCTAGCAGAATATGAAGAAATCCCGTTTCCAACGAAAGCCTCAAGGATGTCTGAATATCCACTTGCAGACTTTACAAACAGAGTGTTTCCTAACTTCTCTATGAAAAGAAAGGTTAAACTCTGTGAGTTGCACGCACACATCACAAAGGAGTTTCTGAGAATCATTCTGTCTAGTTTCTATAGGAAGATATTTCCTATTCTACCATTGACCTCAAAGCGGCTGAAATCTCCACTTGCAAATTACACAAAAAGAGTGTTTCAAGTCTGCTCTCTGTAAAGGATCGTTCAACTCTGTGAGTTGAATACACACAACACAAGGAAGTTACTGAGAATTATTCTGTCTAGCAGAATATGAAGAAATCCCGCTTCCAACGAAGGCCTCAAAGAAGTCTGAATATCCACTTGCAGACTTTACAAACAGAGTGTTTCCCAACTGCTCTATGAAAAGAAAGGTTGAACTCTGTGAGTTGAACGCACACATCACAAAGCAGTTTCTGAGAATCATTCTGTGTACTTTCTATAGGAAGATATTTCCTATTCTACCTTTGAACTCAAAGCGGCTGAAATCTCCACTTGCAAATTCCACAAAAAGTGTGTTTCAAGTCTGCTCTGTGTAAAGGATCGTTCAACTCTGTGAGTTGAATACACACAACACAAGGAAGTTCCTGAGAATTCCTCTGTCCAGCAGAATATGAAGAAATCCCGTTTCCAACGAAGGCCACAAGATGTCAGAATATCCACTTACAGACTTTACAAACAGAGTGTTTCCTAACTGCTCTATGAACAGAAAGGTTAAACTCTGTGAGTTGAACGAACACATCACAACGCAGTTTGTGGGAATGATTCTGTCTAGTTTTGAAACGAAGATATTTCCTTTTCTGCCATTGACCTTAAAGCGCTTGAAATCTACACTTGCAAATTGCACAAATAGAGTGTTTCAAATCGGCTCTGTCTAAGGGAACGTTCAACTCTGTGAGTTGAATGCACACAACACAAGGAAGTTACTGGGAATTCTTCTGTCTAGCCTTATATGAAAAAAACCCGTTTCCAACGAAGGCCTCTAAGTGGTCAAAATATCCACGTGCAGACTTTACAAACAGAGTGTTTCCAAACTGCTGAATGAAAAGAAAAGTTAAACTCTGAGAGTTGAACGCACACATCACAGAGGATTTTCTGAGAATGATTCTGTCTAGTTTTTATACGAAGATATTTCCTTTTCTTCCTTTGGCCCCAAAGCGCTTGAAATCTCCACTTGCAAATTCCACAAAAACAGTGTTTCAAATCTGCTCTCTCTAAATGAAAGTTCAACTCTGTCAGTTGAATACACACAACACAAGGAAGTTACTGAGAATTCTTCTGTCTAGCACAGTATGAAGAAATCCCGTTTCCAACGAAGGCCTCAAGGAGGTCTGAATATCCACTTGCAGAGTTTACAAACAGAGTGTTTCCTAACTGCTCTATGAAAAGAAAGGTTAAACTCTGTGAGTTGAACGCACACATCACAAAGAAGTTTCTGAGAATCATTCTGTCTAGTTTTTATAGGAAGATATTTCCTTTTCTACCTTTGACTTCAAAGCGGCTGAAATCTCCACTTGCAAATTCCACAAAAAGAGTCTTACAAGTCTGCTCTGTGTAAAGGATCGTTCAACTCTGTGAGTTGAATACACACAACACAAGGAAGTTACTGAGAATTCTTCTGTCTAGCCTTACAGGAAAAAAACCCGTTTCCAACGAAGGCCTCTAAGAGGTCAAATTATCCACGTGCAGACTTTACAAACAGAGTGTTTCCAAACTGCTGAATGAAAAGAAAAGTTAAACTCTGAGAGTTGAACGCACACATCGCAGAGCAGTTTCTGAGAATGATTCTGTCTAGGTTTTATACGAAGATATTTCCTTTTCTGCCTTTGGCCTCAAAGCGCTTGAAATCTCCATTTGCAAATTCCACAAAAAGAGTGTTTCAAATCTGCTCTGTGTAAATGAAAGTTCAACTCTGTGAGTTGAACACACACAACACAAGGAAGTTACTGGGAATTCTTCTGTCTAGCCTTATATGAAAAAAACCCGTTTCCAACGAAGGCCTCAAGAGGTCTGAATATCCACTTGCAGACTTTACAAACAGAGTGTTTCCTAACTGCTCTATGAAAAGAAAGGTTAAACTCTGTGAGTTGAACACACACATCACAAAGGAGTTTCTGAGAATCATTCTGTCTACTTTTTATACGAAGATATTTCCTATTCTACCATTGACCTCAAAGCGGCTGAAATCTCCACTTGCAAATTCAACAAAAAGTGTGTTTCAAGTCTACTCTGTGTAAAGCATCGTTGAACTCTGTGAGTTGAATACACACAACACAAGGAAGTTACTGAGAATTCTTCTGTCTAGCAGAATATGAAGAAATCCCATTTCCAACGAAGGACACAAAATGTCAGAATATCCACTTACAGACTTTACAAACAGAGTGTTTCCTAACTGCTCTATGAACAGAAAGGTTAAACTCTGTGAGTTGAACGAACACATCACAACGCAGTTTGTGGGAATGATTCTGTCTAGTTTTGAAACGAAGATATTTTCTTTTCTGCCATTGACCTTAAAGCGCTTGAAATCTCCATTTGCCAATTGCACAAAAAGAGTGTTTCAAATCTGCTCTGTCTAAGGGAACGTTCAACTCTGTGAGTTGAATGTACACAACACAAGGAAGTTACTGGGAAATCTTCTGTCTAGCATAATATGAAGAAATCCCGCTTCCAACGAAGGCCTCAAAGAAGTCTGAATATCCACTTGCAGACTTTACAAACAGAGTGTTTCCCAACTGCTCTATGAAAAGAAAGGTTGAACTCTGTGAGTTGTACGCACACATCACAAAGGAGTTTCTGAGAATCATTCTGTCTAGTTTCTATAGGAAGATATTTCCTATTCTACCATTGAACTCAAATCGGCTGAAATCTCCACTTGCAAATTCCACAACAAGAGTGTTTCAAGTATGCTCTGTGTAAAGGATCGTTCAACTCTGTGAGTTGAATACACACAACACAAGGAAGTTACTGAGAATTCTTCTGTCTAGCATAATATGAAGAAATCCCGTTTCCAATGAAGGCCTCAAGGAGGTCTGAATATCCACTTGCAGACTTTACAAACAGAGTGTTTCCTAACTGCTCTATGAAAAGAAAGGTTAAACTCTGTGAGTTGAACGCACACATCACAAAGGAGTTTCTGAGAATCATTCTGTCTAGTCTTTATACGAAGATATTTACTTTTCTACCGTTGACCTCAAAGCGGCTGAAATCTCCACTTGCAAATTCCACAAAAAGAGTGTTTCAAGTCTGCTCTGTGTAAAGGATCATTCAACTCTGTGAGTTGAATAAACACAACACAAGGAAGTTACTGAGAATTCTTCTGTCTAGCAAAGTATGGAGAAATCCCGTTTCCAACGAAGGCCTCAAAGAGGTCTGAATATCCACTTGCAGAGTTTACAAACAGAGTGTTTCCTAACTGCTCTATGAAAAGAAAGGTTAAACTCTGTGAGTTGAACGCACACATCACAATGAAGTTTCTGAGAATCATTCTGTCTAGTTTCTATTAGAAGATATTTCCTATTCTACCATTGACCTCAAAGCGGCTGAAATCTCCACTTGCAAATTCGACAAAAAGAGTGTTTCAAGCCTGCTCTCTGTAAAGGATCCTTCAACTCTGTGAGTTGAATACACACAACACAAGGAAGTTACTGAGAATTCTTCTGTCTAGCATAATATGAAGAAATCCCGTTTCCAACGAAGGCCTCAAGGAGGTCTGTATATCCACTTGCAGACTTTACAAACAGAGTGTTTCCTAACTGCTCTATGAAAAGAAAGGTTAAACTGTGTGAGTTGAACGCACACATCACAAAGGAGTTTCTGAGAATCATTCTGTCTAGTTTTTATACGAAGATATTTCCTTTTCTACCATTGACCTCAACGCGGCAGAAACCTCCACTTGCAAATTCCACAAAACGAGTGTTTCAAGTCCGCTCTGTGTAAAGGATCGTTCAACTCTGTGAGTTGAATACACACAACACAAGGAAGTTACTTGAGAATTCTTCTGTCTAGCAGAATATGAAGAAATCCCGTTTCCAACGAAGGCCACAAGATGTCAGAATATCCACTTACAGAATTTACAAACAGACTGTTTCCCAACTGCTCTATGAAAAGAAAGGTTAAACTCTGTGAGTTGAACACACACATCAGAATGAAGTTTCTGAGAATCATTCTGTCTAGTTTTTATACGAAGATATTTCCTTTTCTACCATTGACCTCAAAGAGGCTGAAATCGCCACTTGCCAATTGCACAAAAAGAGTGTTTCAAATCTGCTCTGTCTAAGGGAACGTTCAACTCTGTGAGTTGAATGTACACAACACAAGGAAGTTACTGGGAATTCTTCTCTCTAGCCTTACATGAAAAAAACCCGTTTCCAACGAAGGCCTCTAAGTGGTCAAGTTATCCACGTGCAGACTTTACAAACAGAGTGTTTCCAAACTTCTGAATGAAAAGAAAAGTTAAACTCTGAGAGTTGAACGCACACATCGCAGAGCAGTTTCTGAGAATGATTCTGTCTAGTTTTTATACGAAGATATTTCCTTTTCTGCCTTTGGCCCCAAAGCGCTTGAAATCTCCACGTGCAAATTCCACAAAAACAGTGTTTCAAATCTGCTCTCTCTAAATGAAAGTTCAACTCTGTCAGTTGAATACACACAACACAAGGAAGTTACTGAGAATTCTTCTGTCTAGCAGAATATGAAGAAATCCCGTTTCCAACGAAAGCCTCAAAGAGGTCTGAATATCCACTTGCAGACTTTACAAACAGAGTGTTTCCTAACTGCTCTATGAAAAGAAAGGTTAAACTCTGTGAGTTGAACGCACACATCACAAAGGAGTTTCTGAGAATCATTCCGTCTAGTTTTTATACGAAGATATTTCCTTTTCTACCGTGGACCTCAAAGCGGCTGAAATCTCCACTTGCAAATTCCACAAAAAGAGTGTTTCAAGTCTGCTCTGTGTAAAGGATCGTTCAACTCTGTGAGTTGAATACACACAACACAAGGAAGATTCTGAGAATTCTTCTGTCTAGCAGAATATGAAGAAATCCCGTTTCCAACGAAGGCCAGAAGATGTCAGAATATCCACTTACAGACTTTACAAACAGAGTGTTTCCTAACTGCTCTATGAACAGAAAGGTTAAACTCTGTGAGTTGAACGAACACATCACAACGCAGTTTGTGGGAATGATTCTGTCTAGTTTTGAAACGGAGATATATCCTTTTCTGCCATTGACCTTAAAGCGCTTGAAATCTACACTTGCAAATTACACAAATAGAGTGTTTCAAATCTGCTCTGTCTAAGGGAACGTTCATCTCTGTGAGTTGAATGCACACAACACAAGGAAGTTACTGGGAATTCCTCTGTCTAGCCTTACAGGAAAAAAACCCGTTTACAACGAAGGCCTCTAAGTGGTCAAATTATCCACGTGCAGACTTTACAAACAGAGTGTTTCCAAACTGCTGAATGAAAACAAAAGTTAAACTCTGAGAGTTGAACGCACACATCGCAGAGCAGTTTCTGAGAATGATTCTGTCTAGTTTTTATACGAAGATATTTCCTTTTCTGCCTTTGGCCTCAAAGCGCTTGAAATCTCCACCTGCAAATTCCACAAAAAGAGTGTTTCAAATCTGCTCTGTGTAAATGAAAGTTCAACTCTGTGAGTTGAACACACACAACCCAAGGAAGTTACTGGGAATTCTTCTGTCTAGCAGAATATGAAGAAATCCCGTTTCCAACGAAGGCCTCAAAGAGGTCTGAATATCCACTTGCAGACTTTACAAACAGAGTGTTTCCTAACTGCTCTATGAAAAGAAAGTTTAAACTCTGTCAGTTGAACGCAAACATCACAAAGGAGTTTCTGAGAATCATTCTGTCTAGTATTTATACGAAGATATTTCCTTTTCTACCGTTGACCTCAACGCGGCTGAAATCTCCACTTGCAAATTCCACAAAAAGAGTGTTTCAAGTCTGCTCTGTGTAAAGGATCGTTCAACTCTGTGAGTTGAATACACACAACACAAGGAAGTTACTGAGAATTCTTCTGTCTAGCAGAATATGAAGAAATCCCGTTTCCAACGAAGGCCACAAGATGTCAGAATATCCACTTACGGACTTTACAAACAGAGTGTTTCCTAACTGCTCTATGAACAGAAAGGTTAAACTCTGTGAGTTGAACGAACACATCACAACGCAGTTTTTGGGAATGATTCTGTCTAGTTTTGAAACGAAGACATTTCCTTTTCTGCCATTCACCTTAAAGCGCTTGAATTCTACACTTGCAAATTGCACAAATAGAGTGTTTCAAATCTGCTCTGTCTAAGGGAACGTTCAACTCTGTGAGTTGAATGCACACAACACAAGGAAGTTACTGGGAATTCTTCTGTCTAGCCTTACATGAAAAAAACCCGTTTCCAACGAAGGCCTCTAAGTGGTCAAATTATGTACGTGCAGACTTTACAAACAGAGTGTTTCCAAACTGCTGAAGGAAAAGAAAAGTTAAACTCTGAGAGTTGAACACACACATCGCAGAGCAGTTTCTTAGAATGATTCTGTCTAGTTTTTATACGAAGATATTTCCTTTTCTGCCTTTGGCCTCAAAGCGCTTGAAATCTCCACTTGCAAATTCCACAAAAAGAGTGTTTCAAATCTGCTCTGTGTAAATGAAAGTTCAACTCTGTGAGTTGAACACACACAACACAAGGAAGTTACTGGGAATTGTTCTGTCTAGCACAGTATGAAGAAATCCCGTTTCCAACGAAGGCCTCAAAGAGGTCTGAATATCCACTTGCAGAGTTTACAAACAGAGTGTTTCCTAACTGCTCCATGAAAAGAAATGTTAAACTCTGTGAGTTGAACGCACACATCACAAAGAAGTTTCTGAGAATCATTCTGTCTAGTTTCTATAGGAAGATATTTCCTATTCTACCATTGACCTCAAAGCGGCTGAAATCTCCACTTGCAAATTCCACAAAAAGAGTGTTTCAAGTCTGCTCTGTGTAAAGGATCGTTCAACTCTGTGAGTTGAATACACACAACACAAGGAATTTACTGAGAATTCTTCTGTCTAGCCTTACAGGAAAAAAACCCGTTTCCAACGAAGGCCTCTAAGTGGTCAAGTTATCCACGTGCAGACTTTACAAACAGAGTGTTTCCAAACTTCTGAATGAAAAGAAAAGTTAAACTCTGAGAGTTGAACGCACACATCGCAGAGCAGTTTCTGAGAATGATTCTGTCTAGTTTTTATACGAAGATATTTCCTTTTCTGCCTTTGGCCTCAAAGCGCTTGAAATCTCCACTTGCAAATTCCACAAAAAGAGTGTTTCAAATCTGCTCTGTGTAAATGAAAGTTCAACTCTGTGAGTTGAACACACACAACACGAGGAAGTTACTGGGAATTCTTCTGTATAGCAGAATATGAAGAAATCCCGTTTCCAACGAAAGCCTCAAAGATGTCTGAATATCCACTTGCAGACTTTACAAACAGAGTGTTTCCTAACTGCTCTATGAAAAGAAAGGTTAAACTCTGTTAGTTGAACGCACACATCACAAAGGATTTTCTGAGAATCATTCTGTCTAGTCTTTATACGAAGATAATTCCTTTTCTACCATTGACCACAAAGCGGCTGAAATCTCCACTTGCAAATTCCACAAAAAGAGTGTTTCAAGTCTGCTCTGTGTAAAGGATCGTTCAACTCTGTGAGTTGAATACACACAACACAAGGAAGTTACTGAGAATTCTTCTGTCTAGCAGAATATGAAGAAATCCCGTTTCCAACGAAGGCCTCAAGGAGGTCTGAATATCCACTTGCAGACTTTACAAACAGAGTGTTTCCCAACTGCTCTATGAAAAGAAAGGTTAAACTGTGTGAGTTGAACGCACACATCACAAAGGAGTTTCTGAGAATCATTCTGTCTAGTCTTTATACGAAGATATTTCCTTTTCTACCATTGACCTCAAAGCGGCTGAAATCTCCACTTGCAAATTCCACAAAAAGAGTGTTTCAAGTCTGCTCTGTGTAAAGGATCGTTCAACTCTGTGAGTTGAATACACACAACACAAGGAAGTTACTGAGAATTGCTTTCTGTCTAGCATAATATGAAGAAATCCCGTTTCCAACGAAGGCCTCAAGGAGGTCTGAATATCCACTTGCAGACTTTACAACCAGAGTGTTTCCTAACTGCTCTATGAAAAGAAAGGTTAAACTCTGCGAGTTGAACGCACACATCACAAAGGAGTTTCTGAGAATCATTCTGTCTAGTTTCTATAGGAAGTTATTTCCTATTCTACCATTGACCTCAAAGCGGCTGAAATCTCCACTTGCAAATTCCACAAAAAGAGTGTTTCAAGTCTGCTCTGTGTAAAGGATCATTCAACTCTGTGAGTTGAATACACACAACACAAGGAAGTTACTGAGAATTCTTCTGTCTAGCAGAATATGAAGAAATCCCGTTTCCAAAGAAGGCCTCAAAGAGGTCTGAATATCCCCTTGCAGACTTTACCAACAGAGTGTTTCCTAACTGCTCTATGAAAAGAAAGGTTAAACTCTGTGAGTTGAACGCACACATCACAAAGGAGTTTCTGAGAATCATTCTGTCTAGTTTTTATACGAAGATATTTCCTTTTCTACCATTGACCTCAAAGCGGCTGAAATCTCCACTTGCAAATTCCACAAAAAGAGTGTTTCAAGTCTGCTCTGTGTAAAGGATCGTTCAACTCTGTGAGTTGAATACACAAAACACAAGGAAGTTTCTGAGAATTCTTCTGTATAGCAGAATATGAAGAAATCCCGTTTCCAACGAAGGCCTCAAGGAGGTCTGAATATGCACTTGCAGACTTTACAACCAGAGTGTTTCCTAACTGCTCTATGAAAAGAAAGGTTAAACTCTGTGAGTTGAACGCAGACATCACAAAGGAGTTTCTGAGAATCACTCTGTCTAGTTTTTATACGAAGATATTTCCTTTTCTACCATTGACCTCAAAGCGGCTGAAATCTCCACTTGCCAATTCCACAAAAAGAGTGTTTCAAGTCTACTCTGTGTAATGGATCGTTGAACTCTGTGAGTTGAAAACACACAACACAAGGAAGTTTCTGAGAATTCTTCTGTCTAGCAGAATATGAAGAAATCCCGTTTCCAACGAAAGCCTCAAAGATGTCTGAATATCCACTTGCAGACTTTACAAACAGAGTGTTTCCTAACTGCTCTATGAAAAGAAAGTTTAAACTCTGTGAGCTGAACGCACACAGCACAAAGGAGTTTCTGAGAATCATTCTGTCTAGTTTCCATAGGAAGATATTTCCTATTCTACCATTGACCTCAAAGCGGCTGAAATCTCCACTTGCAAATTCCACAAATGGAGTGTTTCAAGTCTGCTCTGAGTAAAGGATCGTTCGACTCTGTGAGTTGAATAAACACAACACAAGGAAGTTTCTGAGAATTCTTCTGTCTAGCAGAATATGAAGAAATCCCGTTTCCTACGAAAACCTCAAAGATGTCTGAATATCCACTTGCAGACTTTACAAACAGAATGTTTCCTAACTGCTCTATGAAAAGAAAGGTTAAACTCTGTGAGTTGAACGCACACATCACAAAGGAGTTTCTGAGAATCATCTGTCTAGTTTTGAAACGAAGATATTTCCTTTTCTGCCGTTGACCTTAAAGCGCTTGAAATCTACACTTTCAAATTGCACAAATAGAGTGTTTCAAATCTGCTCTGTCTAAGGGAACGTTCAACTCTGTGAGTTGAATGCACACAACACAAGGAAGTTACTGGGAATTCTTTCTGTCTAGCCTTACAGGAAAAAAACCCGTTTCCAACGAAGGCCTCTGAGTGGTCAAAATATCCACGTGCAGACTTTACAAACAGAGTGTTTCCAAACTGCTGAATGAAAACAAAAGTTAAACTCTGAGAGTTGAACGCACACATCGCAGAGCAGTTTCTGAGAGTGATTCTGTCAAGTTTTTATACGAAGATATTTCTTTTTCTGCCTTTGGCCCCAAAGCACTTGAAATTTCCACTTGCAAATTCCACAAAAACAGTGTTTCAAATCTGCTCTCTCTAAATGAAAGTTCAACTCTGTCAGTTGAATACACACAACACAAGGAAGTTACTGAGAATTCTTCTGTCTAGCCTTATATGAAAAAAACCCGTTTCCAACGAAGGCCTCAAAGAGGTCTGAATATCCACTTGCAGACTTTACAAACAGAGTGTTTCCTAACTGCTCTATGAAAAGAAATGTTAAACTCTGTGAGTTGAACACACACATCACAAAGCAGTTTCTGAGAATCATTCTGTCTAGTGTCTATAGGAAGATATTTCCTATTCTACCATTGACCTCAAAGCGGCTGAAATCTCCACTTGCAAATTCCACAAAAAGAGTGTTTCAAGTCTGCTCTGTGTAAAGGATCGTGCAACTCTGTGAGTTGAATACACACAACACAAGGAAGTTACTGAGAATTCTTCTGTCTAGCCTTACATGAAAAAAACCCGTTTCCAACGAAGGCCTCTAAGTGGTCAAATTATCCACGTGCAGACTTTACAAACAGAGTGTTTCCAAACTGCTGTATGAAAAGCAAAGTTAAACTCTGAGAGTTGAACGCACACATCGCAGAGCAGTTTCTGAGAATGATTCTGTCTAGTTTTTATACGAAGATATTTCCTTTTCTGCCTTTGGCCTCACAGCGCTTGAAATTTCCACTTGCAAATTCCACAAAAAGAGTGTTTCAAATCTGCTCTGTGTAAATGAAAGTTCAACTCTGTGAGTTGAACACACACAACACAAGGAAGTTACTGGGAATTCTTCTCTCTAGCCTTATATGAAAAAAACCCGTTTCCAACGAAGGCCTCAAAGAGGTCTGAATATCCACTTGCAGACTTTAGAAACAGAGTGTTTCCTAACTGCTCTATGAAAAGAAAGGTTAAACTCTGTGAGTTGAACGCACACATCACAAAGGAGTTTCTGAGAATCATTCTGTCTAGTTTTTATACGAAGATATTTCCTTTTCTACCATGGACCTCAAAGCGGCTGAAATCTCCACTTGCAAATTCCACAAAAAGAGTGTTTCAAGTCTGCTCTGTGTAAAGGATCGTTCAATTCTGTGAGTTGAATACACACAACACAAGGAAGATTCTGAGAACTCTTCGGTCTAGCAGAATATGAAGAAATCCCGTTTCCAACGAAGGCCTCAAGGAGGTCTGAATATCCACTTGCAGACTTTACAAACAGAGTGTTTCCTAACTGTTCTATGAACAGAAAGGTTAAACTCTGTGAGTTGAACGAACACATCACAACGCAGTTTGTGGGAATGATTCTGTCTAGTTTTTATACCGAAGATATTCCCTTTTCTACCATAGACCTCAAAGCAGCTGAAATCACCACTTGCCAATTGCACAAAAAGAGTGTTTCAAATCTGCTCTGTCTAAGGGAACGTTCAACTCTGTGAGTTGAATGTACACAACACAAGTAAGTTACTGGGAATTCTTCTGTCTAGCCTTACAGGAAAGAAACCCGTTTCCAACGAAGGC
Organism: Homo sapiens; assembly: GCF_000001405.40. Lineage (NCBI taxonomy): Eukaryota > Metazoa > Chordata > Mammalia > Primates > Hominidae > Homo > Homo sapiens. Next base: position 47,692,481 of record NC_000005.10, on the reverse strand, counting down.
CTCTAAGTGGTCAAAATATCCACGTGCAGATTTTACAAACAGAGTGTTTCCAAACTGCTGAATGAAAAGAAAAGTTAAACTCTGAGAGTTGAACGCACACATCGCAGAGCAGTTTCTTGAGAATGAGTCTGTCTAGTTTTGAAACGAAGATATTTCCTTTTCTGCCTTTGGCCTCAAAGCGCTTGAAATCTCCACTTGCAAATTCCACAAAAAGAGTGTTTCAAATCTGCTCTGTGTAAATGGAAGTTCAACTCACAGAGTTGAACACACACAACACAAGGAAGTTACTGGGAATTCTTCTGTCTAGCCTTATATGAAAAAAACCCGTTTCCAACGAAGGCCTCAAAGAGGTCTGAATATCCACTTGCAGACTTTACAAACAGAGTGTTTCCTAACTGCTCTATGAAAAGAAAGGTTAAACTCTGTGAGTTGAACGCACACATCACAAAGGAGTTTCTGAGAATCATTATCTGTCTAGTTTCTATAGGAAGATATTTCCTATTCTACCATTGACCTCAAAGCGGCTGAAATCTCCACTTGCAAATTCGACAAAAAGAATGTTTCAAGTCTGCTCTGTGTAAAGGATCGTTCAACTCTGTGAGTTGAATACACACAACACAAGGAAGTTACTGAGAATTCTTCTGTCTAGCAGAATATGAAGAAACCCCGTTTCCAACGAAGGCCTCAAGGAGGTCTGAATATCCACTTGCAGACTTTACAAACAGAGTGTTTCCTAACTGCTCTATGAACAGAAAGGTTAAACTCTGTGAGTTGAACGAACACATCACAACGCAGTTTGTGGGAATGATTCTGTCTAGTTTTTATACGAAGATATTTCCTTTTCTACCATTGACCTCAAAGCGGCTGAAATCACCACTTGCCAATTTCACAAAAAGAGTGTTTCAAATCTGCTCTGTCTAAGGGAACGTTCAACTCTGTGAGTTGAATGTACACAACACAAGGAAGTTACTGGGAATTCTTCTGTCTAGCCTTACAGGAAAAAAACGCGTTTCCAACGAAGGCCTCTAAGTGGTCAAAATATCCACGTGCAGACTTTTCAAACAGAGTGTTTCCAAACTGCTGAATGAAAAGAAAAGTTAAACTCTGAGAGTTGAACGCACACATCGCAGAGCAGTTTCTGAGAATGATTCTGTCTAGTTTTTATACGAAGATATTTCCTTTTCTGCCTTTGGCCCCAAAGCGCTTGAAATCTCCACTTGCAAATTCCACAAAAACAGTGTTTCAAAACTGCTCTCTCTAAATGAAAGTTCAACTCTGTCAGTTGAATACACACAACACAAGGAAGTTACTGAGAATTCTTCTGTCTAGCAAAATATGAAGAAATCCCGTTTCCAACGAAGGCCTCAAGGAGGTCTGAATACCCACTTGCAGACTTTACAAACAGAGTGTTTCCTAACAGCTCTATGAACAGAAAGGTTAAACTCTGTGAGTTGAACGCACACATCACAAAGGAGTTTCTGAGAATCATTCTGTCTAGTTTTTATACGAAGATATTTCCTTTTCTACCATGGACCTCAAAGCGGCTGAAATCTCCACTTGCAAATTCCACAAAAAGAGTGTTTCAAGTCTGCTCTGTGTGAAGGATCGTTCAACTCTGTGAGTTGAATACACACAACACAAGGAAGATTCTGAGAATTCTTCTGTCTAGCAGAATATGAAGAAATCCCGTTTCCAACGAAGGCCACAAGATGTCAGAATATCCACTTACAGAATTGACAAACAGACTGTTTCCTAACTGCTCTATGAAAAGAATGGTTAAACTCTGTGAGTTGAACGAACACATCACAACGCAGTTTGTGGGAATGATTCTGTCTAGTTTTGAAACGAAGATATTTTCTTTTCTGCCATTGACCTTAAAGCGCTTGAAATCTACACTTGCAAATTGCACAAATAGAGTGTTTCAAATCTGCTCTGTCTAAGGGAACGTTCAACTCTGTGAGTTGAATGCACACAACACAAGGAAGTTACTGGGAATTCTTCTGTCTAGCCTTACATGAAAAAAACCCGTTTCCAACGAAGGCCTCTAAGTGGTCAAAATATCCACGTGCAGACTTTACAAACAGAGTGTTTCCAAACCGCTGAATGAAAAGAAAAGTTAAACTCTGAGAGTTGAACGCACACGTCACGCAGCAGTTTCTGAGAATGATTCTGTCTAGTTTTTATACGAAGATATTTCCTTTTCTGCCTTTGGCCTCAAAGCGCTTGAAATCTCCACTTGCAAATTCCACAAAAAGAGTGTTTCAAATCTGCTCTTTGTAAATGAAAGTTCAACTCTGTGAGTTGAACACACACAACACAAGGAAGTTACTGGGAATCCTCTGTCTAGCAGAATACGAAGAAATCCCGTTTCCAACGAAGGCCTCAAAGAGGTCTGAATATCCACTTGCAGACTTTACAAACAGAGTGTTTCCTAACTGCTCCATGAAAAGAAAAGTTAAACTCTGTGAGATGAACGCACACATCACAAAGGAGTTTCTGAGAATCATTCTGTCTAGTTTCTATAGGAAGATATTTCCTATTCTACCATTGACCTCAAAGCGGCTGAAATCTCCACTTGCAAATTCCACAAAAAGAGTGTTTCAAGTCTGCTCTCTGTAAAGGATCGTTCAACTCTGTGAGTTGAATACACACAACACAAGGAAGTTTCTGAGAATTCTTCTGTCTAGCAGAATATGAAGAAATCCCGTTTCCAACGAAGGCCACAAGATGTCAGAATATCCACTTACAGAATTCACAAACAGACTGTTTCCTAACTGCTCTATGAAAAGAAAGGTTAAACTCTGTGAGTTGAACGAACACATCACAACGCAGTTTGTGGGAATGATTCTGTCTAGTTTTGAAACGAAGATATTTCCTTTTCTGCCATTGACCTCAAAGCGCTTGAAATCTCCACTTGCCAATTGCACAAAAAGAGTGTTTCAAATCTGCTCTGTCTAAGGGAACGTTCAACTCTGTGAGTTGAATGTACACAACACAAGGAAGTTACTGGGAATTCTTCTGTCTAGTAGAATATGAAGAAATCCCGTTTCCAACGAAGGCCACAAGATGTCAGAATATCCACTTACAGAATTTACAAACAGAGTGTTTCCTAACTGCTCTATGAAAAGAAAGCTTAAACTCTGTGAGATGAACGAACACATCACAACGCAGTTTGTGGGAATGATTTCCGTCTATTTTTTCTACGAAGATATTTCCTTTTCTGCCGTTGGCCTCAAAGCGCTTGAAATCTACACTTGCAAATTGCACAAATAGAGTGTTTCAAATCTGCTCTGTCTAAGGGAACGTTCAACTCTGTGAGTTGAATGCACACAACACAAGGAAGTTACTGAGAATTCTTCTCTCAGGCATAATATGAAGAAATCCCGTTTCCAACGAAGGCCTCAAAGAGGTCTGAATATCCACTTGCAGAGTTTACAAACAGAGTGTTTCCTAACTGCTCTATGAAAAGAAAAGTTAAACTCTGTGAGTTGAGCGCACACATCACAAAGAAGTTTCTGAGAATCATTCTGTCTAGTTTTTATACGAAGATATTTCCTTTTCTACCATTGACCTCAACGCGGCTGAAATCTCCACTTGCAAATTCCACAAAAAGAGCGTTTCAAGTCTGCTCTGTGTAAAGGATCATTCAACTCTGTGAGTTGAATACACACAACACAAGGAAGTTACTGAGAATTCTTCTGTCTAGCAGAATATGAAGAAATCCCGTTTCCAACGAAGGCCACAAGATGTCAGAATATCCACTTACAGACTTTACAAACAGTGTGTTTCCTAACTGCTCTATGAACGGAAACGTTAAACTCTGTGAGTTGAAGGAACACATCACAACGCAGTTTGTGGGAATGATTCTGTCTAGTTTTTATAGGAAGATATTTCCTTTTCTACCTTTGACCTGAAAGTGGTTGAAATCACCACTTGCCAATTGCACAAAAAGAGTGTTTCAAATCTGCTCTGTCTAAGGAAACGTTCAACTCTGTGGGTTGAATGTACAAAACACAAGGAAGTTACTGGGAATTCTTCTGTCTAGCAGAATATGAAGAAATCCCGTTTCCAACGAAGGCCGCAAGATGTCAGAATATCCACTTACAGAATTTACAAACAGACTGTTTCCTAACTGCTCTATGAAAAGAAAGGTTAAACTCTGTGAGTTGAACGAACACATCACAACGCAGTTTGTGGGAATGATTCTGTCTAGTTTTTATACGAAGATATTTCCTTTTCTGCCTTTGGCCTCAAAGCGCTTGAAATCTCCACTTGCAAATTACACAAAAAGAGTGTTTCAAATCTGCTCTATCTGAAGGAAGGTTCAACTCTGTCAGTTGAATACACACAACACAAGGAAGTTATTGAGAATTCTTCTTTCTAGCAGAACATGAAGAAATCCCGTTTCCAACGAAAGCCTCAAGGATGTCTGAATATCCACTTGCAGACTTTACAAACAGAGTGTTTCCTAACTGCTCTATGAAAAGAAAGGTTAAACTCTGTGAGTTGAACGCACACATCACAAAGGAGTTTCTGAGAATCATTCTGTCTAGTTTTTATAGGAAGATATTTCCTTTTGTACCTTCGACTTCAAAGCGGCTGAAATCTCCACTTGCAAATTCCACAAAAAGAGTGTTACAAGTCTGCTCTGTGTAAAGGATCGTTCAACTCTGTGAGTTGAATACACACAACACAAGGAAGTTACTGAGAATTCTTCTGTCTAGCCTTACATGAAAAAAACCCGTTTCCAACGAAGAACTCTAAGTGGTCAAATTATCCACGTGCAGACTTTACAAACAGAGTGTTTCCAAACTGCTGAATGAAAACAAAAGTTAAACTCTGAGAGTTGAACGCACACATCGCAGAGCAGTTTCTGAGAATGATTCTGTCTAGTTTTTATACGAAGATATTTCCTTTTCTGCCTTTGGCCTCAAAGCGCTTGAAATCTCCAATTGCAAATTCCACAAAAAGAGTGTTTCAAATCTGCTCTTTGTAAATGAAAGTTCAACTCTGTGAGTTGAACACACACAACACAAGGAAGTTACTGGGAATCCTTCTGTCTAGCAGAATATGAAGAAATCCCGTTTCCAACGAAGGCCTCAAAGAGGTCTGAATATCCACTTGCAGACTTTACAAACAGAGTGTTTCCTAACTGCTCTATGAAAAGAAAGGTTAAACTCTGTGAGTTGAACGCACACATCACAAAAGTGTTTCTGAGAATCATTCTGTCTAGTTTCTATAGGAAGATATTTCCTATTCTACAATTGACCTCAAAGCGGCTGAAATCTCCACTTGCAAATTCCAGAAAAAGAGTGTTTCAAGTCTGCTCTGTGTAAAGGATCGTTCAACTCTGTGAGTTGAATACACACAACACAAGGAAGTTACTGAGAATTCTTCTGTCTAGCAGAATATGAAGAAATCCCGTTTCCAACGAAGGCCTCAAGGAGGTCTGAATATCCACTTGAAGACTTTACAAACAGAGTGTTTCCTAACTGCTCTATGAAAAGAAAGGTTAAACTCTTTGAGTTGAACGCACACATCACAACGCAGTTTGTGGGAATGATTCTGTCTAGCTTTGAAACGAAGATATTTCCTTTTCTGCCATTGACCTTAAAGCGCTTGAAATCTACACTTGCAAATTGCACAAATAGAGTGTTTCAAATCTGCTCTGTCTAAGGGAACTTTCAACTCTGTGAGTTGAATGCACACAACACAAGGAAGTTACTGGGAATTCTTCTGTCAAGCCTTACAGGAAAAAAACCCGTTTCCAACGAAGACCTCTAAGTGGTCAAAATATCCACGTGCAGACTTTACAAACAGAGTGTTTCCAAACTGCTGAATGAAAAGAAAAGTTAAACTCTGAGAGTTGAACGCACACATCGCAGAGCAGTTTCTGAGAATGATTCTGTCTAGTTTTTATACGAAGATATTTCCTTTTTTGCCTTTGGCCCCAAAGCGCTTGAAATCTCCACTTGCAAATTCCACAAAAACAGTGTTTCAAATCTGCTCTCTCTAAATGAAAGTTCAACTCTGTCAGTTGAATACACACAACACAAGGAAGTTACTGAGAATTCTTCTGTCTAGCAGAATATGAAGAAATCCCGTTTCCAAAGAAGGCCTCAAAGAGGTCTGAATATCCACTTGCAGACTTTACAAACAGAGTGTTTCCTAACTGCTCTATGAAAAGAAAGGTTAAACTCTGTGAGTTGAACGCTCACATCACAAAGGAGTTTCTGAGAATCGTTCTGTCTAGTTTCTATAGGAAGATATTTCCTATTCTACCATTGACCTCAAAGCGGCAGAAATCCCCCCTTGCAAATTCCACAAAAAGAGTGTTTCAAGTCTGCTCTGTGTAAAGGATCGTTCAACTCTGTGAGTTGAATACACACAACACAAGGAAGTTACTGAGAATTCTTCTGTCTAGCATAGTATGAAGAAATCCCGTTTCCAACGAAGGCCTCAAAGAGGTCTGAATATCCACTTGCAGACTTTACAAACAGAGTGTTTCCTAACTGCTCTATGAAAAGAAAGGTTAAACTCTGTGAGTTGAAGGCACACATCACAAAGGAGTTTCTGAGAATCATTCTGTCTAGTTTCTATAGGAAGATATTTCCTATTCTACCATTGAACTCAAAGCGGCTGAAATCTCCCCTTGCAAATTCCACAAAAAGAGTGTTTCAAGTCTGCTCTGTGTAAAGGATCGTTCAACTCTGTGAGTTGAATACACACAACACAAGGAAGTTACTGAGAATTCTTCTGTCTAGCAGAATATGAAGAAATCCCGTTTCCAACGAAGGCCTCAAGGAGTTCTGAATATCCACTTGCAGACTTTACAAACAGAGTGTTTCCTAACTGCTCTATGAACAGAAAGGTTAAACTCTGTGAGTTGAACGCACACATCACAAAGGAGTTTATGAGAATCATTCTGTCTAGTTTCTATAGGAAGATATTTCCTATTCTACCATTGACCTCAAAGCGGCTGAAATCTCCACTTGCAAGTTCCACAAAAAGAGTGTTTCAAGTCTGCTCTGTGTTAAGGATCGTTCAACTCTGTGAGTTGAATACACACAACACAAGGCAGTTACTGAGAATTCTTCTGTCTAGCAGAATATGAAGAAATCCCGTTTCCAACGAAGGCCACAAAATGTCAGAATATCCAGTTACAGACTTTACAAACAGAGTGTTTCCTAACTGCTCTATGAACAGAAAGGTTAAACTCTGTGAGTTGAACGAACACATCACAACGCAGTTTGTGGGAATGATTCTGTCTATTTTTGAAACGAAGATATTTCCTTTTCTGCCATTGACCTTAAAGCGCTTGAAATCTCCATTTGCCAATTGCACAAAAAGAGTGTTTCAAATCTGCTCTGTCTAAGGGAACGTTCAACTCTGTGAGTTGAATGTACACAACACAAGGAAGTTACTGGGAATTCTTCTGTCTAGCCTTACAGGAAGAAAACCCGTTTCCAACGAAGGCCTCTAAGTGGTCAAAATATCCACGTGCAGACTTTACAAACAGAGTGTTTCCTAACTGCTCTATGAAAAGAAAGGTTAAACTCTGTGAGTTGAACGCACACATCACAAAGGAGTTTCTGAGAATCATTCTGTCTAGTTTTTATACGAAGATATTTCCTTTTCTGCCTTTGGCCCCAAAGCGCTTGAAATCTCCACTTGCAAATTCCACAAAAACAGTGTTTCAAATCTGCTGTCTCTAAATGATAGTTCAACTCTCTCAGTTGAATACACACAACACAAGGAAGTTACTGAGAATTCTTCTGTCTAGCAGAATATGAAGAAATCCCGTTTCCAACGAAGGCCTCAAGGAGGTCTGAATATCCACTTGCAGACTTTACAAACAGAGTGTTTCCTAACTGCTCTATGAACAGAAAGGTTAAACTCTGTGAGTTGAACGCACACTTCACAAAGGAGTTTCTGAGAATCATTCTGTCTAGTTTCTATAGGAAGATATTTCCTATTCTACCATTGACCTCAAAGCGGCTGAAATCTCCACTTGCAAATTCCACAAAAAGAGTGTTTCAAGTATGTTCTGTGTAAAGGATCGTTCAACTCTGTGAGTTGAATACACACAACACAAGGAAGTTACTGAGAATTCTTCTGTGTAGCATAATATGAAGAAGTCCCGTTTCCAACGAAGGCCTCAAGGAGGTCTGAATATCCACTTGCAGTCTTTACAAACAGAGTGTTTCCTAACTGCTCTATGAAAAGAATGGTTAAACTCTGTGAGTTGAATGCACACATCACAAAGGAGTTTCTGAGAATCATTCTGTCTAGTTTATATACGAAGATATTTCCTTTTCTGCCTTTGGCCCCAAAGCGCTTGAAATCTCCACTTGCAAATTCCACAAAAACAGTGTTTCAAATCTGCTCTCTCTAAATGAAAGTTCAACTCTGTCACTTGAATACACACAACACAAGGAAGTTACTGAGAATTCTTCTGTCTAGCATAATATGAAGAAATCCCGTTTCCAACGAAGGCCTCAAAGGGGTCGGAATATCCACTTGCAGACTTTATAAACAGAGTGTTTACTAACTGCTCTATGAAAAGAAAGGTTAAACTCTGTGAGTTGAACACACACATCACAAAGTAGTTTCTGAGAATCATTCTGTCTAGTTTCTATAAGAAGATATTTCCTATTCTACCATTGACCTCAAAGCGGCTGAAATCTCCACTTGCAAATTCCACAAAAAGAGTGTTTCAAGACTGTTCTTTGTAAAGGATCATTCAACTCTGTGAGTTGAATACACACAACACAAGGAAGTTACTGAGAATTCTTCTTTCTAGCAGAATATGAAGAAATCCCGTTTCCAAGGAAAGCCTCAAGGATGTCTGAATATCCACTTGCAGACTTTACAAAAAGAGTGTTTCCCAACTGCTCTATGAAAAGAAAGGTTAAACTCTGTGAGTTGAACGCACACATCACAAAGGAGTTTCTGAGAATCATTCTGTCTAGTTTTTATACGAAGATATTTCCTTTTCTACCATTGACCTCATAGCGGCTGAAATCTCCACTTGCCAATTCCACAAAAACAGTGTTTCAAGTCTACTCTGTGTAAAGGATCGTTGAACTCTGTGAGTTGAAAACACACAACACAAGGAAGTTTCTGAGAATTCTTCTGTATAGCAGAATATGAAGAAATCCCGTTTCCAAAGAAAGCCTCAAAGATGTCTGAATATCCACTTGCAGACTTTACAAACAGAGTGTTTCCTAACTGCTCTATGAAAAGAAAGGTTAAACTCTGTGAGTTGAACGTACACATCACAAAGGAGTTTCTGAGAATCATTCTGTCTAGTTTCTATAGGAAGATATTTCCTATTCTACCATTGACCTCAAAGCGGCTGAAATCTCCACTTGCAAATTCCACAAAAAGAGTATTTCAAGTCTGCTCTGTGTAAAGGATCGTTCAACTCTGTGAGTTGAATACACACAACACAAGGCAGTTACTGAGAATTCTTCTTTCTAGCAGAATATGAAGAAATCCCGTTTCCAACGAAAGCCTCAAGGAGGTCTGAATATCCACTTGCAGACTTTACAAACAGAGTGTTTCCTAACTGCTCTATGAAAAGAAAGGTTAAACTGTGTGAGTTGAACGCACACATCACAAAGGAGTTTCTCAGAATCATTCTGTCTAGTCTTTATACGAAGATATTTCCTTTTCTACCATTGACCACAAAGCGGCTGAAATCTCCACTTGCAAATTCCACAAAAAGAGTGTTTCAAGTCTGCTCTGTGTAAAGGATCATTCAACTCTGTGAGTTGAATACACACAACACAAGGAAGTTTCTGAGAATTCTTCTGTCTAGCAGAATATGAAGAAATCCCGTTTCCAACGAAGGCCACAAGATGTCAGAATATCCACTTACAAACTTTACAAACAGAGTGTTTCCGAACTGCTCTATGAACAGAAAGGTTAAACTCTGTGTGTTGAACGCACACATCAAAAAGGAGTTTATGAGAATCATTCTGTCTAGTTTTGAAACGAAGATATTTCCTTTTCTGCCATTGACCTCAAAGCGCTTGAAATCTCCACTTGCCAATTGCACAAAAAGAGTGTTTCAAATCTGCTCTGTCTAAGGGAACGTTCAACTCTGTGAGTTGAATGTACACAACACAAGGAAGTTACTGGGAATTCTTCTGTCTAGCCTTACATGAAAAAAACCCGTTTCCAACGAAGGCCACTAAGTGGTCAAAATATCCACGTGCAGACTTTACAAACAGAGTGTTTCCAAACCGCTGAATGAAAAGCAAAGTTAAACTCTGAGAGTTGAACGCACACATCACGCAGCAGTTTCTGAGAATGATTCTGTCTAGTTTTTATACGAAGATATTTCCTTTTCTGCCTTTGGCCTCAAAGCGCTTGAAATCTCCACTTGCAAATTCCACAAAAAGAGTGTTTCAAATCTGCGCTGTGTAAATGAAAGTTCAACTCTGTGAGTTGAACACACACAACACAAGGAAGTTACTGGGAATTCTTCTGTCTAGCAGAATATGAAGAAATCCCGTTTCCAACGAAGGCCTCAAGGAGGTCTGAATATCCACTTGCAGACTTTACAAACAGAGTGTTTCCTAACTGCTCTATGAACAGAAAGGTTAAAGTCTGTGAGTTGAACGAACACATCACAACGCAGTTTGTGGGAATGATTCTGTCTAGTTTTTATATGAAGATATTTCCATTTCTACCATTGACCTCAAAGCGGCTGAAATCTCCACTTACAAATTCCACAAAAAGAGTGTCTCAAGTCTGCTCTGTGTAAACGATCGTTCAACTCTGTGAGTTGAATACACACAACACAAGGAAGTTTCTGAGAATTCTTCTGTCTAGCCTTAGAGGAAAAAAACCCGATTCCAACGAAGGCCTCTAAGTGGTCAAAATATCCACGTGCAGACTTTACAAACAGAGTGTTTCCAAACTGCTGAATGAAAAGAAAAGTTAAACTCTGAGAGTTGAAGGCACACATCGCAGAGCAGTTTCTGAGAATGATTCTGTCTAGTTTTGAAACGAAGATATTTCCTTTTCTGCCTTTGGCCTCAAAGCGCTTGAAATCTCCATTTGCAAATTCCACAAAAAGAGTGTTTCAAATCTGCTCTGTGTAAATGAAAGTTCAACTCTGTGAGTTGAACACACACAGCACAAGGAAGTTACTGGGAATTCCTCTGTCTAGCAGAACATGAAGAAATCCCGCTTCCAACGAAGGCCTCAAAGAAGTCTGAATATCCACTTGCAGACTTAAAAACAGAGTGTTTCCCAACTGCTCTATGAAAAGAAAGGTTGAACTCTGTGAGTTGAACGCACACATCACAAAGCAGTTTCTGAGAATCATTCTGTCTAGTTTTTATACGAAGATATTTCCTTTTCTACCGTTGACCTCAACGCGGCTGAAATCTCCACTTGCAAATTACACAAAAAGAGTGTTTCAAGTCCGCTCTGTGTAAAGGATCGTTCAATTTTGTGAGTTAAATACACACAACACAAGGAAGTTACTGAGAATTCTTCTGTCTAGCACAGTATGAAGAAATCCCGTTTCCAACGAAGGCAGCAAAGAGGTCTGAATATCCACTTGCAGAGTTTACAAACAGAGTGTTTCCTAACTGCTCTATGAAAAGAAAGGTTAAACTCTGTGAGTTGAACGCACACATCACAATGAAGTTTCTGAGAATCATTCTGTCTAGTTTTGAAACGAAGACATTTCCTTTTCTGCCATTGACCTTAAAGCGCTTGAAATCTACACTTGCAAATTGCACAAATAGAGTGTTTCAAATCTGCTCTGTCTAAGGGAACGTTCAACTCTGTGAGTTGAATGCACACAACACAAGGAAGTTACTGGGAATTCTTCTGTCTAGCCTTACATGAAAAAAACCCGTTTCCAACGAAGGCCTCTAAGTGGTCAAAATATCCACTTGCAGACTTTACAAACAGAGTGTTTCCAAACCGCTGAATGAAAAGAAAAGTTAAACTCTGAGAGTTGAACGCACACATCACGCAGCAGTTTCTGAGAATGATTTCTGTCTAGTTTTTCTACGAAGATATTTCCTTTTCTACTATTGACCTCAAAGCGGCTGAAATCTCCACTTGCAAATTCCACAAAAAGAGTGTTTCAAGAATGCTCTGTGTAAAGGATCGTTCAACTCTGTGAGTTGAATACACACAACACAAGGAAGTTACTGAGAATTCTTCTGTCTAGCAGAATATGAAGAAATCCCGTTTCCAACGAAGGCCTCAAAGAGGTCTGAATATCCACTTGCAGACTTTACAAACAGAGTGTTTCCTAACTGCTCTATGAAAAGAAAGGTTAAACTCTGTGAGTTGAACGCACACATCACAAAGTAGTTTATGAGAATCATTCTGTCTAGTTTCTATAGGAAGATATTTCCTATTCTACCATTGACCTCAAAGCGGCTGAAATCTCCACTTGCAAATTCCAGAAAAAGAGTGTTTCAAGTCTGCTCTGTGTAAAGGATCGTTCAACTCTGTGGGTTGAATACACACAACACAAGGAAGTTACTGAGAATTCTTCTGTCTAGCAGAATATGAAGAAATCCCGTTTCCAACGAAGGCCACAAGATGTCAGAATATCCACTTACAGAATTTACAAACAGACTGTTTCCCAACTGCTCTATGAAAAGAAAGGTTAAACTCTGTGAGTTGAACACACACATCACAATGAAGTTTCTGAGAATCATTCTGTCTACTTTTGAAACGAAGATATTTCCTTTTCTGCCAACGACCTTAAAGCGCTTGAAATCTACACTTGCAAATTGCACAAATAGAGTGTTTCAAATCTGCTCTGTCTAACGGAACGTTCAATTCTGTGAGTTGAAGCACACAACACAAGGAAATTACTGGGAAATCTTCTGTCTAGCCTTACAGGAAAAAAACCCGTTTCCAACGAAGGCCTCTAAGTGGTCAAAATATCCACGTGCAGACTTTACAACCAGAGTGTTTCCAAACTGCTGAATGAAAAGAAAAGTTAAACTCTGACAGTTGAACGCACACATCGCAGAGCAGTTTCTGAGAATGATTCTGTCTAGTTTTTATACGAAGATATTTCCTTTTCTGCCTTTGGCCTCAAAGCGCTTGAAATCTCCATTTGCAAATTCCACAAAAAGAGTCTTTCAAATCTGATCTGTGTAAATGAAAGTTCAACTCTGTGAGTTGAACACACACAACACAAGGATGTTACTGGGAATTCTTCTGTCTAGCATAATATGAAGAAATCCCGTTTCCTACGAAGGCCTCAAAGAGGTCTGAATATCCACTTGCAGACTTTACAAACAGAGTGTTTCCTAAATGCTCTATGAAAAGAAAGGTTAAACTCTGTGAGTTGAGCGCACACATCACAAAGAAGTTTCTGAGAATCATTCTGTCTAGTTTCTATAGGAAGATATTTCCTATTCTACCATTGACCTCAAAGCGGCTGAAATCTCCACTTGCAAATTCAAAAAAAAGTGTGTTTCAATCTACTCTGTGTAAAGCATCGTTGAACTCTGTGAGTTGAATACACACAACACAAGGAAGTTACTGAGAATTCTTCTGTCTAGCAGAATATGAAGAAAACCCGTTTCCAACGAAGGCCACAAGATGTCAGAATATCCACTTACAGAATTGACAAACAGACTGTTTCCTAACTGCTCTATGAAAAGAAAGGTTAAACTCTGTGAGTTGAACGAACACATCACAACGCAGTTTGTGGGAATGATTCTGTCTAGTTTTGAAACGAAGATATTTCCTTTTCTGCCATTGACCTGAAAGCGCTTGAAATCTACACTTGCAAATTGCACAAATAGAGTGTTTCAAATCTGCTCTGTCTAAGGGAACGTTCAACTCTGTGAGTTGAATGCACACAACACAAGGAAGTTACTGGGAATTCTTCTGTCTAGCCTTATATGAAAAAAACCCGTTTCCAACGAAGGCCTCTAAGTGGTCAAATTATCAACGAGCAGACTTTACAAACAGAGTGTTTCCAAACTGCTGAATGAAAAGAAAAGTTAAACTCTGAGAGTTGAACGCACACATCGCAGAGCAGTTTCTGAGAATGATTCTGTCCAGTTTTTATACGAAGATATATCCTTTTCTGCCTTTGGCCCCAAAGCGCTTGAAATCTCCACTTGCAAATTCCACAAAAACAGTGTTTCAAATCTGCTCTCTCTAAATGAAAGTTCAACTCTGTCAGTTGAATACACACAACACAAGGAAGTGACTGAGAATTCTTCTGTCTAGCATAATATGAAGAAATCCCGTTTCCAACGAAGGCCTCAAAGAGGTCTGAATATCCACTTGCAGACTTTACAAACAGAGTGTGTCCTAACTGCTCTATGAAAAGAAAGGTTAAACTCTGTGAGTTGAACGCACACATCACAAAGGAGTTTCTGAGAATCATTCTGTCTAGTTTCTATAGGAAGATATTTCCTATTCTACCATTGACCTCAAAGCGGCTGAAATCTCCACTTGCAAATTCCACAAAAAGAGTGTTTCAAGTCTGCTCTCTGTAAAGGATCGTTCAACTCTGTGAGTTGAATACACACAACACAGGGAAGTTACTGAGAATTCTTCTGTCTAGCATAATATGAAGAAATCCCGTTTCCAACGAAGGCCTCAAAGGGGTCTGAATATCCACTTGCAGACTTTATAAACAGAGTGTTTACTAACTGCTCTATGAAAAGAAAGGTTAAATTCTGTGAGTTGAACACACACATCACAAAGGAGTTTCTGAGAATCATTCTGTCTAGTTTTTATACGAAGATATTTCCTTTTCTACCATTGACCTCAAAGCGGCTGAAATCTCCACTTGCAAATTCCACAAAAAGAGTGTTTCAAGTCTGCTCTGTGTAAGGGATCGTTCAACTCTGTGAGTTGAATACACACAACACAAGGAAGTTACTGAGAATTCTTCTGTCTAGCAGAATATGAAGAAATCCCGTTTCCAACGAAGGCCACAAGATGTCAGAATATCCACTTACAGAATTTACAAACAGACTGTTTCCTAACTGCTCTATGAAAAGAAAGGTTAAAGTCTGTGAGTTGAACGAACACATCACAACGCAGTTTGTGGGAATGATTCTGTCTAGTTTTGAAACGAAGATATTTCCTTTTCTGCCATTGACCTCAAAGCGCTTGAAATCTCCACTTGCCAGTTGCACAAAAAGAGTGTTTCAAATCTGCTCTGTCTAAGGGAACGTTCAACTCTGTGAGTTGAATGTACACAACACAAGGAAGTTACTGGGAATTCTTCTGTCTATCCTTACATGAAAAAAACCCGTTTCCAACGAAGGCCTCTAAGTGGTCAAATTATCCACGTGCAGACTTTACAAACAGAGTGTTTCGAAACTGCTGAATGAAAAGAAAAGTTAAACTCTGAGAGTTGAACGCACACATCGCAGAGCAGTTTCTGAGAATGATTCTGTCTAGTTTTTATACGAAGATATATCCTTTTCTGCCTTTGGCCTCAAAGCGCTTGAAATCTCCATTTGCAAATTCCACAAAAAGAGTGTTTCAAATCTGCTCTGTGGAAATGAAAGTTCAACTCTGTGAGTTGAACACACACAACACAAGGAAGTTACTGGGAATTCTTCTGTCTAACATAATATGAAGAAATCCCGTTTCCAACGAAGGCCTCAAAGGGGTCTGAATATCCAATTGCAGACTTTATAAATAGAGTGTTTACTAACTGCTCTATGAAAAGAAAGGTTAAACTCTGTGAGTTGAACACACACATCACAAAGGAGTTTCTGAGAATCATTCTGTCTAGTTTCTATAGGAAGATATTTCCTATTCTACCATTGACCTCAAAGCGGCTGAAATCTCCACTTGCAAATTCCACAAAAAGAGTGTTTCAAGTCTGCTCTGTGTAAAGGATCGTTGAACTCTGTGAGTTGAATACACACATCACAAGGAAGTTACTGAGAATTCTTCTCTCTAGCAGAATATGAAGAAATCCCGTTTCCAACGAAGGCCTCAAAGAGGTCTGAATATCCACTTGCACACTTTACAAACAGAGTGTTTCCTAACTGCTCTATGAAAAGAAAGGTTAAACTCTGTGAGTTGAACGCACACATCACAAAGGAGTTTCTGAGAATCATTCTGTCTAGTTTTTATACAAAGATATTTCCTTTTCTACCATTGACCTCAAAGCGGCTGAAATCTCCACTTGCAAATTCCACAAAAAGAGTGTTTCAAGTCTACTCTGTGTAAAGCATCGTTCAACTCTGTGAGTTGAAAACACACAACACAAGGAAGTTTCTGAGAATTCTTCTGTCTAGTCTTACATGAAAAAAAACCCGTTTCCAACGAAGGCCTCTAAGTGGTCAAAATATCCACTTGCAGACTTTACAACCAGAGTGTTTCCTAACTGCTCTATGAAAAGAAAGGTTAAACTCTGTGAGTTGAACGCACACATCACAAAGGAGTTTCTGAGAATCATTCTGTCTAGTTTTGAAACGAAGATATTTCCTTTTCTGCCTTTGGCCTCAAAGTGCTTGAAATCTCCACTTGCAAATTCCACAAAAAGAGTGTTTCAAATCTGCTCTGTGTAAATGGAAGTTCAACTCTGTGAGTTGAACACACACAACACAAGGAAGTTACTGGGAATTCTTCTGTCTAGCACAGTATGAAGAAATCCGGTTTCCAACGAAGGCCTCAAAGAGGTCTGAATATCCACTTGCAGACTTTACAAACAGAGTGTTTCCTAACTGCTCTATGAAAAGAAGGGTTAAACTCTGTGAGTTGAACACACACATCTCAAAGGAGTTTCTGAGAATCATTCTGTCTAGTTTTTATACGAAGATATTTCCTTTTCTACCATTGACCTCAAAGCGGCTGAAATCTCCACTTGCAAATTCCACAAAAAGAGTGTTTCAAGTCTGCTCTGTGTAAAGGATCGTTCAACTCTGTGAGTTGAATACACACAACACAAGGAAGTTTCTGAGAATTCTTCTTTCTAGCAGAATATGAAGAAATCCCGTTTCCAACGAAAGCCTCAAGGATGTCTGAATATCCACTTGCAGACTTTACAAACAGAGTGTTTCCTAACTGCTCTATGAATAGAAAGGTTAAACTCTGTGAGTTGAACGCACACATCACAAAGGAGTTTCTGAGAATCATTCTGTCTAGTTTTGAAACGAAGATATTTCCTTTTCTGCCATTGACCTCAAAGCGCTTGAAATCTCCACTTGCCAATTGCACAAAAAGAGTGTTTCAAATCTGCTCTGTCTAAGGGAACGTTCAACTCTGTGAGTTGAATGTATACAACACAAGGAAGTTACTGGGAATTCTTCTGTCTAACCTTACATGACAAAAACCCGCTTGCAACGAAGGCCTCTAAGTGGTCAAAATATCCACGTGCAGACTTTACAAACAGAGTGTTTCCAAACTGCTGAATGAAAAGAAAAGTTAAACTCTGAGCGCTGAAGGCACACATCGCAGAGCAGTTTCTGAGAATGATTCTGTCTAGTTTTTATACGAAGATATTTCCTTTTCTGCCTTTGGCCTCAAAGCGCTTGAAATCTCCACTTGCAAATTCCACAAAAAGAGTGTTTCCAATCTGCTCTGTGTAAATGAAAGTTCAACTCTGTGAGTTGAATACACACAACACAAGGAAGTTACTGGGAATTCTTCTGTTTAGCATAATATGAAGAAATCCCGTTTCCAACGAAGGCCTCAAGGAGGTCTGAATATCCACTTGCAGACTTTACAAACAGAGTGTTTCCTAACTGCTCTATGAGAAGAAAAGTTAAACTCTGTGAGTTGAACGCACACATCACAAAAGATTTTCTGAGAATCATTCTGTCTAGTTTTTATACGAAGGATATTTCATTTTCTACCATTGACCTCAAAGCGGCTGAAATCTCCACTTGCAAATTCCACAAAAAGAGTGTTTCAAATCTGCTCTGTGTAAACCATCGTTCAACTCTGTGAGTTGAATACACACAACACAAGGAAGATTCTGAGAATTCTTCTGTCTAGCATAATATGAAGAAATCCCGTTTCCAACGAAGGCCTCAAGGAGGTCTGAATATCCACTTACAGACTTAACAAACAGAGTGTTTCCTAACTGCTCTATGAAAAGAAAGGTTAAACTCTGTGAGTTGAACGCACACTTCACAAAGGAGTTTATGAGAATCATTCTGTCTAGTTTTTATACGAAGATATTTCCTTTTCTATCATTGACCTCAAAGCGGCTGAAATCTCCACTTGCAAATTCCACAAATAGAGTGTTTCAAGTCTGCTCTGTGTAAAGGATCGTTCAACTCTGTGAGTTGAATACACACAACACAAGGAAGTTACTGAGAATTCTTTCTGTCTAGCAGAATATGAAGAAATCCCGTTTCCAACGAAGGCCACAAGATGTCAGAATATCTACTTACAGACTTTACAAACAGAGTGTTTCCTAACTGCTCTATGAACAGAAAGGTTAAACTCTGTGAGTTGAACGAACACATCACAACGCAGTTTTTGGGAATGATTCTGTCTAGTTTTGAAACGAAGATATTTCCTTTTCTGCCATTGACCTTAAAGCGCTTGAAATCTACACTTGCAAATTGCACAAATAGAGTGTTTCAAATCTGCTCTGTCTAAGGAAACGTTCAACTCTGTGAGTTGAATGCACACAACACAAGGAAGTTACTGGGAATTCTTCTGTCTAGCCTTACATGAAAAAAACCCGTTTCCAACGAAGGCCTCTAAGTGGTCAAAATATCCACGTGCAGACTTTACAAACAGAGTGTTTCCAAACCGCTGAATGAAAAGAAAAGTTAAACTCTGAGAGTTGAACGCAAACATCACGCAGCAGTTTTTGAGAATGATTCTGTCTAGTTTCTATAGGAAGATATTTCCTATTCTACCATTGATCTCAAAGCGGCTGAAATCTCCACTTGCAAATTCCACAAAAAGAGTGTTTCAAGTCTGCTCTCTGTAAAGGATCGTTCAACTCTGTGAGTTGAATACACACAACACAAGGAAGTTACTGAGAATTCTTCTGTCTAGCAGGATATGAAGAAATCCCGTTTCCAACAAAGGCCTCAAGGAGGTCTGAATATCCACTTGCAGACTTTACAAACAGAGTGTTTCCTAACTCCTCTATGAAAAGAAAGGTTAAACTCTGTGAGTTGAACGCACACATCACAAAGGAGTTTCTGAGAATCATTCTGTCTAGTTTTTATAGGAAGATATTTCCTTTTCTACCTTTGACTTCAAAGCGGCTGAAATCTCCACTTGCAAATTCCACAAAAAGTGTGTTACAAGTCTGCTCTGTCTAAGGGAACGTTCAACTCTGTGAGTTGAATGTACACAACACAAGGAAGTTACTGGGAATTCTTCTGTCTAGCATAATATGAAGAAATCCCGTTTCCAACGAAGGCCTCAAGGAGGTCTGAATATCAACTTGCAGACTCTACAAACAGAGTGTTTCCTAACTGCTCTATGAAAAGAAAGGTTAAACTCTGTGAGTTGAACGCACACATCACAAAGGAGTTTCTGAGAATCATTCTGTCTAGTTTCTATAGGAAGATATTTCCTATTCTACCATTGACCTCAAAGCGGCTGAAATCTCCACTTGCAAATTCCAGAAAAAGAGTGTTTCAAGTCTGCTCTGTGTAAAGGATCGTTGAAATCTGTGAGTTGAATACACACAATACAATGAAGTTACTGAGAATTCTTCTGTCTAGCATTATATGAAGAAATCCTGTTTCCAACGAAGGCCTCTAAGAGGTCTGAATATCCACCTGAAGACTTTACAAACAGAGTGTTTCCTAACTGTTCTATGAAAAGAAAGGTTAAACTCTGTGAGTTGAATGCACACATCACAAAGGAGTTTCTGAGAATCATTCTGTCTAGTTTTTATAGGAAGATATTTCCTTTTCTACCTTTGACTTCAAAGCGGCTGAAATCTCCACTTGCAAATTCCACAAAAAGAATGTTACAAGTCCGCTCTGTGTAAAGGATCGTTCAACTCTGTGAGTTGAATACACACAACACAAGGAAGTTACTGAGAATTCTTCTGTCTAGCACAATACGAAGAAATCCCGTTTCCAACGAAGGCCACAAGATGTCAGAATATCCACTTACAGACTTTACAAACAGAGTGTTTCCTAACTGCTCTATGAACAGAAAGGTTAAACTCTGTGAGTTGAACGAACACATCACAACGCAGTTTGTGGGAATGATTCTGTCTAGTTTTGAAACGAAGATATTTCCTTTTCTACCATTGACCTTTAAGCGCTTGAAATCTACACTTGCAAATTGCACAAATAGAGTGTTTCAAATCTGCTCTGTCTAAGGGAACGTTCATCTCTGTGAGTTGAATGCACACAACACAAGGAAGTTACTGGTAATTCTTCTGTCTAGCCTTACATGACAAAAACCCGTTTCCAACGAAGACCTCTAAGTGGTCAAAATATCCACGTGCAGGCTTTACAAACAGAGTGTTTCCAAACTGCTGAATGAAAAGAAAAGTTAAACTCTGAGAGCTGAAGGCACACATCGCAGAGCAGTTTCTGAGCATGATTCTGTCTAGTTTTTATACGAAGATATTTCGTTGTCTGCCTTTGACCCCAAAGCGCTTGAAATCTCCACTTGCAAATTCCACAAAAACAGTGTTTCAAATCTGCTCTCTCTAAATGAAAGTTCAACTCTGTCAGTTGAATACACACAACACAAGGAAGTTACTGAGAATTCTTCTGTCTAGCATAATATGAAGAAATCCCGTTTCCAACGAAGGCCTCAAAGGGGTCTGAATATCCACTTGCAGACTTTATAAACAGAGTGTTTACTAACTGCTCTATGAAAAGAAAGGTTAAACTCTGTGAGTTGAACACACACATCACAAAGGATTTTGTGGGAATCATTCTGTCTAGTTTCTATAGGAAGATATTCCCTATTCTACCATTGACCTCAAAGCGGCTGAAATCTCCACTTCCAAATTCCACAAAAAGAATGTTTCAAGTCTGCTCTGTGTAAAGGATCGTTCAACTCTGTGAGTTGAATACACACAACACAAGGAAGTTACTGAGAATTCTTCTGTCTAGCAGAATATGAAGAAATCCCGTTTCCATCGAAGGCCACAAGATGTCAGAATATCCACTTACAGAATTTACAAACAGACTGTTTCCTAACTGCTCTATGAAAAGAAAGGTTAAACTCTGTGAGATGAACGAACACATCACAACGCAGTTTTTGGGAATGATTCTGTCTAGTTTTGAAACGAAGATATTTCCTTTTCTGCCGTTGACCTGAAAGCGCTTGAAATCTATACTTGCAAATTGCACAAATAGAGTGTTTCAAATCTGCTCTGTCTAAGGGAACGTTCAACTCTGTGAGTTGAATGCACACAACACAAGGAAGTTACTGGGAATTCTTCTGTCTAGCCTTACATGAAAAAAACCCGTTTCCAACGAAGGCCTCAAAGAGGTCTGAGTATCCACTTGCAGACTTTACAAACAGAGTGTTTCCTAATGGCTCTATGAAAAGAAAAGTTAAACTCTGTGAGTTGAACGCACACATCACAAAGGAGTTTCTGAGAATCGTTCTGTCTAGTTTTTATACGAAGATATTACCTTTTCTGCCTTTGGCCTCAAAGCGCTTGAAATCTCCACTTGCAAATTCCACAAAAAGAGTGTTTCAAATCTGCTCTGGGTAAATGAAAGTTCAACTCTGTGAGTTGAACACACACAACACAAGGAAGTTACTGGGAATTCTTCTGTCTAGCATAATATGAAGAAATCCCGTTTCCAACGAAGGCCTCAAAGGGGTCTGAATATCCACTTGCAGACTTTATAAACAGAGTGTTTACTAACTGCTCTATGAAAAGAAAGGTTAAACTGTGTGAGTTGAACACACACATCACAAAGGAGTTTCTGAGAATCATTCTGTCTAGTTTTTATATGAAGATATTTCCTTTTCTACCATTGACCTCAACGCGGCTGAAATCTCCACTTGCAAATTCCACAAAAAGAGTGTTTCAAGTCTGCTCTGTGTAAAGGATCGTTCAACTCTGTGAGTTGAATACACACAACACAAGGAAGTTACTGAGAATTCTTCTGTCTAGCAGAATATGAAGAAATCCCGTTTCCAACGAAGGCCACAAGATGTCAGAATATCCACTTACAGACTTTACAAACAGAGTGTTTCCTAACTGCTCTATGAACAGGAAGGTTAAACTCTGTGAGTTGAACGAACACATCACAACGAAGTTTGTGGGAATGATTCTGTCTAGTTTTGAAACGAAGATATTTCCTTTTCTGCCGTTGACCTTAAAGCGCTTGAAATCTACACTTGCAAATTGCACAAAGAGAGTGTTTCAAATCTGCTCTGTCTAAGGGAACGTTCAACTCTGTGAGTTGAATGCACACAACACAAGGAAGTTACTGGGAATTCTTCTGTCTAGCCTTACAGGAAAAAAACCCGTTTCCAACGAAGGCCTCTAAGTGGTGAAAATATCCACGTGCAGACTTTACAAACAGAGTGTTTCCAAACTGCTGAATGAAAAGAAAAGTTAAACTCTGAGAGTTCAACGCACACATCGCAGAGCAGTTTCTGAGAATGATTCTGTCTAGTTTTTATACGAAGATATTTCCTTTTCTGCCTTTGGCCTCACAGCGCTTGAAATCTCCACTTGCAAATTCCACAAAAAGAGTGTTTCAAATCTGCTCTGTGTAAATCAAAGTTCAACTCTGTGAGTTGAACACACACAACACAAGGAAGTTACTGGGAATTCTTCTGTCTAGCAGAATATGAAGAAATCCCGTTTCCAATGAAGGCCTCAAAGAGGTCTGAATATCCACTTGCAGACTTTACAAACAGAGTGTTTCCTAACTGCTCTATGAAAAGAAAGGTTAAACTCTGTGAGTTGAACGCACACATCACAAAGGAGTTTCTGAGAATCGTTCTGTCTAGTTTTTCTACGAAGATATTTCCTTTTCGACTATTGACCTCAAAGCGGCTGAAATCTCCACTTGCAAATTCCACAAAAAGAGTGTTTCAAGTCTGCTCTGTGTAAAGGGATCGTTCAACTCTGTGAGTTGAATACACACAACACAAGGAAGTTACTGAGAATTCTTCTATCTAGCAGAATATGAAGAAATCCCGTTTCCAACGAAGGCCACAAGATGTCAGAATATGCACTTTCAGACTTTACAAACAGAGTGTTTCCTAACTGCTCTATGAACAGAAAGGTTAAACTCTGTGAGTTGAACGAACACATCACAACGCAGTTTGTGGGAATGATTCTGTCTAGTTTTGAAACGAAGATATTTCCTTTTCTGCCATTGACCTTAAAGCGCTTGAAATCTACACTTGCAAATTGCACAAATAGAGTGTTTCAAATCTGCTCTGTCTAAGGGAACGTTCAACTCTGTGAGTTGAATGCACACAACACAAGGAAGTTACTTGGAATTCTTCTGTCTAGCCTTACATGAAAAAAACCCGTTTCCAACGAAGGCCTCTGAGTGGTCAAAATTTCCACGTGCAGACTTTACAAACAGAGTGTTTCCAAACCGCTGAATGAAAAGAAAAGTTAAACTCTGAGAGTTGAACGCACACATCACGCAGCAGTTTCTGAGAATGATTCTGTCTAGTTTTGAAACGAAGATATTTCCTTTTCTGCCTTTGGCCCCAAAGCGCTTGAAATCTCCACTTGCAAATTCCACAAAAAGAGTGTTTCAAATCTGCTCTGTGTAAATGAAAGTTCAACTCTGTGATTTGAACACACACAACACAAGGAAGTTACTGGGAATTCTTCTGTCTAGACTTATATGAAAAAAACCCGTTTCCAACGAAGGCCTCAAAGAGGTCTGAATATCCACTTGCAGACTTTACAAACAGAGTGTTTCCTAACTGCTCTATGAAAAGAAAGGTTAAACTCTGTGAGTTGAACGCACACATCACAAAGGAGTTTCTGAGAATCATTCTGTCTAGTTTTTATACGAAGATATTTCCTTTTCTACCATTGACCTCAAAGCGGCTGAAATCTCCAATTGCTAATTCCACAAAAAGAGTGTTTCAAATCTGCTCTGTGTAAACCATCGTTCAACTCTGTGAGTTGAATACACACAACACAAGGAAGTTACTGAGTATTCTTCTGTCTAGCACAGTATGAAGAAATACCGTTTCCAACGAAGGCCTCAAAGAGGTCTGAATATCCACTTGCAGAGTTTACAAACAGAGTGTTTCCTAACTGCTCTATGAAAAGAACGGTTAAACTCTGTGAGTTGAACGCACACATCACAATGAAGTTTCTGAGAATCATTCTGTCTAGTCTTTATACGAAGATATTTCCTTTTCTGCCTTTGGCCCCAAAGCGCTTGAAATCTCCACTTGCAAATTCCACAAAAACAGTGTTTCAAATCTGCTCTCTCTAAATGAAAGTTCAACTCTGTCAGTTGAATACACACAACACAAGGAAGTTACTGAGAATTCTTCTTTCTAGCAGAATATGAAGAAATCCCGTTTCCAACGAAAGCCTCAAGGATGTCTGAATATCCACTTGCAGACTGTACAAACAGAGTGTTTCCTAACTGCTCTATGAAAAGAAAGGTTAAACTCTGTGAGTTGAACGCACACATCACAAAGGAGTTTCTGAGAATCATTCTGTCTAGTTTTTATACGAAGATAATTCCTTTTCTACCATTGACCTCAAAGCGGCTGAAATCTCCACTTACAAATTCCGCAAAAAGAGTGTTTCAAGTCTGCTCTGTGTAAAGGATCGTTCAACTCTGTGAGTTGAATACACACAACACAAGGGAAGTTACTGAGAATTCTTCTCTCTAGCAGAATATGAAGAAATCCCGTTTCGAACGAAGGCCTCAAAGAGGTCTAAATATCCACTTGCAGACTTTACAAACAGAGTGTTTCCTAACTGCTCTATGAAAAGAAAGGTTAAACTCTGTGAGCTGAACGAACACATCACATAGGAGTTTCTGAGAATCATTCTGTCTAGTTTTTATAGGAAGATATTTCCTTTTCTACCATTGACCTCAAAGCGGCTGAAATCTCCACTTGCAAATTCCACAAAAAGAGTGTTTCAAGTCTGCTCTGTGTAAAGGATCGTTGAACTCTGTGAGTTGAATACACACAACACAATGAAGTTACTGAGAATTCTTCTTTCTAGCAGAATATGAAGAAATCCCGTTTCCAACGAAAGCCTCAAGGATGTCTGAATATCCACCTGCAGACTTTACAAACAGAGTGTTTCCTAACTGCTCTATGAAAAGAAAGGTTAAACTCTGTGAGTTGAACGCACACATCACAAAGGAGTTTCTGAGAATCATCTGTCTAGTTTCTATAGGAAGATATTTCCTATTCTACCATTGACCTCAAAGCGGCTGAAATCTCCACTTGCAAATTCCACAAAAAGAGTGTTTCAAGTCTGCTCTGTGTAAAGGATCGTTCAACTCTGTGAGTTGAATACACACAACACAAGGAAGTTACTGAGAATTCTTTCTGTCTAGCAGAATATGAAGAAATCCCGTTTCCAACGAAGGCCACAAGATGTCAGAATATCCACTTACAGACTTTACAAACAGTGTGTTTCCTAACTGCTCTATGAACAGAAAGGTTAAACTCTGTGAGTTGAACGAACACATCACAACGCAGTTTGTGGGAATGATTCTGTCTAGTTTTGAAACGAAGAATATTTCCTTTTCTGCCATTGACCTTAAAGCGCTTGAAATCTCCATTTGCCAATTGCACAAAAAGAGTGTTTCAAATCTGCTCTGTCTAAGGGAACGTTCAACTCTGTGAGTTGAATGTACACAACACAAGGAAGTTACTGGGAATTCTTCTGTCTAGCCTTACAGGAAAAAAACCCGTTTCCAACGAAGTCCTCTAAGTGGTCAAGTTATCCACGTGCAGACTTTACAAACAGATTGTTTCCAAACTGCTGAATGAAAAGAAAAGTTAAACTCTGAGAGTTGAACGCACACATCGCAGAGCAGTTTCTGAGAATGATTCTGTCTAGTTTTTATATGAAGATATTTCCTTTTCTGCCTTTGGCCTCAAAGCGCTTGAAATCTCCACCTGCAAATTCCACAAAAAGAGTGTTTCAAATCTGCTCTGTGTAAATGAAAGTTCAACTCTGTGAGTTGAACACACACAACACAAGGAAGTTACTGGGAATTCTTCTGTCTAGCCTTATATGAAAAAACCCGTTTCCAACGAAGGCCTCAAAGAGGTCTGAATATCCACTTGCAGACTTTACAAACAGAGTGTTTCCTAACTGCTCTATGAAAAGAAAGGTTAAACTCTGTGAGTTGAACACACACATCACAAAGGAGTTTCTGAGAATCATTCTGTCTAGTTTCTATAGGAAGATGTTTCCTATTCTACCATTGACCTCAAAGCGGCTGAAATCTCCAGTTGCAAATTCCACAAAAAGAATGTTTCAAGTCTGCTCTGTGTAAAGCATCGTTCAACTCTGTGAGTTGAATACACACAACACAAGGAAGTTACTGAGAATTATTCTGTCTAGCAGAATATGAAGAAATCCCGTTTCCAACGAAGGCCACAAGATGTCAGAATATCCACTTACAGAATTTACAAACAGACTGTTTCCTAACTGCTCTATGAAAAGAAAGGTTAAACTCTGTGAGTTGAACGAACACATAACAACGCAGTTTGTGGGAATGATTCTGTCTAGTTTTTATACGAAGATATTTCCTTTTCTACCATTGACCTCAAAGAGGCTGAAATCACCACTTGCCAATTGCACAAAAAGAGTGTTTCAAATCTGCTCTGTCTAAGGGAACGTTCAACTCTGTGAGTTGAATGTACACAACACAAGGAAGTTACTGGGAATTCTTCTGTCTAGCCTTACATGAAAAAAACCCGTTTCCAACGAAGGCCTCTAAGTGGTCAAAATATCCACGTGCAGACTTTACAAACAGAGTGTTTCCAAACCGCTGAATGAAAAGAAAAGTTAAACTTTGAGAGTTGAACGCACGCATCACGCAGCAGTTTCTGAGAATGATTCTGTCTAGTTTTTATACGAAGATATTTCCTTTTCTGCCTTTGGCCTCAATGCGCTTGAAATCTCCATTTGCAAATTCCACAAAAAGAGTGTTTCAAATCTGCTCTGTGTAAATGAAAGTTCAACTCTGTGAGTTGAACACACACAACACAAGGAAGTTACTGGGAATTCTTCTGTCTAGCCTTATATGAAAAAATCCCGTTTCCAACGAAGGTCTCAAAGAGGTCTGAATATCCACTTGCAGACTTTACAAACAGAGTGTTTCCTAACTGCTCTATGAAAAGAAAGGTTAAACTCTGTGAGTTGAACACACACATCACAAAGGAGTTTCTGAGAATCATTCTGTCTAGTTTTTATAGGAAGATATTTCCTTTTCTACCTTTGACTTCAAAGCGGCTGAAATCTCCACTTGCAAATTCCAGAAAAAGAGTGTTACAAGTCTGCTCTGTGTAAAGGATCGTTCAACTCTGTGAGTTGAATACACACAACACAAGGAAGTTACTGGGAATTCTTCTGTCTAGCAGAATATGAAGAAATCCCGTTTCCAACGAAGGCCACAAGATGTCAGAATATCCACTTACAGACTTTACAGAGTGTTTCCTAACTGCTCTATGAAGAGAAAGGTTAAACTCTGTGAGTTGAACGAACACATCACAACGCAGTTTGTGGGAATGATTCTGTCTAGTTTTGAAACGACGATATTCCCTTTTCTGCCATTGACCTTAAAGCGCTTGAAATCTCCACTTGCCAATTGCACAAAAAGAGTGTTTCAAATCTGCTGTGTCTAAGGGAACCTTCAAATCTGTGAATTGAATGTACACAACACAAGGAAGTTACTGGGAATTCTTCTGTCTAGCCTTATATGAAAAAAACCCGTTTCCAACGAAGGCCTCTAAGTGGTCAAAATATCCACGTGCAGACGTTACAAACAGAGTGTTTCCAAACTGCTGAATGAAAAGAAAAGTTAAACTCTGAGAGTTGAACGCACACATCGCAGAGCAGTTTCTGAGAATGATTCTGTCTAGTTTTTATACGAAGATATTTCCTTTTCTGCATTTGGCCTCAAAGCGCTTGAAATCTCCACTTGCAAATTCCACAAAAAGAGTGTTTCCAATCTGCTCTGTGTAAATGAAAGTTCAACTCTGTGAGTTGAATACACACAACACAAGGAAAGTTACTGGGAATTCTTCTGTCTAACATAGTATGAAGAAATCCCGTTTCCAACGAAGGCCTCAAAGAGGTCTGAATATCCAATTGCAGAGTTTACAAACAGAGTGTTTCCTAACTGCTCTATGTAAAGAAAGGTTAAACTCTGTGAGTTGAACGCACACATCACAAAGAAGTTTCTGAGAATCATTCTGTCTAGTTTCTATAGGAAGATATTTCCTATTCTACCATTGACCTCAAAGCGGCTGAAATCTCCACTTGCAAATTCCAAAAAAAGAGTGTTTCAAGTCTGCTCTGTGTAAAGGATCGTTCAACTCTGTGAGTTTAATACACACAACACAAGGAAGTTACTGAGAATTCTTCTGTCTAGCATAGTATGAAGAAATCCTGTTTCCAACGAAGGCCTCAAAGAGGTCTGAATATCCACTTGCAGAGTTTACAAACAGAGTGTTTCCTAACTGCTCTATGAAAAGAAAGGTTAAACTCTGTGAGTTGAACGCACACATCACAAAGAAGTTTCTGAGAATCATTCTGTCTAGTTTTTCTACGAAGATATTTCCTTTTCTACTATTGACCTCAAAGCGGCTGAAATCTCCACTTGCAAATTCCACAAAAACAGTGTTTCAAATCTGCTCTCTCTAAATGAAAGTTCAACTCTGTCAGTTGAATACACACAACACAAGGAAAGTTACTGAGAATTCTTCTGTCTAGCCTTATATGAAAAAAACCCGTTTCCAACGAAGGCCTCAAAGAGGTCTGAATATCCACTTGCAGACTTTACCAACAGAGTGTTTCCTAACTGCTCTATGAAAAGAAAGGTTAAACTCTGTGAGTTGAACACACACATCACAAAGGCGTTTCTGAGAATCATTGTGTCTAGTTTTTATACGAAGATATTTCCTTTTCTACCATTGACCTCAACGCGGCTGAAATCTCCACTTGCAAATTCCACAAAAAGAGTGTTTCAAGTCCTCTCTGTGTAAAGGATCGTTCAACTCTGTGAGTTGAGTACACACAACACAAGGAAGTTACTGAGAATTCTTCTGTCTAGCCTTACATGAAAAAACCCCGTTTCCAACGAAGGCCTCTAAGTGGTCAAATTATCCACGTGCAGACTTTACAAACAGAGTGTTTCCAAACTGCTGAATGAAAAGAAAAGTTAAACTCTGAGAGTTGAACGCACACATCGCAGAGCAGTTTCTGAGAATGATTCTGTCTAGTTTTGAAACGAAGATATTTCCTTTTCTGCCTTTGGCCTCAAAGCGCTTGAAATCTCCATTTGCAAATTCCACAAAAAGAGTGTTTCAAATCTGCTCTGTGTAAATGAAAGTTCAACTCTGTGAGTTGAACACACACAACAGAAGGAAGTTACTGGGAATTCTTCTGTCTAGCACAGTATGGAGAAATCCCGTTTCCAACGAAGGCCTCAAAGGAGGTCTGAATATCCACTTGCAGAGTTTACAAACAGAGTGTTTCCTAACTGCTCTATGAACAGAAAGGTTAAACTCTGTGAGTTGAACGCACACATCACAAAGAAGTTTCTGAGAATCATTCTGTCTAGTTTTTATACGAAGATATTTCCTTTTCTAACATTGACCTCAAAGCGGCTGAAATCTCCACTTGCAAATTCCACAAAAAGAGTGTTTCAAGTCTGCTCTGTGTAAACTATCGTTCAACTCTGTGAGTTGAATACACACAACACAAGGAAGTTTCTGAGAATTCTTCTGTCTAGCAGAATATGAAGAAATCCCGTTTCCAACGAAGGCCACAAGATGTCAGGATATCCACTTACAGAATTTACAAACAGACTGTTTCCTAACTGCTCTATGAAAAGAAAGGTTAAACTCTGTGAGATGAACGAACACATCACAACGCAGTTTGTGGGAATGATTCTGTGTAGTTTTGAAACGAAGATATTTCCTTTTCTGCCATTGACCTTAAAGCGCTTGAAATCTCCACTTCCCAATTGCACAAAAAGAGTGTTTCAAATCTGCTCTGTCTAAGGGAACGTTCAACTCTGTGAGTTGAATGTACACAACACAAGGAATTTACTGGGAAATCTTCTGTCTAGCCTTACGTGAATAAAACCCGTTTCCAACGAAGGCCTCTAAGTGGTCAAGTTATCCACGTGCAGACTTTACAAACAGAGTGTTTCCAAACTGCTGAATGAAAAGAAAAGTTAAACTCTGAGAGTTGAACGCACACATCGCAGAGCAGTTTCTGAGAATGATTCTGTCTAGTTTTGAAACGAAGATATTTCCTTTTCTGTCTTTGGCCTCAAAGCGCTTGAAATCTCCATTTGCAAATTCCACAAAAAGAGTCTTTCAAATCTGCTCTGTGTAAATGAAAGTTCAACTCTGTGAGTTGAACACACACAACACAAGGATGTTAGTGGTAATTCTTTTGTCTACCCTTATATGAAAAAAACCCGTTTCCAACGAAGGCCTCAAAGAGGTCTGAATATCCACTTGCAGACTTTACAAACAGAGTGTTTCCTAACTGCTCTATGAAAAGAAAGGTTAAACTCTGTGAGTTGAACGCACACATCACAAAGGAGTTTCTGAGAATCATTCTGTCTAATTTTTATACGAAGATATTTCCTTTTCTACCATTGACCTCAAAGCGGCTGAAATCTCCACTTGCAAATTCCACAAAAAGAGTGTTTCAAGTCTGCTCTGTGTAAAGGATCGTTCAACTCTGTGAGTTGAATACACACAATAAAAGGAAGTTACTGAGAATTCTTCTGTCTAGCAGAACATGAAGAAATCCCGTTTCCAACGAAGGCCACAAGATGTCAGAATATCCACTTACAGAATTTACAAACAGAGTGTTTCCTAACTGCTCTATGAAAAGAACGGTTAAACTCTGTGAGTTGAACGAACACATCACAACGCAGTTTGTGGGAATGATTCTGTCTAGTTTTGAAACGAAGATATTTCCTTTTCTGCCATTGACCTTAAAGCGCTTGAAATCTCCACTTGCCAATTTCTCAAAAAGAGTGTTTCAAATCTGCTCTGTCTAAGGGAACGTTCAACTCTGTGAGTTGAATGTACACAACACAAGGAAGTTACTGGGAATTCTTCTGTCTAGCCTTACATGAAAAAAAACCCGTTTCCAACGAAGGCCACTAAGTGGTCAAAATATCCACGTGCAGACTTTACAAACAGAGTGTTTCCAAACCGCTGAATGAAAAGAAAAGTTAAACTCTGAGAGTTGAACGCACACATCACGCAGCAGTTTCTGAGAATGATTCTGTCTAGTTTTTATACGAAGATATTTCCTTTTCTGTCCTTGGCCCCAAAGCGCTTGAAATCTCCACTTGCAAATTCCACAAAAACAGTGTTTCAAATCTGCTCTCTCTAAATGAAAGTTCAACTCTGTCAGTTGAATACACACAACACAAGGAAGTTACTGAGAATTCTTCTGTCTAGCAGAATATGAAGAAATCCTGTTTCCAACGAAGGCCTCAAGGAGGTCTGAATATCCACTTGCAGACTTTACAAACAGAGTGTTTCCTAACTGCTCTATGAAAAGAAAAGTTAAACTCTGTGAGTTGAACGCACACATCACAAAGGAGTTTCTGAGAATCATTCTGTCTAGTTTTTATACGAAGTTATTTCCTTTTCTACCATTGACCTCAACGCGGCTGAAATCTCCACTTGCAAATTCCACAAAAAGAGTGTTTCAAGTCTGCTCTGTGTAAAGGATCGTTCAACTCTGTGAGTTGAATACACACAACACAAGGAAGTTACTGAGAATTCTTCTGTCTAGCAGAATATGAAGAAATCCCGTTTCCAACGAAGGCCACAAGATGTCAGAATATCCACTTACAGACTTTACAAACAGAGTGTTTCCTAACTGCTCTATGAACAGAAAGGTTAAACTCTGTGAGTTGAACGAACACATCCCAACGCAGTTTGTGGGAATGATTCTGTCTAGTTTTTATACGAAGATATTTCCTTTTATACCATTGACCACAAAGCGGCTGAAATCACCACTTGCCAATTGCACAAAAAGACTGTTTCAAATCTGCTCTGTCTAAGGGAACGTTCAACTCTGTGAGTTGAATGTACACAACACAAGGAAGTTACTGGGAATTCTTCTGTCTAGCCTTACATGAAAAAAACCCGTTTCCAACGAAGGCCTCTAAGTGGTCAAAATATCCACGTGCAGACTTTACAAACAGAGTGTTTCCAAACCGCTGAATGAAAAGAAAAGTTAAACTCTGAGAGTTGAACGCACACATCACTCAGCAGTTTCTGAGAATGATTCTGTCTAGTTTTTATACGATGATATTTCCTTTTCTGCCTTTGGCCCCAAAGCGCTTGAAATCTCCACTTGCAAATTCCACAAAAACAGTGTTTCAAATCTGCTCTCTCTAAATGAAAGTTCAACTCTGTCAGTTGAATACACACAACACAAGGAAGTTACTGAGAATTCTTCTGTCTAGCATAATATGAAGAAATCCCGTTTCCAACGAATGCCTCAAGGAGGTCTGTATATCCACTTGCAGACTTTACAAACAGAGTGTTTCCTAACTGCTCTATGAAAAGAAAGGTTAAACTGTGTGAGTTGAACGCACACATCACAAAGGAGTTTCTGAGAATCATTCTGTCTAGTTTCTATAGGAAGATATGTCCTATTCTACCATTGACCTCACAGCGGCTGAAATCTCCACTTGCAAATTCCACAAAAAGAGTGTTTCAAGTCTGCTCTGTGTAAAGGATCGTTCAACTCTGTGAGTTGAATACACACAACACAAGGAAGTTACTTATAATTCTTCTGTATAGCCTTACATGAAAAAAACCCGTTTCCAACGAAGGCCTCTAAGTGGTCAAATTATCCACGTGCAGACTTTACAAACAGAGTGTTTCCAAACTGCTGAATGAAAAGAAAAGTTAAACTCTGAGAGTTGAACGCACACATCGCAGAGCAGTTTCTGAGAATGATTCTGTCTAGTTTTTATACGAAGATATTTCCTTTTCTGCCTTTGGCCCCAAAGCGCTTGAAATCTCCACTTGCAAATTCCACAAAAACAGAGTTTCAAATCTGCTCTCTCTAAATGAAAGTTCAACTCTGTCAGTTGAATACACACAACACAAGGGAAGTTACTGAGAATTCTTCTGTCTAGCCTTATATGAAAAAAACCCGTTTCCAACGAAGGCCTCAAAGAGGTCTGAATATCCACTTGCAGACTTTACAAACAGAGTGTTTCCTAACTCCTCTATGAAAAGAAAGGTTAAACTCTGTGAGTTGAACGAACACATCACAAAGGAGTTTCTGAGAATCATTCTGTCTAGTCTTTATAGGAAGATATTTCCTTTTCTACCATTGACCACAAAGCGGCTGAAATCTCCACTTGCAAATTCCACAAAAAGAGTGTTTCAAGTCTGCTCTGTGTAAAGGATCATTCAACTCTGTGAGTTGAATAAACACAACACAAGGAAGTTACTGAGAATTCTTCTGTCTAGCAGAATATGAAGAAATCCCGTTTCCAAAGAAGGCCAAAAGATGTCGGAATATCCACTTACAGACTTTACAAACAGAGTGTTTCCTAACTGCTCTATGAACAGAAAGTTTAAACTCTGTGAGTTGAACGAACACATCACAACGCAGTTTGTGGGAATGATTCTGTCTAGTTTTGAAACGAAGATATTTCCTTTTCTGCCATTGACCTTAAAGCGCTTGAAATCTACACTTGCAAATTGCACAAATAGAGTGTTTCAAATCTGCTCTGTCTAAGGGAACGTTCATCTCTGTGAGTTGAATGCACACAACACAAGGGAAGTTACTGGGAATTCTTCTGTCTAGCCTTACATGAAAAAAACCCGTTTCCAACGAAGACCTCTAAGTGGTCAAAATATCCACGTGCAGACTTTACAAACAGAGTGTTTCCAAACTGCTGAATGGAAAGAAAAGTTAAACTCTGAGAGTTGAACGCACACATCACAGAGCGGTTTCTGAGAATGATTCTGTCTAGTTTTTATACGAAGATATTTCCTTTTCTGCCTTTGGCCCCAAAGCGCTTGAAATCTCCACTTGCAAATTCCACAAAAACAGTGTTTCAAATCTACTCTCTCTAAATGAAAGTTCAACTCTGTCAGTTGAATACACACAACACAAGGAAGTTACTGAGAATTCTTCCGTCTAGCCTTACATGAAAAAATCCCGTTTCCAACGAAGGCCTCAAAGAAATCCAAATATCCACGTGTAGACATTACAAACAGAGTGTTTCCTAACTGCTCTATGAAAAGGAAGGTTAAACTCTGTGAGTTGAACGCCCACATCACAAAGGAGTTTCTGAGAATCATTCTGTCTAGTCTTTATACGAAGATAGTTTCCTTTTCTCCCGTTGACCTCAAAGCGGGTGAAATCTCCACTTGCAAATTCCACAAAAAGAGTGTTTCAAGTCTGCTCTGTGTAAAGGATCATTCAACTCTGTGAGTTGAATACACACAACACAAGGAAGTTACTGAGAATTCTTCTGTCTAGCAGAATATGAAGAAATCCCGTTTCCAACGAAGGCCTCAAGGAAGTCTGAATATCCACTTGCAGACATTACAAACAGAGTGTTTCCCAACTGCTCTATGGAAAGAAAGGTTAAACTCTGTGAGTTGAACGCACACATCACAAAGGAGTTTATGAGAATCATTCTGTCTAGTTTTGAAACGAAGATATTTCCTTTTCTGCCATTGACCTTAAAGCCCTTGAAATCTCCACTTGCTAATTTCACAAAAAGAGAGTTTCAAATCTGCTCTCTCTAAGGGAACGTTCAACTCTGTGAGTTGAATGTACACAACACAAGGAAGTTACTGGGAATTATTCTGTCTAGCCTTACATGAAAAAAACCCGTTTCCAACGAAGGCCTCTAAGTGGTCAAATTATCCACGTGCAGACTTTACAAACAGAGTGTTTCCAAACTGCTGAATGAAAAGAAAAGTTAAACTCTGAGAGTTGAACGCACACATCGCAGAGCAGTTTCTGAGAACGATTCTGTCTAGTTTTTATACGAAGATATTTCCTTTTCTGCCTTTGGCCCCAAAGCGCTTGAAATCTCCAGTTGCAAATTCCACAAAAACAGTGTTTCAAATCTGCTCTCTCTAAAAGAAAGTTCAACTCTGTCAGTTGAATACACACAACACAAGGAAGTTACTGAGAATTCTTCTGTCTAGCATAATATGAAGAAATTCCGTTTCCAACGAAGGCCTCAAAGAGGTCTGAATATCCACTTGCAGACTTTACAAACAGAGTATTTCCTAACTGCTCTATGAAAAGAAAAGTTAAACTCTGTGTGTTGAACGCACACATCACAAAGGAGTTTCTGAGAATCATTCTGTCTAGTCTTTATACGAAGATATTTCCTTTTCTACCGTTGACCTCAAAGCGGCTGAAATCTCCACTTGCAAATTCCACAAAAAGAGTGTTTCAAGTCTGCTCTCTGTAAAGGATCGTTCAACTCTGTGAGTTGAATACACACAACACAAGGAAGTTACTGAGAATTCTTCTTTCTAGCAGAATATGAAGAAATCCCGTTTCCAACGAAAGCCTCAAGGATGTCTGAATATCCACTTGCAGACTTTACAAACAGTGTTTCCCAACTGCTCTATGAAAAGAAAGGTTAAACTCTGTGAGTTGAACGCACACATCACAAAGGAGTTTCTGAGAATCATTCTGTCTAGTTTTTATACGAAGATATTTCCTTTTCTACCATTGACCTCAACGCGGCTGAAATCTCCACTTGCAAATTCCACAAAAAGAGTGTTTCAAGTCTGCTCTGTGTAAAGGATCGTTCAACTCTGTGAGTTGAATACACACAAAACAAGGAAGTTACTGAGAATTCTTCTGTCAAGCAGAATATGAAGAAATCCCGTTTCCAACCAAGGCCTCAAGGAGGTCTGAATATCCACTTGCAGACTTTACAAACAGAGTGTTTCCTAACTGCTCTATGAAAAGAAAGGTTAAACTCTGTGAGTTGAACGCACACATCACAAAGGAGTTTATGAGAATCATTCTGTCTAGTCTTTATACGAAGATATTTCCTTTTCTACCATTGACCTCAAAGCGGCTGAAATCTCCACTTGCAAATTCCACAAAAAGAGTGTTTAAAGTCTGCTCTCTGTAAAGGATCGTTCAACTCTGTGAGTTGAATACACACAACACAAGGAAGTTACTGAGAATTCTTCTGTCTAGCAGAATATGAAGAAATCCCGTTTCCAACGAAGGCCTCAAAGAGGTCTGAATATCCACTTGCAGACTTTACAAACAGAGTGTTTCCTAACTGCTCTATGAAAAGAAAAGTTAAACTCTGTGTGTTGAACGCACACATCACAAAGGAGTTTATGAGAATCATTCTGTCTAGTTTTGAAACGAAGATATTTCCTTTTCTGCCATTGACCTTAAAGCGCTTGAAATCTACACTTGTAAATTGCACAAATAGAGTGTTTCAAATCTGCTCTGTCTAAGGGAACGTTCAACTCTGTGAGTTGAATGCACACAACACAAGGAAGTTACTGGGAATTCTTCTGTCTAGCCTTACATGAAAAAAACCCGTTTCCAACGAAGACCTCTAAGTGGTCAAATTATCCACGTGCAGACTTTACAAACAGAGTGTTTCCAAACTGCTGAATGAAAAGAAAAGTTAAACTCTGAGAGTTGAACGCACACATCGCAGAGCAGTTTCTGAGAATGATTCTGTCTAGTTTTTATACGAAGATATTTCCTTTTCTGCCTCTGGCCTCAAAGCGCTTGAAATCTCCATTTGCAAATTCCACAAAAAGAGTGTTTCAAATCTGCTCTGTGTAAATGAAATTTCAACTCTGTGAGTTGAACACACACAACACATGGAAGTTACTGGGAATTCTTCTGTCTAGCAGAATATGAAGAAATCCCGTTTCCAACGAAGGCCTCAAGGAGGTCTGAATATCCACTTACAGACTTTACAAACAGAGTGTTTCCTAACTGCTCTATGAACAGAAAGGTTAAACTCTGTGAGTTGAACGCACACATCACAAAGGAGTTTCTGAGAATCATTCTGTCTAGTTTTTATAGGAAGATATTTCCTTTTCTACCATTGACCTCAAAGCGGCTGAAATCTCCACTTGCAAATTCCCCAACAAGAGTGTTTCAAGTCTGCTCTGTGTAAAGGATCGTTCAACTCTGTGAGTTGAATACACACAACACAAGGAAGTTACTGAGAATTCTTCTGTCTAGCATAATATGAAAAAATCCCGTTTCCAACGAAGTCCTCAAAGAGGTCTGAATATCCACTTGCAGACTTTACAAACAGAATGTTTCCTAACTGCTCTATGAAAAGAAAGGTTAAACTCTGTGAGTTGAATGCACACATCACAAAGGAGTTTCTGAGAATCATTCTGTCTAGTTTCTATAGGAAGATATTTCCTATTCTACCATTGACCTCAAAGCGGCTGAAATCTCCACTTGCAAATTCCACAACAAGAGTGTTTCAAGTCTACTCTGTGTAAAGCATCGTTCAACTCTGTGAGTTGAAAACACTCAACACAAGGAACTTACTGAGAATTCTTCTGTCTAGCCTTACATGAAAAAAACCCGTTTCCAACGAAGGCCTCTAAGGGGTCAAAATATCCACGTGCAGACTTTACAAACAGAGTGTTTCCAAACCGCTGAATGAAAAGAAAAGTTAAACTCTGAGAGTTGAACGCACACATCACGCAGCAGTTTCTGAGAATGATTCTGTCTAGTTTTGAAACGAAGACATTTCCTTTTCTGCCTTTGGCCTCAAAGCGCTTGAAATCTCCACTTGCAAATTCCACAAAAAGAGTGTTTCAAATCTGCTCTGTGTAAATGAAAGTTCAACTCTGTGAGTTGAACACACACAACACAAGGAACTTACTGGGAATTCTTCTGTCTAGCAGAATATGAAGAAATCCCGTTTCCAACGAAGGCCTCAAAGAGGTCTGAATATCCACTTGCAGACTTTACAAACAGAGTGTTTCCTAACTGCTCTATGAAAAGGAAAGTTAAACTCTGTGAGTTGAACGCACACATCACAAAGGAGTTTCTGAGAATCATTCTGTCTAGTTTTTCTACGAAGATGTTTCCTTTTCTACTATTGACCTCAAAGCGGCTGAAATCTCCTCTTGCAAATTCCACAAAAAGAGTGTTTCAAGTCTGCTCTGTGTAAAGGATCGTTCAACTCTGTGAGTTGAATACACACAACACAAGGGAAGTTACTGAGAATTCTTCTGTCTAGCATAATATGAAGAAATCCCGTTTCCAACGAAGGCCTCAAAGAGGTCTGAATATCCACTTGCACACTTTACAAACAGAGTGTTTCCTAACTGCTCTATGAAAAGAAAAGTTAAACTCTGTGATTTGAACGCACACATCACAAAGGAGTTTCTGAGAATCATTCTGTCTAGTCTTTATACGAAGATATTTACTTTTCTACCATTGACCTCAAAGCCTCTGAAATCTCCACTTGCAAATTCCACAAAAAGAGTGTTTCAAGTCTGCTCTGTGTAAAGGAGCATTCAACTCTGTGAGTTGAATAAACACAACACAAGGAAGTTACTGAGAATTCTTCTGTCTAGCAAAATATGAAGAAACCCCGTTTCCAACGAAGGCCACAAGATGTCAGAATATCCACTTACAGAATTTACAAACAGACTGGTTCCTACCTGCTCTATGAAAAGAAAGGTTAAACACTGTGAGTTGAACGAACACATCACAACGCAGTTTGTGGGAATGATTTCTGTCTAGTTTTGAAACGAAGATATTTCCTTTTCTGCCGTTGACCTTAAAGCGCTTGAAATCTACACTTGCAAATTACACAAATAGAGTGTTTCAAATCTGCTCTGTCTAAGGGAACGTTCAACTCTGTGAGTTGAATGCACACAACACAAGGAAGTTACTGGGAATTCTTCTGTCTAGCCTTACAAGAAAAAAACCCGTTTCCAACGAAGGCCTCTAAGTGGTCAAAATATCCACGTGCAGACTTTACAAACAGAGTGTTTCCAAACTGCTGAATGAAAAGAAAAGTTAAACTCTGAGAGTTGAACGCACACATCGCAGAGCACTTTCTGAGAATGATTCTCTCTAGTTTTTATACGAAGATATTTCCTTTTCTGCCTTTGGCCTCAAAGCGCTTGAAATCTCCACTTGCAAACTCCACAAAAAGAGTGTTTCAAATCTGCTCTGTGTAAATCAAAGTTCAACTCTGTGAGTTGAACACACACAACACAAGGAAGTTACTGGGAATTCTTCTGTCTAGCAGAATATGAAGAAATCCCGCTTCCAACGAAGGCCTCAAAGAAGTCTGAATATCCACTTGCAGACTTTACAAACAGAGTGTTTCCCAACTGCTCTATGAAAAGAAAGGTTGAACTCTGTGAGTTGAACGCACACATCACAAAACAGTTTCTGAGAATCATTCTGTCTAGTCTTTATACGAAGATAGTTTCCTTTTCTACCATTGACCTCAAAGCGGCTGAAATCTCCACTTGCAAATTCCACAAAAAGAGTGTTTCAAGTCTGCTCTCTGTAAAGGGTCGTTCAACTCTGTGAGTTGAATACACACAACACAAGGAAGTTACTGAGAATTCTTCTGTCTAGCAGAATATGAAGAAATCCCGTTTCCAACGAAGGCCACAAGATGTCAGAATATCCAGTTACAGACTTTACAAACAGAGTGTTTCCTAACTGCTCTATGAACAGAAAGGTTAAACTCTGTGAGTTGAACGAACACATCACAACGCAGTTTGTGGGAATGATTCTGTCTAATTTTGAAACGAAGATATTTCCTTTTCTGCCGTTGACCTTAAAGCGCTTGAAATCTACACTTGCAAATTGCACAAATAGAGTGTTTCAAATCTGCTCTGTCTAAGGGAACGTTCAACTCTGTGAGTTGAATGCACACAACACAAGGTAGTTACTGGGAATTCTTCTGTCTAGCCTTACAGGAATAAAACCCGTTTCCAACGAAGGCCTCTAAGTGGTCAAAATATCCACGTGCAGACTTTACAAACAGAGTGTTTCCAAACTGCTGAATGAAAAGAAAAGTTAAACTCTGAGAGTTGAACGCACACATCGCAGAGCAGTTTCTGAGAATGATTCTGTCTAGTTTTGAAACGAAGATATTTCCTTTTCTGCCTTTGGCCTCAAAGCGCTTGAAATCTCCACTTGCGAATTCCACAAAAAGAGTGTTTCTAATCTGCTCTGTGTAAATGAAAGTTCAACTCTGTGAGTTGAACACACACAACACAAGGAAGTTACTGGGAATTCTTCTGTCTAGCAGAATATGAAGAAATCCCGTTTCCAACGAAGGCCTCAAAGACGTCTGAATATCCACTTGCAGACTTTACAAACAGAGTGTTTCCTAACTGCTCTATGAAAAGAAAGGTTAAACTCTGTGACTTGAA
The DNA here is from genome assembly GCF_000001405.40 of Homo sapiens. NCBI lineage: Eukaryota > Metazoa > Chordata > Mammalia > Primates > Hominidae > Homo > Homo sapiens. The sequence goes on along the minus strand of NC_000005.10, from coordinate 47,651,942 downwards.
AGCACACATCACAAAGGAGTTTCTGAGAATCATTCTGTCTAGTTTTTCTACGAAGATATTTCCTTTTCTTCTCTTGACCTGAAAGCGGCTGAAATCTCCACTTGCAAATTCCACAAAAAGAGTGTTTCAAGTCTGCTCTGTGTAAAGGATCGTTCAACTCTGTGAGTTGAATACACACAACACAAGGAAGTTACTGAGAATTCTTCTGTCTAGCAGAATAGGAAGAAATCCCGTTTCTAACGAAGGCCTCAAAGACGTCTGAATATCCACGTGCAGACTTTACAAACAGAGTGTTTCCTAACTGCTCTATGAAAAGAAAGGTTAAACTCTGTGAGTTGAACGCACACATCACAAAGGAGTTTCTGAGAATCGTTCTGTCTAGTTTCTATAGGAAGATATTTCCTATTCTACCATTGACCTCAAAGAGGCTGAAATCTCCACTTGCAAATTCCACAAAAAGAGTGTTTCAAGTCTGCTCTCTATAAAGGATCGTTCAACTCTGTGAGTTGAATACACACAACACAAGGAAGTTACTGAGAATTATTGTGTCTAGCAGAATATGAACAAATCCCGTTTCCAAAGAAGGCCTCAAAGAGGTCTGAATATCCATTTGCAGACTTTACAAACAGAGTGGTTCCTAACTGCTCTATGAAAAGAAAGGTTAAACTCTGTGAGTTCAACGCCCACATCACAAAGGAGTTTATGAGAATCATTCTGTCTAGTTTTTATACGAAGATATTTCCTTTTCTACCATTGACCTCAAAGCGGCTGAAATCTCCACTTGCAAATTCCACAAAAAGAGTGTTTCAAATCTGCTCTGTGTAAACCACTGTTCAACTCTGTGAGTTGAATACACACAACACAAGGAAGTTACTGAGAATTCTTCTGTCTAGCAGAACATGAAGAAATCCCGTTTCCAACGAAGGCCACAAGATGTCAGAATATCCACTTACAGAATTTACAAACAGAGTGTTTCCTAACTGCTCTATGAAAAGAACGGTTAAACTCTGTGAGTTGAACGAACACATCACAACGCAGTTTGTGGGAATGATTATCTGTCTAGTTTTTATACGAAGATATTTCCTTTTCTACCATTGACTTCAAAGCGGCTGAAATCTCCACTTGCAAATTCCACAAAAAGAGTGTTTCAAGTCTGCTCTGTGTAAAGGATCGTTGAACTCTGTGAGTTGAATACACACAACACAAGGAAGTTACTGAGAATTCTTCTGTCTAGCAGAATATGAAGAAATCCCGTTTCCAACGAAGGCCTCAAAGAGGAATGAATATCCACATGAAGACTTTACAAACAGAGTGTTTCCTAACTGCTCTATGAAAAGGAAAGTTAAACTCTGTGAGTTGAACGCACACATCACAAAGGAGTTTCTGAGAATCATTCTGTCTAGTTTCTATAGGAAGATATTTCCTTTTCTACCATTGACCTCAAATCGGCTGAAATCTCCACTTGTAAATTCCACAAAAAGAGTGTTTCAAGTCTGCTCTGTGTAAAGGATCGTTCAACTCTGTGAGTTGAATACACACAACACAGGGAAGTTACTGAGAATTCTTCTGTCTAGCATAATATGAAGAAATCCCGTTTCCAACGAAGGCCTCAAAGAGGTCTGAATATCCACTTGCAGACTTTACAAACAGAGTGTTTCCTAACTGCTGTATGAAAAGAAAAGTTAAACTCTGTGAGTTGAACGCACACATCACAAAGGAGTTTCTGAGAATCATTCTGTCTAGTTTTCATACGAAGATATTTCCTTTTCTACCATTGACCTCAAAGCGGCTGAAATCTCCACCCTGCCACTTCCACAAAAAGAGTGTTTCAAGTCTACTCTGTGTAAAGGATCGTTGAACTCTGTGAGTTGAAAACACACAACACAACGAAGTTTCTGAGAATTCTTCTGTCTAGCAGAATATGAAGAAATCCCGTTTCCAACGAAAGCCTCTAGGATGTCTGAATATCCACTTGCAGACTTTACAAACAGAGTGTTTCCTAACTGCTCTATGAAAAGAAAGGTTAAACTATGTGAGTTGAACGCACACATCACAAAGGAGTTTCTGAGAATCATTCTGTCTAGTTTTTATAGGAAGATATTTCCTTTTCTACCTTTGACTTCAAAGCGGCAGAAATCTCCACTTGCAAATTCCACAAAAAGAGTGTTACAAGTCTGCTCTGTGTAAAGGATCGTTCAACTCTGTGAGTTGAATACACACAACACAAGGAAGATTCTGAGAATTCTTCTGTCTAGCAGAATATGAAGAAATCCCGTTTCCAACGAAGGCCACAAGATGTCAGAATATCCACTTACAGAATTTACAAACAGACTGTTTCCTAACTGCTCTACGAAAAGAAAGGTTAAACTCTGTGAGTTGAACGAACACATCACAACGCAGTTTGTGGGAATGATCTGTCTAGTTTTGAAACGAAGATATTTCCTTTTCTGCCATTGAACTTAAAGCGCTTGAAATCTCCATTTGCCAATTGCACAAAAAGAGTGTTTCAAATCTGCTCTGTCTAAGGGAACGTTCAACTCTGTGAGTTGAATGTACACAACACAAGGAAGTTACTGGGAATTCTTTCTGTCTAGCCTTACATGAAAAAAACCAGTTTCCAACGAAGGCCTCTAAGTGGTCAAATTATCCACGTGCAGACTTTACAAACAGAGTGTTTCCAAACTGCTGAATGAAAAGAAAAGTTAAACTCTGAGAGTTGAACGCACACATCACAGAGCAGTTTCTGAGAATGATTCTGTCTAGTTTTTATACGAAGATATTTCCTTTTCTGCCTTTGGCCCCAAAGCGCTTGATATCTCCACTTGCAAATTCCACAAAAACAGTGTTTCAAATCTGCTCTCTCTAAATGAAAGTTCAACTCTGTCAGTTGAATACACACAACACAAGGAAGTTACTGAGAATTCTTCTGTCTAGCATAATATGAAGAAATCCCATTTCAAACGAAGGCCTCAAAGAGGTCTGAATATCCACTTGCAGACTTTACAAACAGAGTGTTTCCTAACTGCTCTATGAAAAGAAAAGTTAAACTCTGTGAGTTGAACGCACACATCACAAAGGAGTTTCTGAGAATCATTCTGTCTAGTTTTTATAGGAAGATATTCCCTTTTCTACCTTTGACTTCAAAGCGGCTGAAATCTCCACTTGCAAATTCCACAAAAAGAGTGTTACAAGTCTGCTCTGTGTAAAGGATCGTTCAACTCTGTGAGTTGAATACACACAACACAAGGAAGTTACTGAGAATTCTTCTGTCTAGCATAGTATGAAGAAATCCCGTTTCCAACGAAGGCCTCAAAGAGGTCTGAATATCCACTTGCAGAGTTTACAAACAGAGTGTTTCCTAACTGCTCTATGAAAAGAAAGGTTAAACTCTGTGAGTTGAACGCACACATCACAAAGAAGGTTCTGAGAATCATTCTGTCTAGTTTTGAAACGAAGATATTTCCTTTCCTGCCATTGACCTTAAAGCGCTTGAAATCTCCATTTGCCAATTGCACAAAAAGAGTGTTTCAAATCTGCTCTGTCTAAGGGAACGTTCAACTCTGTGAGTTGAATGTACACAACACAAGGAAGTTACTGGGAATTCTTCTGTCTAGCCTTACATGAAAAAATCCCGTTTCCAACGAAGGCCTCTAAGTGGTCAAAATATCCACGTGCAGACTTTACAAACAGGGTGTTTCCAAACCGCTGAATGAAAAGAAAAGTTAAACTCTGAGAGTTGAACGCACACATCACGCAGCAGTTTCTGAGAATGATTCTAGTCTAGTTTTTATACAGAAGATATTTCCTTTTCTGCCTTTGGCCTCAAAGCGCTTGAAATCTCCACTTGCAAATTCCACAAAAAGAGTGTTTCAAATCTGCTCTGTGTAAATCAAAGTTCAACTCTGTGAGTTGAACACACACAACACAAGGAAGTTACTGGGAATTCTTCTGTCTAGCATAATAGGAAGAAATCCCGTTTCCAACGAAGGCCTCAAGGAGGTCTGAGTATCCACTTGCAGACTTTACAAGCAGAGTGTTTCCTAACTGCTCTATGAAAAGAAAGGTTAAACTCTGTGAGTTGAATGCACACATCACAAAGGAGTTTCTCAGAATCATTCTGTCTAGTTTCTATAGGAAGATATTTCCTATTCTACCATTGACCTCAAAGAGGCTGAAATCTCCACTTGCAAATTTCACAAAAAGAGTGTTTCAAGTCTGCTCTGTGTAAAGGATCGTTCAACTCTGTGAGTTGAATACACACAACACAAGGAAGTTACTGAGAATTCTTCTGTCTAGCATAATATGTAGAAATCCCGTTTCCAACGAAGGCCTCAAGGAGGTCTGAATATCCACTTGCAGACTTTACAAACAGAGTGTTTCCTAACTGCTCTATGAAAAGAAAGGTTAAACTCTGTGAGTGGAACGCACACATCACAAAGGAGTTTCTGAGAATCATTCTGTCTAGTTTTTGTACGAAGATATTTCCTTTTCTACCATTGACCTCAAAGAGGCTGAAATCACCACTTGCCAATTGCACAAAAAGAGTGTTTCAAATCTGCTCTGTCTAAGGGAACGTTCAACTCTGTGAGTTGAATGTACACAACACAAGGAAGTTACTGGGAATTCTTCTGTCTAGCCTTACATGAAGAAAACCCGTTTCCAACGAAGGCCTCTAAGTGGTCAAAATAACCACGTGCAGACTTTACAAACAGAGTGTTTCCAAACCGCTGAATGAAAAGAAAAGTTAAACTCTGAGAGTTGAACGCACACATCACGCAGCAGTTTCTGAGAATTATTCTGTCTAGTTTTTATATGAAGATATTTCCTTTTCTACCATTGACCTCAAAGTGGCTGAAATCTCCACTTACAAATTCCACAAAAAGAGTGTCTCAAGTCTGTTCTGTGTAAACGATCGTTAAACTCTGTGAGTTGAATACACACAACACAAGGAAGTTTCTGAGAATTCTTCTGTCTAGCAGAATATGAAGCAATCCCGTTTCCAACGAAGGCTTCAAAGAGGTCTGAATATCCACTTGCAGACTTTACAAACAGAGTGTTTCCTAACTGCTCTATGAAAAGAAAGGTTAAACTCTGTGAGTTGAACGCACACATCACAAAGCAGTTTCTGAGAATCGTTCTGTCTAGTTTCTATAAGAAGATATTTCCTATTCTACCATTGACCTCAAAGCGGCTGAAATCTCCACTTGCAAATTCGACAAAAAGAGTGTTTCAAGTCTGCTCTGTGTAAAGGATCGTTCAACTCTGTGAGTTGAATACACACAACACAAGGAAGTTACTGAGAATTTTTCTGTCTAGCAGAATATGAAGAAATCCCTGCTTCCAACGAAGGCCTCAAAGAAGTCTGAATATCCACTTGCAGACTTTACAAACAGAGTGTTTCCCAACTGCTCTATGAAAAGAAAGGTTGAACTTTGTGAGTTGAACGCACACATCACAAAGGAGTTTCTGAGAATCATTCTTGTCTAGTTTTTCTACGAAGATATTTCCTTTTCTACTATTGACCTCAAAGCGGCTGAAATCTCCACTTGCAAATTCCACAAAAAGAGTGTTTCAAGTCTGCTCTGTGTAAAGGATCGTTCAACTCTGTGAGTTGAATACACACAACACAAGGAAGTTACTGAGAATTCTTCTGTCTAGCAGAATATGAAGAAATCCCGTTTCCAACGAAGGCCACAAGATGTCAGAATATCCACTTACAGAATTTTCAAACAGACTGTTTCCCAACTGCTCTATGAAAAGAAAGGTTAAACTCTGTGAGTTGAACGAACACATCACAACGCAGTTTGTGGGAATGATTCTCTCTAGTTTTGAAACGAAGATATTTCCTTTTCTGCCATTGACCTTAAAGCGCTTGAAATCTCCACTTGCCAATTGCACAAAAAGAGTGTTTCAAATCTGCTCTGTCTAAGGGAACGTTCAACTCTGTGAGTTGAATGTACACAACACAAGGAAGTTACTGGGAATTCTTCTGTCTAGCCTTACAAGAAAAAAACCCGTTTCCAACGAAGGCCTCTAAATGGTCAAAATATCCACGTGCAGACTTTACAAACAGAGTGTTTCCAAACTGCTGAATGAAAAGAAAGGTTAAACTCTGAGAGTTGAACGCACACATCGCAGAGCAGTTTCTGAGAATGATTCTGTCTAGTTTTGAAACGAAGATATTTCCTTTTCTGCCTTTGGCCTCAAAGCGCTTGAAATCTCCACTTGCAAATTCCACAAAAAGAGTGTTTCAAATCTGCTCTGTGTAAATGGAAGTTCAACTCTGTGAGTTGAACACACACAACACAAGGAAAGTTACTGGGAATTCTTCTGTCTAGCAGAATATGAAGAAATCCCGTTTCCAACGAAGGCCTCAAAGAGGTCTGAATATCCACTTGCACACTATACAAACAGAGTGTTTCCCAACTGCTCTATGAAAAGAAAGGTTAAACTCTGTGAGTTGAACGCACACATCACAAAGGAGTTTCTGAGAATCATTCTGTCTAGTTTCTATAGGAAGATATTTCCTATTCTACCATTGACCTCAAAGCGGCTGAAATCTCCACTTGCAAATTACACAAAAAGAGTGTTTCAAGTCTGCTCTGTGTAAAGGATCGTTCAACTCTGTGAGTTGAATACACACACTACAAGGAACTTACTGAGAATTCTTCTGTCTAGCATAATATGAAGAAATCCCGTTTCCAACGAATGCCTCAAGCAGGTCTGAATCTCCACTTGCAGACTTTACAAACAGAGTGTTTCCTAACTGCTCTATGAAAAGAAAGGTTAACCTCTGTGAGTTGAACGCACACATCACAAAGGAGTTTCTGAGAATCATTCTGTCTAGTTTTTATAGGAAGATATTTCTTTTCTACCATTGACCTCAAAGCGGCTGAAATCTCCACTTGCAAATTCCAGAAAAAGAGTGTTTCAAGTCTGCTCTGTGTAAAGGATCGTTGAACTCTGTGAGTTGAATACACACAACACAATGAAGTTACTGAGAATTCTTCTGTCTAGCCTTACAAGAAAAAAACCCGTTTCCAACGAAAGCCTCTAAATGGTCAAAATATCCACGTGCAGACTTTACAAACAGAGTGTTTCCAAACTTCTGAATGAAAAGAAAAGTTAAACTCTGAGAGTTGAACGCACACATCGCAGAGCAGTTTCTGAGAATGATTCTGTCTAGTTTTTATACGAAGATATTTCCTTTTCTGCCTTTGGCCCCAAAGCGCTTGAAATCTAAACTTGCAAATTCCACAAAAACAGTGTTTCAAATCTCCTCTCTCTAAATGAAAGTTCAACTCTGTCAGTTGAATACACACAACACAAGGAAGTTACTGAGAATTCCTCCGTCTAGCCTTACATGAAAAAAACCCGTTTCCAACGAAGGCCTCAAAGAAGTCCAAATATCCACGTGCAGACTTTACAAACAGAGTGTTTCCTAACTGCTCTATGAAAAGAAAGGTTAAACTCTGTGAGTTGAACGCACACATCACAAAGGAGTTTCTGAGAATCATTCTGTCTAGTTTCTATAAGAAGATATTTCCTATTCTACCATTCACCTCAAAGCGGCTGAAATCTCCACTTGCAAATTCGACAAAAAGAGTGTTTCAAGCCTGCTCTCTGTAAAGGATCCTTCAACTCTGTCAGTTGAATACACACAACACAAGGAAGTTACTGAGAATTCTTCTGTCTAGCAGAATATGAAGAAATCCCGTTTCCAAAGAAGGCCACAAGATGTCAGAATATCCACTTACAGACTTTACAAACAGAGTGTTTCCTAACTGCTCTATGAAAAGAAAGGTTAAACCCTGTGAGTTGAACGAACACATCACAACGCAGTTTGTGGGAATGATTCTGTCTAGTTTTGAAACGAAGATATTTCCTTTTCTGCCTTTGGTCTCAAAGCGCTTCAAATCTCCACTTGCCAATTCCACATAAAGAGTGTTTCAAATCTGCTCTGTCTAAATGAAAGTTCAACTCTGTCAGTTGAATACACACAACACAAGGGAGTTTCTGAGAATTCTTCTGTCTAGAATAGTATGAAGAAATCCCGTTTCCAACGAAGGCCTCAAACAGGTCTGAATATCCACTTGCAGAGTTCACAAACAGAGTGTTTCCTAACTGCTCTATGAAAAGAAAGGTTAAACTCTGTGAGTTGAACGCACACATCACAAAGAAGTTTCTGAGAATCATTCTGTCTAGTTTTTATACGAAGATATTTCCTTTTCTGCCTTTGGCCTCAAAGCGCTTGAAATCTCCACTTGCAAATTCCACAAAAAGAGTGTTTCCAATCTGCTCTGTGTAAATGAAAGTTCAACACTGTGAGTTGAACACACACAACACAAGGAAGTTACTGGGAATTCTTCTGTCTAGCATAATATGAAGAAATCCCGTTTCCAACGAAGGCCTCAAGGAGGTCTGAATATCCACTTGCACACTTTAGAAACAGAGTGTTTCCTAACTGCTCTATGAAAAGAAAGGTTAAACTCTGTGAGTTGAACGCACACATCACAAAGGAGTTTCTCAGAATCATTCTGTCTAGTTTCTATAAGAAGATATTTCCTATTCTACCATTGACCACAAAGCGGCTGAAATCTCCACTTGCAAATTCGACAAAAAGAGTGTTTCAAGCCTGCTCTCTGTAAAGGATCCTTCAACTCTGTGAGTTGAATACACACAACCCAAGGGAAGTTACTGAGAATTATTCTGTCTAGCCTTACTGGAAAAAAACCAGTTTCCAACGAAGGCGTCTAAGTGGTCAAAATATCCACGTGCAGACTTTAAAAACAGAGTGTTTCCAAACTGCTGAATGAAAAGAAAAGTTAAACTCTGAGAGTTGAACGCACACATCGCAGAGCAGTTTCTGAGAATGATTCTGTCTAGTTTTGAAACGAAGATATTTCCTTTTCTGCCTTTGGCCTCAAAGCCATTGAAATCTCCACTTGCAAATTCCACAAAAAGAGTGTTTCAAATCTGCTCTGTGTAAATGAAAGTTCAAATCTGTGAGTTGAACACACACAACACAAGGAAGTTACTGGGAATTCTTCTGTCTAGCATAGTATGAAGAAATCCCGTTTCCAACGAAGGCCTCAAAGAGGTCTGAATATCCACTTGCAGAGTTTACAAACAGAGTGTTTCCTAACTGCTCTATGAAAAGAAAGGTTAAACTCTGTGAGTTGAACGCACACATCCCAAAGAAGTTTCTGAGAATCATTCTGTCTAGTCTTTATACGAAGATATTTACTTTTCTACCATTGACCTCAAAGCGGCTGAAATCTCCACTTGCAAATTCCACAAAAAGAGTGTTTCAAGTCTGCTCTGTGTAAAGGATCATTCAACTCTGTGAGTTGAATAAACACAACACAATGAAGTTACTGAGAATTCTTCTGTCTAGCCTTATATGAAAAAAACCCGTTTCCAACGAAGGCCTCAAAGAGGTCTGAATATCCACTTGCAGACTTTAGAAACAGAGTGTTTCCTAACTGCTCTATGAAAAGAAAGGTTAAACTCTGTGAGTTGAACACACAGATCACAAAGGAGTTTCTGAGAATCATTCTGTCTAGTTTTTATACGAAGATATTTCCTATTCTACCATTGACCTCAAATCGGCTGAAATCTCCACTTGCAAATTCCACAAGAAGAGTGTTTCAAGTATGCTCTGTGTAAAGGATCGTTCAACACTGTGAATTGAATACACACAACACAAGGAAGTTACTGAGAATTCTTCTGTCTAGCAGAATATGAAGAAATCCCGTTTCCAACGAAGGCCACAAGATGTCAGAATATCCACTTACAGACTTTACAAACAGAGTGTTCCTAACTGCTCTATGAACAGAAATGTTAAACTCTGTGAGTTGAACGAACACATCACAACGCAGTTTGTGGGAATGATTCTGTCTAGTTTTGAAACCAAGATATTTCCTTTTCTGCCGTTGACCTTAAAGAGCTTGAAAACTACACTTGCAAATTGCACAAATAGAGTGTTTCAAATCTGCTCTGTCTAAGGGAACGTTCAACTCTGTGAGTTGAATGCACACAACACAAGGAAGTTACTGGGAATTCTTCTGTCTAGGCTTACATGAAAAAAACCGGTTTCCAACGAAGGCCTCTAAGTGGTCAAAATATCCACGTGCAGACTTTACAAACAGAGTGTTTCCAAACCGCTGAATGAAAAGAAAAGTTAAACTCTGAGAGTTCAACGCACACATCACGCAGCAGTTTCTGAGAATGATTCTGTCTAGTTTTTATAGGAAGATATTTCCTTTTCTACCTTTGACTTCAAAGCGGCTGAAATCTCCACTTGCAAATTCCACAAAAAGAGTGTTTCAAGTCTGCTCTGTGTAAAGGATCGTTCAACTCTGTGAGTTGAATACACACAACACGCGGAAATTACTGAGAATTCTTCTGTCTAGCATAGTATGAAGAAATCCCGTTTCCAACGAAGGCCTCAAAGAGGTCTGAATATCCACTTGCAGACTTTACAAACAGAGTGTTTCCTAACTGCTCTATGAAAAGAAAGGTTAAACTCTGTGAGTTGAACGCACACATCACAAAGGAGTTTCTGAGAATCATTTCTGTCTAGTTTTTATAGGAAGATATTTCCTTTTCTACCTTTGACTTCAAAGCGGCTGAAATCTCCACTTGCAAATTCCACAAAAAGAGTGTTACAAGTCTGCTCTGTGTAAAGGATCGTTCAACTGTGTGAGTTGAATACACACAACACAAGGAAAGTTACTGAGAATTCTTCTGTCTAACCTTACATGAAAAAAACCCGTTTCCAACGAAGGCCTCTAAGTGGTCAAATTATCCACGTGCAGACTTTACAAACAGAGTGTTTCCAAACTGCTGAATGAAAAGAAAAGTTAAACTCTGAGAGTTGAACGCACACATCGCAGAGCAGTTTCTGAGAATGATTCTGTCTAGTTTTTATACGAAGATATTTCCTTTTCTGCCTTTGGCCCCAAAGCGCTTGAAATCTCCAATTGCAAATTCCACAAAAACAGTGTTTCAAATCTGCTCTCTCTAAATGAAAGTTCAACTCTGTCAGTTGAATACACACAACACAAGGAAGTTACTCAGAATTCTTCTGTCTAGCCTTACATGAAAAAATCCCGTTTCCAACGAAGGCCTCTAAGTGGTCAAAATTTCCACGTGCAGACTTTACAAACAGAGTGTTTCCAAACCGCTGAATGAAAAGAAAAGTTAAACTCTCAGAGTTGAACGCACACATCACGCAGCAGTTTCTGAGAATGATTCTGTCTAGTTTTTATACGAAGATATTTCCTTTTCTGCCTTTGGCCCCAAAGCGCTTGAAATCTCCACTTGCAAATTCCACAAAAACAGTGTTTCAAATCTGCTCTCTCTAAATGAAAGTTCAACTCTGTCAGTTGAATACACACAACACAAGGAAGTTACTGAGAACTCTTCTGTCTAGCCTTATATGAAAAAAACCCGTTTCCAACGAAGGCCTCAAAGAGGTCTGAATATCCACTTGCAGAGTTTACAAACAGAGTGTTTCCTAACTGCTCTATGAAAAGAAAGGTTAAACTCTGTGAGTTGAACGCACACATCACAAAGAAGTTTCTGAGAATCATTCTGTCTAGTTTTTATACGAAGATATTTCCTTTTCTACCATTGACCTCAAAGTGCTTGAAATCTCCACTTGCAAATTCCACAAAAAGAGGGTTTCTAATCTGCTCTGTGTAAAGGATCGTTCAACTCTGTGAGTTGAATGCACACAACACAAGGAAGTTACTGAGAATTCTTCTGTCTAGCACAGTATGAAGAAATCCCGTTTCCAACGAAGGCCTCAAAGAGGTCTGAATATCCACTTGCAGAGTTTACAAACAGAGTGTTTCCTAACTGCTCTATGAAAAGAAAGGTTAAACTCTGTGAGTTGAACGCACACATCCCAATGAAGTTTCTGAGAATCATTCTGTCTAGTTTTAATACGAAGATATTTCCTTTTATACCATTGACCTCAAAGCGGCTGAAATCACCACTTGCCAATTGCACAAAAAGAGTGTTTCAAATCTGCTCTGTCTAAGGGAACGTTCAACTCTGTGAGTTGAATGTACACAACACAAGGAAGTTACTGGGAATTCTTCTGTCTAGCCTTACAGGAAAAAAACACGTTTCCAACGAAGGCCTTTAGGTGGTCAAAATATCCACGTGCAGACTTTACAAACAGAGTGTTTCCAAACTGCTGAATGAAAAGAAAAGTTAAACTCTGAGAGTTGAACGCACACATCACAGAGCAGTTTCCGAGAATGATTCTAGTCTAGTTTTGAAACGAAGATATTTCCTTTTCTGCCTTTGGCCTCAAAGCGCTTGAAATCTCCACTTGCAAATTCCACAAAAAGAGTGTTTCAAATCTGCTCTGTGTAAATGAAAGTTCAACTCTGTGAGTTGAACACACACAACACAAGGAAGTTACTGGGAATTCTTCTGTCTAGCAGAATATGAAGAAATCCCGTTTCCAACGAAGGTCTCAAGGAGGTGTGAATATCCACTTGCAGACTTTACAAACAGAGTGTTTCCTAACGGCTCTATGAACAGAAAGGTTAAACTCTGTGAGTTGAACGCACACATCACAAAAGAGTTTCTGAGAATCATTCTGTCTAGTCTTTATACGAAGATATTTCATTTTTCTACCATTGACATCAAAGCGGCTGAAATCTCCACTTGCAAATTCCACAAACAGAGTGTTTCAAGTCTGCTCTGTGTAAAGGATCGTTCAACTCTGTGAGTTGAATACACACAACACAAGGAAGTTACTGAGAATTCTTCTGTCTAGCAGAATATGAAGAAATCCCGTTTCCAACGAAGGCCACAAGATGTCAGAATATCCACTTACAGACTTTACAGAGTGTTTCCTAACTGCTCTATGAACAGAAAGGTAAAACTCTGTGAGTTGAACGAACACATCACAACGCAGTTTGTGGGAATGATTCTGTCTAGTTTTGAAACGAAGATATTTCCTTTTCTGCCATTGACCTTAAAGCGCTTGAAATCTACACATGCAAATTGCACAAATAGAGTGTTTCAAATCTGCTCTGTCTAAGGGAACGTTCAACTCTGTGAGTTGAATGCACACAACACAAGGAAGTTACTGGGAATTCTTCTGTCTAGCCTTACATTAAAAAAAACCGTTTCCAACGAAGGCCTCTAAGTGGTCAAATTATCCACGTGCAGACTTTACAAACAGAGTGTTTCCAAACTGCTGAATGAAAAGAAAAGTTAAACTCTGAGAGTTGAACGCACACATCACAGAGCAGTTTCTGAGAATGATTCTGTCTAGTTTTCAAACGAAGATATTTCCTTTTCTGCCTTTGGCCTCAAAGCGCTTGAAATCTCCACTTGCAAATTCCACAAAAAGAGTGTTTCAAATCTGCTCTGTGTAAATGAAAGTTCAACTCCGTGAGTTGAACACACACAACACAAGGAAGTTACTGGGAATTCTTCTGTCTAGCATAGTATGAAGAAATCCCGTTTCCAACGAAGGCCTCAAAGAGGTCTGAATATCCACTTGCAGATTTTACAAACAGAGTGTTTCCTAACTGCTCTATGAAAAGAAAGGTTAAACTCTGTGAGTTGAACGCACACATCACAAAGAAGTTTCTGAGAATCATTCTGTCTAGTTTTTATAGGAAGATATTTCCTTTTCTACCTTTGACTTCAAAGCGGCTGAAATCTCCACTGGCAAATTCCACAAAAAGAGTGTTACAAGTCTGCTCTGTGTAAAGGATCGTTCAACTCTGTGAGTTGAATACACACAACACAAGGAAGTTACTGAGAATTCTTCTGTCTAGCCTTACATGAAAAAAACCCGTTTCCAACGAAGGCCTCTAAGTGGTCAAATTATCCACGTGCAGACTTTACAAACAGAGTGTTTCCAAACTGCTGAATGAAAAGAAAAGTTAAACTCTGAGAGTTGAACGCACACATCGCAGTGCAGTTTCTGAGAATGATTCTGTCTAGTTTTTATACGAAGATATTTCCTTTTCTACCATTGACCTCAAAGCGGCTGAAATCACCACTTGCCAATTGCACAAAAAGAGTGTTTCAAATCTGCTCTGTCTAAGGGAACGTTCAACTCTGTGAGTTGAATGTACACAACACAAGGAAGTTACTGGGAATTCTTCTGTCTAGCCTTACATGAAAAAAACCCGTTTCCAACGAAGGCCTATAAGTGGTCAAGTTATCCACGTGCAGACTTTACAAACAGAGTGTTTCCAAACTGCTGAATGAAAAGAAAAGTTAAACTCTGAGAGTTGAACGCACACATCGCAGAGCAGTTTCTGAGAATGATTCTGTCTAGTTTCTATAGGAAGATATTTCCTATTCTATCATTGACCTCAAAACGGCAGAAATCTCCACTTGCAAATTCCACAAAAAGAGTGTTTCAAGACTGCTCTGTGTAAAGGATCGTTCAACTCTGTGAGTTGAATACACACAACACAAGGAAGTTACTGAGAATTCTTCTGTCTAGCAGAATATGAAGAAATCCCGTTTCCAACGAAGGCCTCAAAGAGGTCTTAATATCCAATTGCAGACTTTACAAACAGAGTGTTTCCTAACTGCTCTATGAAACGAAAGGTTAAACTCTGTGAGTTGAACGCACACATCACAAAGGAGTTTCTGAGAATCATTCTGTCTAGTTTCTATAAGAAGATATTTCCTATTCTACCATTGACCTCAAAGCGGCTGAAATCTCCACTTTCAAATTCCACAAAAAGTGTGTTTCAAGTCTGCTCTGTGTAAAGGATCGTTCAACTCTGTGAGTTGAATACACACAACACAAGGAAGTTCCTGAGAATTCTTCTGTCTAGCAGAATATGAAGAAATCCCGTTTCCAACGAAGGCCACAAGATGTCAGAATATCCACTTACAGAATTTACAAACAGACTGTTTCCTAACTGCTCTATGAAAAGAAAGGTTAAACTCTGTGAGATGAACGAACACATCATAACGCAGTTTGTGGGAATGATTCTGTCTAGTTTTGAAACGAAGATATTTCCTTTTCTGCCTTTGAACTTAAAGCGCTTGAAATCTCCATTTGCCAATTGCACAAAAAGAGTGTTTCAAATCTGCTCTGTCTAAGGGAACGTTCAACTCTGTGAGTTGAATGTACACAACACAAGGAAGTTACTGGGAATTCTTCCGTCTAGCCTTACATGAAAAAAACCCGTTTCCAACGAAGGCCTCAAAGAAGTCCAAATATCCACGTGCAGACTTTACAAACAGAGTGTTTCCTAACGGCTCTATGAAAAGAAAGGTTAAACTCTGTGAGTTGAACGCCCACATCACAAAGGAGTTTCTGAGAATCATTCTGTCTAGTTTTTCTACGAAGATATTTCCTTTTCTACTATTGACCTCAAAGCGGCTGAAATCTCCACTTGCAAATTACACAAAAAGAGTGTTTCAAGTCTGCTCTGTGTAAAGGATCGTTCAACTCTGTGAGTTGAATACACACAACACAAGGAAGTTACTGAGAATTCTTCTGTCTAGCGGAATATGAAGAAATCCCGTTTCCAACGAAGGCCTCAAAGAGGTCTGAATATCCAATTGCAGACTTTACAAACAGAGTGTTTCCTAACTGCTCTATGAAAAGAAAGGTTAAACTCTGTGAGTTGAACGCACACATCACAAAGGAGTTTCTGAGAATCATTCTGTCTAGTTTCTATAGGAAGATATATCCTATTCTACCATTGACCTCAAAGCGGCTGAAATCTCCACTTGCAAATTCCACAAAAAGAGTGTTTCAAGTCTGCTCTGTGTAAAGGCTCGTTCAACTCTGTGAGTTGAATACACACAACACAAGGAAGTTACTGAGAATTCTTCTGTCTAGCAGAATATGAAGAAATCCCGTTTCCAACGAAGGCCACAAGATGTCAGAATATCCACTTACAGACTTTACAAACAGAGTGTTTCCTAACTGCTGTATGAACGGAAAGGTTAAACTCTGTGAGTTGAACGAACACATCACAACGCAGTTTGTGGGAATGATTCTGTCTAGTTTTGAAACGAAGATATTTCCTTTTCTGCCGTTGACCTTAAAGCGCTTGAAATCTACACTTGCAAATTGCACAAATAGAGTGTTTCAAATCTGCTCTGTCTAAGGGAACGTTTAACTCTGTGAGTTGAATGCACACAACACAAGGAAGTTACTGGGAATTCTTCTGTCTAGCCTTACATGAAAAAAACCCGTTTCCAACGAAGGCCTCTAAGTGGTCAAACTGTCCACGTGCAGACTTTACAAACAGAGTGTTTCCAAACCGCTGAATGAAAAGAAAAGTTAAACTCTGAGAGTTGAACGCACACATCACGCAGCAGTTTCTGAGAACGATTCTGTCTAGTTTTTATACGAAGATATTTCCTTTTCTGCCTTTGGCCCCAAAGCGCTTGAAATCTCCACTTGCAAATTCCACAAAAACAGTGTTTCAAAACTACTCTCTCTAAATGAAAGTTCAACTCTGTCAGTTGAATACACTCAACACAAGGAAGTTACTGAGAATTCTTCTGTCTAGCATAGTATGAAGAAATCCCGTTTCCAACGAAGGCCTCAAAGAGGTCTGAATATCCACTTGCAGAGTTTACAAACAGAGTGTTTCCAAACTGCTGAATGAAAAGAAAAGTTAAACTCTGAGAGTTGAACGCACACATCGCAGAGCAGTTTCTGAGAATGATTCTGTCTAGTTTTGAAACGAAGATATTTCCTTTTCTGCCT